>NC_000023.11:75492845-75795875 GCF_000001405.40 Homo sapiens
ACACCCTAACATCACAATTAAAAGAACTAGAGAAGCAAGAGCAAACACATTCAAAAGCTAGCAGAAGGCAAGAAATAACTAAGATCAGAGCAGAACTGAAGGAAATAGAGAGACAAAAAAATCCTTCAAAAAATCAGTGAATCCAGGAACTGGTTTTTTCAAAAGATCAACAAAATTGATAGACCGCTAGCAAGACTAATAAAGAAGAAAAGAGAGCAGAATCAAATAGATACAATACAAAATGATAAACGGGGTATCACCACTGATCCCACAGAAATACAAACTACCATCAGAGAATACTACAAACACCTCTATGAAAATAAAATAGAAAATCTAGAAGAAATAGATAAATTCCTCGACACATACATCCTCCCAAGACTAAACCAGGAAGAAGTTGAATCTCTGAATAGACCAATAAGAGGCTCTGAAATTCAGTCAATAATTAATAGCTTACTAACCAAAAAAAGTCCAGTACAAGATGGATTCACAGCCGAATTGTACCAGAGGTACAAGGAGGAGCTGGTACATTCCTTCTGAAACTATTCCAATCAATAGAAAAAGGGGAAATCCTCCCTAATTCATTTTATGAGGCCAGCATCATCCTGATACCAAAGCCTGGCAGAGACACAACAAAAAAGGAGAATTTTAGACCAATATCCTTGATGAACATCCATGCAAAAATCCTCAGTAAAATACTGGCAAATGGAATCCAGCAGCACATCAAAAAGCTTATCCACCATGATCAAGTGGGCTTCATCCCTGGGATGCAAGCCTGGTTCAACATACGCAAATCAATAAACTTAATTCAGCATATAAACAGAACCAACGACAAAAACCATATGATTATCTCAATAGTTGCAGAAAAGTCCTTTGACAAAATTCAACAGCCCTTCATGCTAAAAACTCTCAGTAAATTAGGTATTGATGGGACGTATCTCAAAATAATAAGAGCTATCTATGACAAAACCACAGCCAATATCATACTGAATGGGCAAAAACTGGAAGCATTCCCTTTGAAATCTGGCACAAGACAGGGATGCCCTCTCTCACCACTCCTATTCAACACAGTGTTGGAAATTCTGGCCAGGGCAATAAGGCAGGGGAAGGAAATAAAGGGTATTCAATTAGGAAAATAAGAAGTCAAATTGTCCCTGTTTGCAGATGACAGGATTGTATATCTAGAAAACCCTATCATCTCAGGCCAAAATCTCCTTAAACTGATAGGCAACTTCAGCAAAGTCTCAGGATACAAAATCAATGTACAAAAATCACAAGCATTCTTATACACCAATAACAGACAAACAGAGAGCCAAATCATGAGTGAACTCCCATTCATAATTGCTTCAAAGATAATAAAATACCTAGGAATCCAAGTTACAAGGGACGTGAAGGACCTCTTCAAGGAGAACTACAAACCACTGCTCAATGAAATAAAAGAGGATACAAACAAATGGAAGAACATTCCATGCTCATGGGTACGAAGAATCAATATCGTGAAAATGGCCATACTGCCCAAGGTAATTTACAGATTCAATGCCATCCCCATCAAGCTACCAATGACTTTCTTCACAGAATTGGAAAAAACTACTTTAAAGTTCATATGAAAGAAAAAAGAGCCCACATTGCCAAGTCAATCCTAAGCCAAAAGAACAAAGCTGGAGGCATCATGCTACCTGACTTCAAACTATACTACAAGGCTACAGTAACCAAAACAGCATGGTACTTGTACCAAAACAGATATATAGACCAATGGAACAGAACAGAGCCCTCAGAAATAATGCCGCTTATCTACAACCATCTGATCTTTGACAAACCTGACAAAAACAGGAAATTGGAAAAAGATTCCCTATTTAATAAATGGTGCTGGGAAAACTGGCTAGCCAGATGTAGAAAGCTGAAACTGGATCCCTTCCTTACACCTTATACAAAAATTAATTCAAGATGGATTAAAGACTTAAATGTCAGACCTAAAACCATAAAAATCCTAGAAGAAAACCTAGGCAATACCATTCAGGACATAGGCATGGGCAAGGACTTCATGTCTAAAACACCGAAAGCAATTGCAACAAAAGCCAAAATTGACAAATGGGATCTAATTCAACTAAAGATCTTCTGCACAGCAAAAGAAACTACCATCAGAGTGAACAGGCAACCTACAGAATGGGAGAAAAGTTTTGCAATATACTCATCTGTCAAAGGGCTAATATCCAGAATCTACAATGAACTTAAACAAATTTTCAAGAAAAAAAACAACCCCATCAAAAAGTGGGCAAAGGATTTGAATAGCCACTTCTCAAAAGGAGACATTTATGCAGCCAAAAGACACATGAAAAAATGCTTATCATCACTGGCATTCAGAGAAATGCAAATCAAAACCACAATGAGATACTATCTCACACCAGTTAGAATGGCGATCATTAAAAAGTCAGGAAACAACAGGTGCTGGAGAGGATGTGGAGAAATAGGAACACTTTTACACTATTGGTGGGACTGTAAACTAGTTCACCCATTGTGGAGGTGAGTGTGGCGATTCCTCAGGGATCTAGAACTAGAAATAGCATTTGACCCAGCCATCCCATTACTGGGTATATACCCACAGGATTATAAATCATGCTGCTATAAAGACACATGCACACGTATGTTTATTGCGGCACTATTCACAACAGCAAAGACTTGGAACCAACCCAAATATCCAACAATGATAGACTGGATTAAGAAAATGTGGCACATACACACCATGGAATACCATGCAGCCATAAAAAATGATGAGTTCATGTCCTTTGTAGAGACATGGATGAAACTGTAAAAGATCATTCTCAGCAAACTATCACAAGGACAAAAAACCAAATACCGCATGTTCTCACTCATAGGTGGGAATTGAACAATGAGAACACATGGACACAGGAAGGGGAACATCATACACTGGGGACTGTTGTACGGTGGGGGGAGGGGGGAGGGATAGCATTAGGAGGCATTCCTAATGTTAGATAATGATTTAATGGGTGCAGCACACCAACATGGCACATCTATACATATGTAACTAACCTGCACATTGTGCACATGTACCATAAAACTTGAAGCATAATTAAAAAAAAAAAAAGAAAAACAAGGTATTCAGGTAACAACTAGTATAATGAATAGAACATTAGTTCACATCTCAATACTAAAGTTGAATATAAATGGCCTAAATAATCTATTTAGAAGATACAGAATGGCAGAATGGAGAAAAATCTACCACTCAAGTATCTCCTGTCTTCAAGAGTCTCACCTAAGACATATGGACTCACATAAACTTAAGGTAAAGGTGTGGAAAAAGATATTCAATGCCAATGGAAACCAAAAGTGAACCAGAGTAGCTATTCTTATATCAGACAAAACAGACTTTAAAGGAACAAATTTAAAAAAGACAAAGAGAGACATTATATAATGATGAAAAATTTAGGGCAATAGGAAAATGTAGCAATCCTAAATATATATGCACCTAACACTTGTGCTCCCAAATTTATGAAACAATAACTATTAGACCTAAGAAACAAGATAGATGGCAACACAGCAGTAGTGGGGGACTTCGATACTCAACTGACAGCACTAGACTGGTCATCAAGACAGAAAGCCAACAAAGAAACAATGTATTTAAGCTATATACCCTACAACAAATGGAATTAACAGATATTTACAGAATATTCTACCAAACTACTGCAGAATATACATTCTTTTCATCAGCACATGGAACATTTTGCAAGATAGATCATATGACAGGACACAAAAAAGTTTCAATAAATTTAAGAAAATTGAAATTATATCAAGTACTCTCACAGACAACAGTGGAATAAAATTGGAAGTTAACTCCAAAAGGAACCTTCAAAACTATACACATACATGGAAATTAAATAATCTGCTCCTGGATCAACAGTAAAATCAAGATGGAAAGGAAAAAATTGTTCGGACTGAATAATAATAGTGACACAACCTATTGTGTCTCTGGGATACAGCAAAAGTGGTGCTAAGAAGAAAGTTTGTAATATTAAGCATCTACATCAAAAAGTCTGAAGAGTGCAAACAAACAATCTAAGCTCACACCTCAAGAAACATGAGAAACAAGAACAAACCAAACCAAAGCAAGTGGAAAAAAAAAGTAACAAAGTCAGAGCAGAACTAAATGAAATTGAAACAAAAAATACAAAAGATAAATAAAACAAAAAGCTAGATATTTGAAAGATAAACAAAATCAATAGACCATTAGCGAGATTAACCAACATAAAAAGAGAGAAGTACAAATAAGCTCAATTAGAAACGAAATAGGAAATATTACAACTGATAGCACAGAAATACAAAAGATCATTGAAGGCTACTATGAATACCTTCAAGACCACAAACTAGAAAACCTAGAGGAGATGGATAAATTCCTAGAAATATTCAAGCTTCCTAGATTAAACCAGGAAGAAACAGAATCTCTGAACATCCCAATAACAAGTAGCAAGATAGAAAGAGTAACAAAAAAATGCTAACAAAAAGAAATCCAGGACCAGATAAATTCACAGCTGAATTCTATCAGACATTCGAAGAATAGGTACTCCTACTGAAACTATTCCAAAAGACAGAGACAAAGGGAATCCTCCCTAAATCATTCTATAAAGCCAGTATCGCCCTAATACCAAAACCAGGAAAGGACATAACAAAAAAAGAAAACTACAGACCAATATCCCTGATGAATAGAGATGCAAAAGTCCTCTACAAAATACTAGCTAACCGAATCCAATAGCATATCAAAAAGATAATTCACCATGATCAAGTGGTTTCCTACCAAGGATGCAGGGCTAGTTTAACATACGCAAGCAATAAATATGATACACCATATAAATGGAATTAAAAACAATAATAATACGATTATCTCAATAGACACAGAAAAAGCATTTGATGAAATCCCGCATCCCTTTATGATTAAAACCCTCAGCAAAATCAGCATAGAAGGGATACACCTTATGGCAACGAAAGCCATCTATGACAAACACACAGCCAACATTACACTGAATGGGGAAAAGCTGAAAGCATTCCTCCTGAGAACTGGAAAAAGACAAGGATGCCCACTTTTTTTTTTTTTTTTTGAGACAGTGTTTTGCTCTTGTTGCCCAGGCTGCAGTGCAATGGCGTGATCTCAGCTCACCGCAACCTCCACCTCCTGGGTTCAAGCGATTCTCCTGCCTCAGCCTCCTGGGTAGCTGGGATTACAGGCATGCACCACCACGCCAGAATAATTTTGTATTTTTTGTAGAGACAGGGTTTTTCCATGTTGGTCAGGCGGGTCTCAAACTCCTGACCTCAGGTGATCCGGCTGCCTCAGCCTCCCAAAGTGCTGGGATTACAGGCGTGAGCCACCGTGCCTGGCCACCCACTTTTACCACTTATAATCAACATAGGATCAGAAGTCCTAGCCAGAGCGATCAGACAAGAGAAAGAAACTGGTAAAGAGAGAAAAAAAATCCAAATCTGTAGAGAAATTCAAACTGTTGCTGTTTACCGATGATATGATCGTACACCTAGAAAACCCTAAAGACTCATCCTAAAAGCTCCAGATCTGGTCAATGAATGCAGTAGTGTCTGGATATAAAATCAGTGTACATAAATCAGTAGCACTGCTATACACCAACAACGCCCAAGCTGAGAATCAAATCAAGAACTCAACCCCTTTTACAATAACTGAATAAAGCAACAACTTAGGAATATACCTAACCAAGGAGGTGAAAGACTTCTACAAGGAAAACTACATAACACTGCTGAAAGAAGTCATAGATGACACAAACAAGTAGAAACACATCCCATGCTCATGGATGGGTAGAATCAATATTGTGAAAATGACCATACGACAAAAGCAATCTACAGATTCAATGCAATTCCCATTAAAATATCATCATCATTCTTCACAGAACTAGAAAAAAATTCCTGAAATTTGTATGAAACCAAAAAAGAGCCCACATAGCCAAAGAAAGGCTATGCAAAAAGAACAAATCTGGAGATATCACATTACCCAATTTCTAAATATACTACCAGGCTATAGTCAACAAAACAGCATGGTACTTGTATAAAAACAGGCACACAGACCAATGGAACAGAATAGAGAACCCAGAAATAAAGCCAAATACTTAGAGCCAACTGATCTTTGAGGAAGAAAACAAAACACAAAATGGGGAAAGGACACCCGATTCAACAAATGGTGCTGGGATAGTTGGCAAGCCATATGCAGAAGAATGAAACTGAAGCCTCATCTCTCATCATATACAAAAATCAACTCAAGATGGATCAAAGACTTAACCTAAGACCTGAAATCATAAAAATTCCAGAAAATAACATGGGGAAACTCTTCTAGACTTTGGTTTAGGCAAAGAGCTCATGACCCAGACCCAAAAGCAAATGCAACAAAAACAAAGATAAATAGATCGGACTTAAACTAAAAAGCTTCTGCACAGCAAAATAAATATTCAGCAAAGTAAACAGAAAATCTACAGAATGGGAAAAAATATTCTTAAACTATGCATCTGATAAGGGACTAATATCCAGAATCTACAAGGAACTCAAACAAATCATCAAGAAAAAACAAATAATCCCATTAAAAAGTGAGCTAAAGACATGAATAGACAATTCTAAAAAGAAGATATACAAATGGCCAACAAACATGAAAAAATGCTGGACATCACTAATGATCAGGGAAATGCAAATCAAAACCACAATGAGATACCACCTTATTCCTGCAAGAATGGCCATAATTTAAAAATCAAAAAACAATAAACATTGGCATGAATGTGGTAAAAAGGGAACACTTTTACACTGCTAATGGGAAGGTAAACTATTACAACCACTATGGAAAACATTACGGAGATTCCCTAAAGAACTGAAAGTAGATCTACCATTTGACTCAGCAATCCCACTACTATGTATCTTTGGTTTAAAATAAAATAATAAAATAAGTCATTATAAGAAAAATACACTTGCACATGTATGTTTATAGCAGCACAATTCACAATTGCAAAAATATGAAACCAGCCCAAATGCTCATCAACCAATGAGTGGATAAAGAAAATGTGGTGTATACATATCATGGAATAATACTTAGCCATTAAAAGGAATAAGATAATGGCATTTTATCTGGATGGAGTTGGAGACCATTATTCTAAGTGAAGTGTCTCAGAAATAGAAAACCAAACATCTATGTTTTCAGTTATAAGTGGGAGCTAAGTTATGAGGATGCAAATGCATAAGAATGGACTTTGGGGATTTAGGGGAAGGATGGGAGTGGGGTGAGGGATAAAAGGCTACGCACTGGGTTCAGTGTACAGTTTGGGTGATGGGTACACCAAAATCTCAGAAATCACAGCTAAAGTACTTATCCATGTAATCAAACACCACCTGCTCCCCCAAAACTATTGAAATAATAATAATAATAATAATAAATGGTTAAATAAATCTAGTATACCCATACTATGAAATACTCGGAGATCATTTTAAAATGAAATATATTTGTATATAGTAACATGGAAATACATTTATGATATATTATTAAAAAATATAGTTTCAGAAAAATATGCACAGTATCACTCAATTAAAATAAACAACCAAGCCTATATAAATATACATACCTATACTTATATGTTTCTATGTGAATGCAAAGAAAAAGATCTCAAATACAAATAAAACTAAATATAGCAGTTGTCTATGAATAGTGATAGAGGAGGCAGTGTGAAGATAACTGGAAATTTTCATTTTCTAGATTTCTATATTGTTTGACTTTTCAATAAATATTTTTGTAACAAAAATATCTATATTTAAATGTCTTTTAGGAGTGGGTTAGCATCTAAGGGAGGCTTTTATCTGATCTCTAAACCTTAATTATAAAGTAATTTTATAATAATAAATATAAAATAATATATTATTGAGAGCACTGAGATAACTAATTAAAACCAACCTGAAGATTTCCTATACAGTCTGGAGGTGAGTCTAAAAGATCATACTGTAGCCCAGACGTTTTACTCTCAGTGCCCTCTCACCTTCCTGATGTTTAATGTATTACCAATAAATTAAGGTTAGTATAATTGAGAATCTGACACAAAGCAGATCTTTCTTTTATTTTTAAAGTTTTATTTTCGGTTCGGGGGCACATGTAAAGGTTTCTTATATAGGTAAACTTGTGTCAAAGGGGTTTGTTGTATAGATTACTTCGTCACCTAGGTATTATTAATCTTAGTACCCAATTGTTATTTTTTCTGTTCCTCTGCCTCCTCCCACTTTCCATCCTCAAGTAGAACCCAGTGTCTGTTGTTCTCTTCTTCATGGTTCATGAGTTCTCACAATTTAGCTCCCACTTATAAGTGAGAACATGTGGTATTTTCTGTTCGGTAAAGATAATAGCCTCCAGCCCCATCCATGTTCCCACAAAAGACATGATCTCATTCTTTTCTATAGCTGCACAGTACTTCATGGTGTGTATGCACCACATTTGCTTTATCCAATCTGTCATTGATGGGCATTTAGGTTGATTCCACATCTTTGCTATTGTGAATAGTGCTGCAATGATCACTTGCTTGCATGTGTCTTTATGGTAAAATGATTTATATTACTCGGGGAATATACACCCAGTAATGGGATTGCTGGGTCGAATGGTATTTCTGTTTTTAGGTCTTTGAGGAATCACCACGCTGTCTTCCACAATTGTTGAACTAATTTGCACTCCCACCAACAGTGTGTAAGTGTTCCCTTTTCTCCACAATCTCACCAGCATCTATTATTTTTTGACTTTTTAATAGTAGCCATTCTGAGATGGTATCTCATTGTGGTTTTGATTTGCAGTTCTGTAATGATGAGTGATATTGAGCTTTTATTCACATTTGTCGGCCACAGGTATGTTTTCTTTTGAAAATTGTCTGTTCATGCCCTTTGCCCACTTTTCAATGGGATTATTTGATGTTCTCTTATAAATTTAAGTTCTTTATAGCTGCTGGATATTAGACTTTTTTCAAGTGCATAGTTTGCAAAAATTTTCTTCCATTCTGTAGGTTGTCTCCCATTCTGTAGATTGTTTACTCTGTTGATAGTTTCTTTTGCTGTGCAGAAGCTCTTCAGTTTAATTAGATCCCATTTGCCAATTTTTGCTTTTGTTAGAAGCAGATATTTCTACACTTTGGATTTTCAAATGGAAACCTAATATTCTTGTATCAGTTTGCTAGGGCTGCCATAATAAAGTAACACAGACTGGGTCTCTAAATGGCAGAAATTTATTGTCTCACAATTCTGGAGGTTAGAAGTCCAAGATAAAAGTGTCAGCAGGATTGGCCATTTTGAAGGCCTCTCTCCTTGGCATGTAGATAGTCATCTTCTCCCTGTGTCTTCACATGGTCTTCCTTCTGTACCTATCTGTGTCCAGATTTCCTTTCCCTATAAGGACATCAGACTGGATTACAGCCCACCCTAGTTGACCTCATTTTAACTTAACTACCTCTTTAAAGACCTTATACAAATAGTCACATTCTGAAGTACTGAAAGTAAGGGCTTAAACAGATGAATTTTGAGAGGACACAAGTTGACCCATAACAGTTCTGTTATTTAGAAATTACATCTGTTTCTGAAAAGGTAAATAATTACAACCATTTTATGAATGAAATCAGAAAATTTAGTATGCAAACCATTTAAAATGCAAATTAATTATTAGATTAGTTGAACTTTTGTTTAAAATGATTAATGGACCTTTTTGCAGAAGAGCAACTGTGGGCAACGCATTATTTTAATTATATGTGCATCATCTGATGGATCATGCCTAAAGTTCATATCATTCCTAAATTTATCTCTTAATCATCACCTCATCCCTGGACTCTACTAAATCCCTAAGCTCCAGATCATCCCAGATTTTTACTTCAAGTGTGGAGCAGGGAAGATTTCCCAGTCATGATCTTCAAAATATGGATAGTATGATGCTGAATGAAATCATCTATGCAATATATTTATGAAATCAAAATAAATACATTATCATGTTTTTAAAAGTATGATCTATGGGAAAACATATGAACTCACATATTTAAAAAAGATCTAGTATTTGATGGCACAACAGGGTGACAACAGTCAATATTTTACTGTATATTTAAAAATAACTAAATGGTATAACTGGAATATTTATAATACAGAGAAATAATAAATGTTTGAAGTGATGGATATCCCATTTACCCTGATGTGATTATTACACATTGTATGCCCATATCAAAATATCTCATGTACCTCCTAAATATATACACCTACTATCTATCCAAAAAAATTAAAAAATAAAAAAAGAGTATCTGAATCCTGCAAAACCAAGGCAGATATTATATATCTATAATATTCAGGATTGTGATTCAGATGATCTGAGCTTTAGTCCTTTCTGTGCAGTAGAATCAGCATAACTAGGTCAATATATTTTACTTCTTTGGTTCTGAATTGTTCTCCCTATAAAATACAAATGTATGGATTTTGACAATCTATTCACAAAAGTAGTCATAAGGAATTATAATCCTGAAATATGTTATGCTTCTTAGAAGAGAGATCTTTCAGATCCTCTCCAATGTTAATAACAATAAAAATCATAATCATAATACTATTAACTATTATTTTGTATTTATCATGTGTCAGGCACTATACCAAGAGACTTACATACATAATCTCATTAGTGCTCAAAATAACCATGAAAGATCACAGAGGAAGAAAGTGAAACTTAGAGAAGTTAAGTTCCCCAAGATCACATATATAGTAAGTGGCAAAGTCAATACTTGATCCGAGGTAGATCTAACACCAAAGTCTGGTTATTTGCTACTGATATAATGCTTTTTAACAGTGCATTAGAGAGTGAAATTTATCAGGAATTGTATTTGTTTCCTAGGGCTGTGGTAATAAATGACCACAAGCTGGGTGGCTTAAAATAATAGAAATTTATTCTCTCAGAGTTCTGGAAGCTAGAAGTCTGAAATCAAGGTGTAGGCAGGGCCATACTCTTGCTGAAATGCCCAGGGGAGTATCCTTCTTTGCCTCTTTCTAGTTTCTGAAGGTTGCGGGCAATCCATAGTGTTACTTGGCTTGTGGCAGCATAACTCCAGACTCTGTCTCCATTTTCATATGGCTGTCCTCTCTCTGTATGTGTCTGTGTATCCAAATTTCCCTCTTCATATAAGGATACCAATGACTGTATTAGGGCTCACTTGAATCCAGTATGGCCTCATCTTAACTTGATTATATCTGAAAAGACCATCTTTCCAAATAAGGTCACATTTACAAGTTCCAGGTGGATGTGAATTTTAGGGAGACACTCTACAACCCAGTACAGGAATCATTATAAGTAGATAAGAAATGGGAAAACTTTTGCAGTATGTTTGACTATGGTTTTCTTAAGCTTTGGAGACTGAAAGGTTATGTGATTTGAGGCTTTAATTTCACTGCTTTTTGTGTTTTTTTGCCAATGCCAAATAATGTTCTTACTGGCAGTCATATACTGTATTGTGTTTTACTTTGATAGTGCAGTATAATTTGAAACCTATTACATAGAATTGTGAAAATATAATTTGAAGATGAGCAACTGTGGACAATGCATTATTCTTGATTATATGTGAATCATCTGATGGATCATGCCTAATGTTCATCTCATTCCTAAATTCATCTCTTAATCATCACCCCATCCCTGGACTCTACTAAATTCCTAAGCTCCAGATCATCCCAGATCTGTCACAAATCCACAGGATTAGAAGGGACCCCAGATAGTCATTAGACTATGACTCTGTTTCTAGTCAAGTCTCACTGGCTTATGCCATTATTCTTATTATGGTACAGTATCATCTAAGCCTCTACTCAATTTGTCTTGAAAATTTATTGTGGAAAATATTTATATATAATTATTTAATATTTTATTCAGAAGATGATCTCTGACCTTAAGGGTCATGCATACGAATAAGAGGCAACTCAAGACTTGCTCTAATTTTGTAATAATGGTAGGAAACATGCACTGATTCACCAGTACCTTCTGTTTACCACTGTTCTAAGTGCTCTACATACATTTACTCATTATATCTTGACACTTCTATGTAACAGGTAGTATTATCATTTTTATTCTATACATGAATAAAATGAACACAATGAGGTAAAATAATTTACTAGGAAATAGCAGAGCCAGGATTTGAATTCAGACAGTCTAGCTACAGAACTCACACTTTTGTATACTATGGTCTACTGTCTTCCAACCACTCTGCTCTCTTGCCTCTATAGCCAATGCCTCTGTTGAATGAATAACAGCAAATTGGAGCTTTAAAACAGCATAATATGAATGCTAGGTAGGTTAACGAATTATAACAATTAATTCCCCTGAAGTTCTCAACTGGCTGTATAAAGTGGCTACATAAACACTCACAGTTATTACTGATAAAATAATGTAAAGCTAAAGGTTTATTAAGACTAATGATTAGCTTACACTTTTTAAATGGAAAAATGCCACAATCTCTTTAGAAAGGTAGTATATTTTGCAGGTCAAGCCAAGATGGTGGTGAGGAGCAGAGAGGAGCACAATAAATATACTGGAACTGTGATGGTGAAGGAGTTAGCCTTTAAAGTCTCTTCTGGGGCCTTTACTCCATGCCTTAAAGAGGAGATGGACTGGGCAGAAAGGCAACATACCTAGGACAACAGTGTTGAACAAAGAGACAGCCTAGGGTCACTATGTCAGACAGAGTGCTTAACTGTGTCCTTCTCTGTCATAAATCCTGATAATTTCCAATTCTTGCCCTACAGCCAAAGGGGACACTGAAAATGTTTTTCTCTATCTCTGTGTAAGCTTCCTGAAAACCATCATTCTAAACTTTCTCCTCACCCAAGTTTATTTCTGGGAAAATTGCTCGGTCTATAGGCTTTTATGTTATTTACTTTTAGATGAAAAAAAGGACACGGTCCTGATCAATACAATTTCCAACATCATCTTACCTTTTTCTGCTGGGCTCAAAACAGTCACTGTGAAGAGACAGGAGAAAGAGAGACAGACAGACAGACAGAGATGGATGAGAGAGAGAGAGAGAGAAATTAGTTATATTTAAAAAGTCTTGTCTAACTCATTTTCCACAGCATCATTTGAGTAATTTATATAATAGTACTTTAGGAAACCACTAGGCAAAGATGAGGGAAGGCAAGGGTGATTACATTCCATCCTTTGCTATCTTCCTTTGTCTTAAACCTTCAGCAAGGCTTTCAATCATGAGAAGCTGCTTAATCAAGATTATTTTCAATGTTTCTTTCTCCATTGGGCTCTAATTAGCTGGGTAGAGATCCAGCAATAAAAGGCCTATGTAAACATGCTTTCTTTTTTTTATTATTATTATACTTTAAGTTTTAGGGTAAATGTGCACAACGTGCAGGTTCGTTACATATGTATACATGTGCCATGTTGGTAAACAAACAAAACAAACAAAAGATGGTTTTCATACAAAATGATCAACAGTTAAGGGTCAGAAAAATAGGGAAAAAGTCCAGAGAATGAGACTATGTTCTAAGGGCTATTTCTTCAGGCCTTTCATCAGTCATACTTTCTTTTTTTCTTCACATATAGGTCTATTTTATTGGGTCTTAAAAATTCTCCTTTTCATGATTATTTGAATGGATTTGTTACTATGGTTACATTTCACCTGTGTTAAAAATCTGACCAGACAATGTTTTTCTTTTTTCTAATGAGTCTGCTTGAAGATTGATACCAACTCCTTGTTGTTGTCTTCCAGTTAAACAACCAATACTGGTTAAGAATGCTTGAAAGAGGCACATATGCTACTTTCCCAATACAAATGGAAGTGGAAATGAAGCATTGATCAGTCAACCTGGGACTTCATGATTTTGTATGTACATGCTGCATGACTGCATTGGTTCCACTAGGCCCTGAATTGGACTAGTAACATTTCTTTTTTAAAAAACTTTAAAATGAAGTGAGAGAGAAAGCATAGTTTCTTGGAGACCAATATTAATAAGGAGGAGCTGATAAATTGCTGTTTGGTATGTTTCCTATCCCTGGCTGAATACTTGCAGCTAAACAAGAAGTGGAGGTGCAACTCCCATTTGCTTGGCTACTTGCTAAAGTACTGTGGGTGAGGGAAAGTCACTTAGTACTTGTAGATAGTGAGACGAGACGTGTATACAGGAGTGGGAGCCGGTGAATTCTCCAGGTGGGGAACAGCTATCTGTAAATAACTGCAGAACTTTTAAGTGCAAATGGGATTGGTTTATATGACCCAAGAGCAGAGGGCAGAAATAGAACCAATAGGTTAAAGCTGCAGGTTAACACATTTTAGCTCAGTATTAGAAAAAATAATGACAACGATAATGACGATGACAATGACTAGCAGCCTTGGGAAAAAGTGTTTCCCATTACATACACTTGGAAATGTTGTAGAGGACATTCAGACATTAGTTTGGCAGTGGAATTGACTTGTAAAGTCTTTATTACCTCTGAAATTGTGTAGGAAGTAAGTCCAAGGGAATTTTTTTTTTTTGCAAACTTCCCTTTTGGAAATTACATACTTTTGAGGACAAAAGGACATCTATTCTAAAAGATGTGGCACTTATCTTGGTACTTCTGCCTTTCCTGTATTTTTCTAATAATGCCTTTTGCACTATTAAAGAAAGAGGCTAGAATATTTCAGTCATATTTAAAATGAAAATGTTACAAGAGTCACAACAAACTTTTACAAAATGAATCTGTTATCACTAATCTCATGGGTAAGTGTACATTTAGCCATGCTATGGGTAACTTGGCATGAAGATTTTAGAGTGATGTGGTGATACATGTAATTATACACCTTCTCTGTTTCTTTAAGTTTCACTCACTACTAGGGGGTAAATTATTGGAGTTATCATCAAATGGCTTTTTGCACTGTCTCTCCTTTTTTCTTTCATTATTTATTGACTCTTTGCAAGTAGTTATGGAGAAAAATTAAGGAAGGATGGTATATATGGAATAGTTTTTCATCACAGACAACCAGTGTTAAAACCAAAGCATAGTTTATAATTTCCTTTAAATAGATGCATATTGTAGGGTTCACAGAAGTATACAAGTAGAAAAAGCCTAATTTGGGGCTAGATGGAAAAGGTAAAAAGTCGTAGAAAGGACACTGAAGAAATTCTACAGCAGTGCGATCCAATAGATATAATGTGAGCCAGGTAGTTTAAATTTTCTAGTAGGAACATTTTTTAAAAAGTTAAAGAATGCCAAGTGAACTTAATTTAAAAAATATATTTTACCAATATATCAAAATATTTTCATTTGAACATGTTTTTTTAAATTATACTTTAAGTTCTAGGGTACATGTGCACAACATGCAGGTTCATTGCAGATGTATACATGTGCCATGTTGGTATGGTGCACCCATTAACTCGTCATTTACATTAGGTATATCTCCTAATGCTATCCCTCCCCCCTCCCCCCACCCCACAATAGGCCCCAGTGTGTGATGTTTCCCTTCCTGTGTCCAAGTGTTCTCATTGTTCAATTCCCACCTATGAGTGAGAACATGCAGTGTTTGGTTTTTTTTGTCCTTGCGATAGTTTGCCGAGAATGATGGTTTCCAGCTTCATCCATGTCCCTACAAAGGACATGAACTCATCCTTTTTTATGGCTGCATAGTATTCCATGGTGTATATGTGCCACATTTTCTTAATCCAGTCTATCACTGATGGACATTTAGGTTGGTTGCAAGTCTTTGCTATTGTGAATAGTGTTGCAATAAACACACGTGTGCATGTGTCTTTATAGTAACATGATTTATAATCCTCTGGGTATATACCCAGTAATGGGGTGGCTGGGTCAAATGGTATTTCTAGTTCTAGATCCTTGAGGAATGGCCACACTGTCTTCCACAATGGTTGAACTAGTTTCCAGTCCCACCAACAGTGTAAAAGTGTTCCTATTTCTCCACATCCTCTCCAGCACCTGTTATTTCCTGGTTTTTAATTAACGCCATTCTAACTGGTGTGAGATGGTATCTCATTGTGGTTTTGATTTGCATTTCTCTGATGGTCAGTGATGATGAGCATTTTTTCATGTGTCTTTTGGCTGCATAAATGTCTTCTTTTGAGAAGTGTCTGTTCATATCCTTCGCCCACTTTTTGATGGGGTTGTTTGTTTTTTTCTTGTAAATTTGTTTGAGTTCTTTGTAGATTCTGGATATTGGACCTAAAACCATAAAAACCCTAGAATAAAACCTAGGCAATACCATTCAGGACATAGGCATGGGCAAGGACTTCATGTCTAAAACACCAAAAGCAATGGCAACAAAAGCCAAAATTGACAAATGGGATCTAATTAAACTAAAGATCTTCTGCACAGCAAAAGAAACTACCATCAGAGTGAACAGGCAACCTACAGAATGGGAGAAAATTTTTGCCATATACTCATATGACAAAGGGCTAATATCCAGAATCTTCAACATGTTATCCACATAAAAATTATTGTGATAATTTATATTCTTTTTTTCACTAAGTTTTGGAATGCTGGTGTATATTTTATGCTTCCAGAACATCTGAATCCAGATGACACATTTCAAGTGTTTAATAGCCACATGTGGCTAGTGGCTACAGAATTAGTGGAGTTCAAAAGGGACTTGTGAAAGGAGAGTAGGAAGTTTGAAAATATCCAGTGAGATAAGCACTCACTTACAACATGAAGTTCTTTTTTAACGAATGACATGTTTGGGAAGAGAGTTTATTATAATGATGTACAGCATATACTTTGGCATGTATTCGTATTTTGGCTCTTGACACTTATTCTGTGACCTTGGTTAATTAATCACTGTGTGCCTCAGTTTCCTCATCTGTAAAACGATAAAATTGGTTATGTTATCAGATTGTTACAAGGATTAAGTAATAACATATGTGTAAAGCACTTGGGTGCTTTGCACATAAGTACTTAATTATTGTTAGCAATTTATAATCATTTTTCTACAAAAATAAATTGTTTAGTGAGGTTACATTTTACAATAAGTTTAGGACAAAACAAGTCTGATTTTAAAAAATGTTATGGTTCCCAGAGTTACATATGATGGTATTAAAATAATTTATTCAGTGTCAAAATGAATAACTTTGATTCCCCCCACTTTTTCTCTTAGATGTTTCTTAGATTCTAGGTTAGGAGAGGGTAGAGTTTGATATAGGGAACTGAGACACATTTCTGAGTGTTTTCTGTTGAAAGTTAGCTAATCAGGTCAGTCTTTATTTACTTCTTTGAAAAAGTTACTCACACCAGCCATTCATTTACTTTTAAGGCAGTCCCTCTCAAACCTGGATGATCGTAATACTTACTTAGGAAGCATAATAAAAATATAGATTCCAGGGCTCTCTTCACATAGCACAACTTTGGATGGAGGTGCAGAAATTTGTATTTGAAAACCTCAGCAGGTGATTCTGAGTTAGGTTTTAAAACCATTGGAGTTATATTAGGCATTTGTTACAACAAGTTACTAGTCAGGTGTGATGATACATTTAACTGTTTGTCATATGAATGACATAAAACTGTTTTAGATGTGGTAATACCATGATTCCTATAGGCTTGAATGGATACTTTTACCTCTATAGAAACTTGGTTTCTAGAAAATGTTTCTTCTGTTTTTTTTTTTTTTTCTGTCTGATCAGTTTATATTTCTTCTCTCTTCGGAAAATTTCTTTTTTTTTTTTTATCTTTTGTCTTTTTATTATTATTATTATTATTATTTTTTAAATTATACTTTAAGTTTTAGGGTACATGTGCACATTGTGCAGGTTAGTTACATATGTATACATGTGCCATGCTGGTGCGCTGCACCCACTAACGTGTCATCTAGCATTAGGTATATCTCCCAATGCTATCCCTCCCCCATCCCCCGACCCCACCACAGTCCCCAGAGTGTGATATTCCCCTTCCTGTGTCCATGTGATCTCATTGTTCAATTCCCACCTATAAGTGAGAATATGCGGTGTTTGGTTTTTTGTTCTTGCGATAGTTTACTGAGAATGATGGTTTCCAATTTCATCCATGTCCCTACAAAGGACATGAACTCATCATTTTTTATGGCTGCATAGTATTCCATGGTGTATATGTGCCACATTTTCTTAATCCAGTCTATCATTGTTGGACATTTGGGTTGGTTCCAAGTCTTTGCTATTGTGAATAATGCCGCAATAAACATACGTGTGCATGTGTCTTTATAGCAGCATGATTTATAGTCATTTGGGTATATACCCAGTAATGGGATGGCTGGGTCAAATGGTATTTCTAGTTCTAGATACCTGAGGAATTGCCACACTGACTTCCACAATGGTTGAACTAGTTTACAGTCCCACCAACAGTGTAAAAGTGTTCCTATTTCTCCACATCCTCTCCAGCACCTGTTGTTTCCTGACTTTTTAATGATTGCCATTCTAACTGGTGTGAGATGATATCTCATAGTGGTTTTGATTTGCATTTCTCTGATGGCCAGTGATGATGAGCATTTTTTCATGTGTTTTTTGGCTGCATAAATGTCTTCTTTTGAGAAGTGTCTGTTCATGTCCTTCGCCCACTTTTTGATGGGGTTGTTTGTTTTTTTCTTGTAAATTTGTTAGAGTTCATTGTAGATTCTGGATATTAGCCCTTTGTCAGATGAGTAGGTTGCGAAAATTTTCTCCCATGTTGTAGGTTGCCTGTTCACTCTGATGGTAGTTTCTTTTGCTGTGCAGAAGCTCTTTAGTTTAATTAGATCCCATTTGTCAATTTTGGCTTTTGTTGCCATTGCTTTTGGTGTTTTGGACATGAAGTCCTTGCCCACGCCTATGAAGAGTCCAGGACCAGATGGATTCACAGCCGAATTCTACCAGAGGTACAAGGAGGAACTGGTACCATTCCTTCTGAAACTATTCCAATCAATAGAAAAAGAGGGAATCCTCCCTAACTCATTTTATGAGGCCAGCATCATTCTGATACCAAAGCCGGGCAGAGACACAACCAAAAAAGAGAATTTTAGACCAATATCCTTGATGAACATTGATGCAAAAATCCTCAATAAAATACTGGCAAACCGAATCCAGCAGCACATCAAAAAGCTTATCCACCATGATCAAGTGGGCTTCATCCCTGGGATGCAAGGCTGGTTCAATATACGCAAATCAATAAATGTAATCCAGCATATAAACAGAGCCAAAGACAAAAACCACATGATTATCTCAATAGATGCAGAAAAAGCCTTTGACAAAATTCAACAACCCTTCATGCTAAAAACTCTCAATAAATTAGGTATTGATGGGACGTATTTCAAAATAATAAGAGCTATCTATGACAAACCCACAGCCAATATCATACTGAATGGGCAAAAACTGGAAGCATTCCCTTTGAAAACTGGCACAAGACAGGGATGCCCTCTCTCACCGCTCCTATTCAACATAGTGTTGGAAGTTCTGGCCAGGGCAATCAGGCAGGAGAAGGAAATAAAGGGTATTCAATTAGGAAAAGAGGAACTCAAATTGTCCCTGTTTGCAGACGACATGATTGTTTATCTAGAAAACCCCATCGTCTCAGCCCAAAATCTCCTTAAGCTGATAAGCAACTTCAGCAAAGTCTCAGGATACAAAATCAATGTACAAAAATCACAAGCATTCTTATACACCAACAACAGACAAACAGAGAGCCAAATCATGAGTGAACTCCCATTCACAATTGCTTCAAAGAGAATAAAATACCTAGGAATCCAACTTACAAGGGATGTGAAGGACCTCTTCAAGGAGAACTACAAACCACTGCTCAAGGAAATAAAAGAGGACACAAACAAATGGAAGAACATTCCATGCTCATGGGTAGGAAGAATCAATATCGTGAAAATGGCCATACTGCCCAAGGTAATTTACAGATTCAATGCCATCCCCATCAAGCTACCAATGACTTTCTTCACAGAATTGGAAAAAACTACTTTAAAGTTCATATGGAACCAAAAAAGAGCCCGCATCGCCAAGTCAATCCTAAGCCAAAAGAACAAAGCTGGAGGCATCACACTACCTGACTTCAAACTATACTACAAGGCTACAGTAACCAAAACAGCATGGTACTGGTACCAAAACAGAGATATAGATCAATGGAACAGAACAGAGCCCTCAGAAATAACACCACATATCTACAACTATCTGATCTTTGACAAACCTGAGAAAAACAAGCAATGGGGAAAGGATTCCCTATTTAATAAATGGTGCTGGGAAAACTGGCTAGCCATATGTAGAAAGCTGAAACTGGATCCCTTCCTTACACCTTATACAAAATCAATTCAAGATGGATTAAAGATTTAAACGTTAGACCTAAAACCATAAAAACCCTAGAAGAAAACCTAGGCATTACCATTCAGGACATAGGCGTGGGCAAGGACTTCATGTCTCTTCGGAAAATTTCTACCTTTCAAGTAGAATTATATCATAGCTATTTTTATTTTTTAATCTCAGAATGGATACTATTGGGCACCAAAACTAAGAGTACTCCAGACTTACATCCCTCCTCAAAAGCAACTAATGAGCTGGCAAAAACTGTCAGAATAAACTTTTGCAGAACTCTGGAATCTAGTAAAATTGTTACAATAACCAGAGAGGAAGACTTGGTGAAGAAAAGAACTGATGCTTTGTAGTAAGAGGATACTGTGACATTTTAAAGTGGCTGCCTACCATCCTCCACATCCCAGATCAGTAGAGGCTGTGAGGACAGCCGCCTACACTCTACTATATACAATAATAGAGCCTACACTCTAATATACAGCCTATATCCTAACATACTAATATACACATAACGGGGCTTCCAAAGTGAGAGGAAAGAGAGGAAAAACAGAAAGAGTATTTGAAAAAATGATGGCTAAAAAACTTCATACATTTGGTAAAAAATATGAATCTAAACATCCAAGAAGTGCAATGAACTCCAAATAGAATAAACTAAAAGATATCCACAATCAGACACATTATAGTCAAATTGCCAAAAAACAAAAAGAAAATCTTGAAAGCAGGAAAATTGACTTTTTACATAACAAAAAAAAAACAATAAGACTAACAGCTGATTTCTCTTAAGAACCCACAGAGGCTAGAAGGCAGTGAAATGTGATATTTAAATTGCTGAAAGAAAAAGAAAAACATCTGTCAACACATATACAGAACTCTATGTCCAGCAACACTATACTTCAAAGAATGAAAGCGAAAACAAGACATTCTCAGATAAACAAAAACTGAGGGAGCTGATCACTAGTAGAATTGCCCTTCAAGAAATGCCAAAGGGCATTCTTTAGAAAAACTGAAAAGGCACTCACTGTAACCCACGCTATACAAAAAAATAAGAACACTGGTAAACTATACAGGTAGCTACAAAAGCAAGTAATATTGAGTTTTACGTTTTTTTTAACTCTTTTTACTATCTAATTTAAAGGAAAAAATGCATAAAACAACAATGATAAATCTACGTTAAGGAGTATACAATGTATAAAGATGTAATTTGTGATAATAGCATAAAGGGGGCAACAGAGCTGTAAACGGCTGGGTTTTGTATACTATTAAATTAAGCTGGTATTCAACAGGATCATTCCAAGATGGCTGAATAGGAACAGCTGCAGTCTACAGCTCCCAGCGTGAGCAACACAGAAGACAGGTGACTTCTGCATTTCCAGCTGAGGTACGAGGTTCATCTCACTGGGACTGGTTGGACAGTGGGTGCAGCCCATGGAGTGTGAGCCGAAGCGGGGCGGGGCATCACCTCACCCAGGAAGCACAAGGGGTCTGGCAATTCCCTTTCCTGGCCATGGGAAACTATGACAGATTGCACCTGGAAAATCGGGACACTCCCGCCCTAATACTGTGCTTTTCCAATGGTCTTAGCAAATGGAACACCAGGAGATTATATCCCATGCAAGGCTCGGTGGGTCTCACGCCCATGGAGCCTTGCTCACTGCTAGTACAGCAGTCCGAGATAGAATTGTGAGGCAGCAGCAAGACTAATAAAGAAGAAAAGAGAGAAGAATCAAATAGACGCAATAAAAAAATGATAAAGGGGATATCACCACTGATCCCACAGAAATACAAACTACCTTCAGAGAATACTATAAACATCTCTATGCAAATAAACTAGAAAATCTAGAAGAAATGGATGAATTCCTGGACACATACACCATCCCAAGACTAAATCAGGAAGAAGTTGAATTCCTGAATAGACCAATAACAGGCTCTGAAATTGAGGCAATAATTAATAGTCTACCAACCAAAAAAAGTCCAGGACCAGATGGATTCATACCCGAATTCTACCAGAGGTACAAAGGGGAGCTGGTACCATTTCTTCTGAAACTACTCCAATAAATAGTAAAAGAGGGAATCCTCCCTAACTCATTTTATGAGGCCAACATCATCCTGATACCAAAGCCTGGCAGAGACACAACAAAGAAAAAAAAGAGAGAGAATTTTAGACCAATATCCCTGATGAACATTGATGCAAAATCCTCAATAAAATACTGGCAAACCGAATCCAGAAGCACATCAAAAAGCTTATCCACCAAGATCCAGTTGGCTTCATCCCTGGGATGCAAGGCTGGTTCAACATATGCAAATCAATAAACGTAGTCCATCATATAAACAGAACCAAAGACAAAAACCACATGATTATCTTAATAGACACAGAAAAGGCCTTTGAAAAAGTTCAACAGCCCTTCATTCTAAAAACTCTCAATAAACTAGGTATTGATGGAATGTATCTCAAAATAGTAAGAGCTATTTATGACAAACCCACAGCCAATATCCTACCGAATGGGCAAAAACTGGAAGCATTCCCTTTGAAAACTGGCACAAGACAGGGATGCCCTCTCTCACCACTCCTATTCAACAACATATTGGAAGTTCTGGCCAGGGCAATCAGGCAGGAGAAAGAAATAAAGGGTATTCAATTAGGAAAAAAGGAAGTCAAATTGTCCCTGTTTGCAGATGATATGATTGTATATTTAGAAAACCCCATCATCTCAGGCCAAAATCTCCTTAAGCTGATAAGCAACTTCAGCAAAGTCTCAGGATACCAAATCAATGTGCAAAAATCACAAGCATTCGTATACACCAATAACAGACAAACAGAGAGCCAAATCATGAGTGAACTCCCATTCACAATTGCTTCAAAGAGAATAAAATACCTAGGAATCCAACTTACAAGGGATGTGAAGGACCTCTTCAAGGAGAACTACAAACCACTGCTCAATTAAATAAAAGAGGACACAAACAAATGGAAGAATATTCCATGCTCATGGATAGGAAGAATCAATATCATGAAAATGGCCATACTGCCCAAGGTAATTTATAGATTCAATGCCATCCCCATCGAGCTACCAATGACTTTCTTCACAGAATTGGAAAAGGCTACTTTAAAGTTCATGTGGAACCAAAAAAAGAGCCTGCATTGCCAAGACAATCCTAAGCCAAAAGAACAAAGCTGGAGGCATCATGCTACCTGACTTCAAACTATACTACAAGGCTACAGTAACCAAAACAGTATAGTACTGGTACCAAAAAAGATATATAGACCAATGGAACAGAACAGAGCCCTCAGAAATAATACCACATATCTATAACCATCTGCTCTTTGTCAAACCTGACAAAAACAAGAAATGGGGAAAGGATTCCCTATTTAATAAATGGTGCTGGGAAAACTGGCTAGCCAGATGTAGAAAGCTGAAACTGGATCCCTTCCTTACACCTTATACAAAAATTAATTCAAGATGGATTAAAGACTTAAATGTTAGACCTAAAACCTTAAAAACCCTACAAGAAAACCCAGGCAATACGATTCAGGACATAGGCATGGGCAAGGACCTCATGACTAAAACACCAAAAGTAATGGCAAGAAAAGCCAAAATAGACAAATGGGATCTAATTAAACTAAAGAGCTTCTGCACAGCAAAAGAAACTACCATCAGAGTGAACAGGCAACCTACAGAATGGGAGAAAATTTTTACAATCTACACATCTGACAAAGGGCTAATATCCAGAATCTACAAAGAACTCAAACAAATTTACAAGAAAAAATCAAACAACTCCATCAAAAAGTGGGCAAAGGATATGAACAGACATTTCTCAAAAGAAGACATTTATGCAGCCAAAAGATACATGAAAAAATGCTCATCATCACTGGCCATCAGAGAAATGCAAATCAAAACCACAATGAGATACCATCTCACACCAGTTAGAATGGCGATCATTAAAAAGTCAGGAAACAACAGGTGCTGGAGAAGATGTGGAGAAATAGGAACACTTTTATACTGTTGGTGGGAGTGTAAACTAGTTCAACCATTGTGGCAGACAGTGTGGTGATTCCTCAAGGATCTAGAACTAGAAATACTAATTGACCCAGAGATCCCATTACTGGGAATATACCCAAAGGATTATAAATCATGTTACTATAAAGACACATGCACAAGTATGTTTATTGCGGCACTATTCACAATAGCAAAGACTTGGAACCAACCCAAATGCCCATCAATGATAGACTGGATTAAGAAAATGTGGCACATATACACCATGGAATACTATGCATCCATAAAAAAGGATGAGTTCATGTCCTTTGTAGGGACATGGATGAAGCTGGAAACCATCATTCTCAGCAAACTATCGCAAGGACAGAAAACCAAACACTGCATGTTCTCAGTCATAGGTGCGAATTGAACAATGAGAACACTTGGACACATGGTGGGGAACATCACACACGGGGGCCTGTCGTGGGGTGGGGGGAGGGGGGAGGGATAGCATTAGGAGAAATACCTAAGGTTAAATGAGGAGTTAATGGGTGCAGCACACCAACATGGCACATGTATACATATGTAACAAACCTGCATGTTGTGCACACGTACCCTAAAACTTAAAGTATAATAATAATAAAATTTTAAAAAAAAGCTGGACTCGTATCTTATGCCAGATATAAAAAATTAACTCAGAATGGCTAAAATACCTAAAGGTGAGAGCTAAAAGTATAAAATTATTATAAGAAAACACAGGGCACACGCCTGTAGCCCCAGCTATTTGAGAGGCTAAGGTGGGAGGATCACTTGAGCCCAGGAGTTTGAGATCAGCCTGGGCAACATAGTGAGGTCCCGTATCAAAAACAAAAACAAAAAAAAACAAAAAACAAACAAACAAACAAAAAACCAAAACCAACCAACCAACCAACCAAACAAAAAAATCCCACAGGGGTAAATCTTTATGCTCTTGCATTTGGTAATGGATTCTTAAATATGACACCAAAAGCATAGGCAACAAAAGAAAAAATAGATAAATTGAATTTTATTAAAATTAAAAATCTTTGTGTATAAAATGATACTATCAAGTATGGGGGAAAATGTTTGCAAATAACGTATCTGATAAAGATCAAGTATTCAGAACATGCAAAAAATATTAAAATTCAACAACAAAAAGACAACCCAATTTAAAAATCCCATTTAAAAAATGGACAATGGCTTGAATAGACATTTTCCCAAAGAAGATATATGGATGGCAAACAAGTACATAAAAAGATACTCAATATTTTTTTCATTATGGAAATACAAATCAAATCCATAATGAGATACCCCTTCACACCCAGTAAGATGGCTATAATAAAAATAAAACTGAAAATAACAAGTCTTGGTGAGAATGTGGACAAATTGGAACCCTTCTGTGCTGCTTGATGGGAATGTAAAATGGTGCAGTCACTGCGGAAGATAGTTTGGAGGTTCCTCAGAAAGTTAAACATAGAATTACCATACAGTCCAATTATCCCCATCCATCTCCCTGGTGTATATACTCAAAATAATTGAAGACAGATATTCAAACAAATACATGAATGTTTGTAACAGCACTATTCAGAAGAGACAAAAGGTAGAAATAGCCCAAATGGCCATTAATGGATGAATGGATAACAAACTGGTATATATATATATATATATATATATATATATATATATACACACACACACACACACACACACACACACACACACACACAATAGACTATTATTCAGCCATTAAAAGGGATAAATTACTGTTACATAATATAATGTGGACCAATTTCAAAAACATTTTGTTAATTGGAAGAAGTCAGACACAAAAGAACACATATTTTATGATTCTATTTATATGGAACATCCATAATAGGTAAATCCATAGAGACAGAATGCAGATTAATAATTGGCTAGGACTTGGGGGAAGAGGGAACAGGGAGTGACTGCTTAATGCTTATGAGGTTTCTTTATGGGATAACAAAAACATTTTGGAACTACATAGAGGTGATGGCTGCACAACATTGTGAGTGCTAAATGGCACTGAGGCGAACACTTAAAAATGGTTAATTTTATGTTATATAAATTTCACCCCAATAAAATGGATACTGTTACTTTCCCTCCTCTCTAAAAAGCTAAGCTTCTTATTTTCCTGGGTCAGGAAGAATCCTTTATTTCTTTACTAATCACAAGTTACTATCTAATGAGCTCTTATAATGTGTTGTGAACTGTGATGCATGCTTTTCAGGCATCATGTTATTTGAGCCTCACAGCAGTAATACCTGGCATATACTGAGTGCTAAGCAACCATTTGTCATATGGATGAACAACTGTAGAAGCAAGGTACATGTGAGACAACTGAGGTTGAGAGAGTGAAGTTACTTGCCCCAGGTCTCCAGGCTAGTAAATGGCAGAATTCAAACTCTAAGAATTAAAGGACAAAAACATCTCTTTTGGTTTCAGCTCTAATGTAACGTTAGGGAGAAAGACATCAGGTTTTATCCCTGGAAAGAAGTTAGGTCCTTAATGTTACTTTTTGAGACATATTGAAATGCAAATTTGTTAATTTATTTGTGTTGGAAAAGGTATGGCCTTGGTATCAGGCAGCCTGGATTTCCAACTCTTCACTATTACTAAATGTGTGGCCTTAGGAAAATTTGATTTAACCTTTCCAAAACCCAGGTTGCTAATTTGTTACAAGATTGTTAAACTGATGATGGCAGGAGGGACTGGTTCAGCCAGAGTTGAAAGTCAAAGCTGCCTTATTCTCCTGACTTTTAAATAATGGGAACTGATGCAAAATGTTAAGAAAACACTGTGCAGGCCAGGCAAAATATATCTGAAGGCTACATCTGGCTTGTATGTCACAAAGTTTTTACCTCTGCATTAGTTTAGAGGAGACTGTGGCAACATACTGCCTGGGTTTTAAGTTTGGCCATTTACTAGCTCTGTGACCTTAGGTAAGCTACTTATTCTGTCTGTTCCTCAGTTTACAAACAAGTAATGATAGTATATACATTGGAAAGTTGTTATAAAGATTAAGTGTCTGTGTGTGTAGTCACCTAGAAATAGTACTTGGCATGTAGCAGTGTGGTGCAAGTATGTTAACTAAAACAAACAAATAAGTCCTACGCTTCCTTTCATCTGTTAATATTACATGACTAAAGAAGAACTTATAGAAGGCCAATTATTTGCAGTAACTTGGTCTTTACCTTGGTTTGCTCATCTGTGCCTCAGTTTACACATTTGTACAATGGAAACAGTAATGGTACCTGCCTCATATAGTTATTGTGATGATTAAATGAATTAATATATAGTTAATCTATCTACAGAACTTAGAACATTTTCTGGCACAGAGTAAGCAATACATAAGTGTTAGTCATTATCATCATTAATTTTTAAAATATATCTTGGTGAAGCTCATATGAGTCAATACTGAAAAACTCCAAAATAAGTTGTTTACAATATGGCATTGATCCTAGGAGCAATGTCCATACCATAATAATGGTGCTGAACTTTTGACCCTTCAATCAATCATTCAAAAAGCCAAAGTAGTAAGGTCTGAGAATAGAAAAGCTTCCCAGTCATTGCATAGTCTACTTAATGCATCCCAATACTGGATTGAGATACAAAAGAAAACTAGGCTAACTTGTATCTATGAAGGCAACTAATGACATTTATTTTAAGAGCTCTTTCTGCATTTTCCATAATATCTCTAAGGAAGAGGTAAAAAAAATTCCAATTGTGATTCAGAGAGGTAATTAGAATTAGAATATAGGAAATTATAGAATTAGAATATAGAAAGTTCTATATTGGAAAAGAGGATCATCTCCTGCCTCCCTAGTTTATCCCAGTCTACCTGGGGTAGACTATTGCTTTGCAAATATGTAACAGAAGAAAATTACAAATGGAGTCAGGTCCCGGAGTTCAAAAAAGCAGCATCCTTACCATCATTTTTAAGGTGAGAAGAGTTTGGTATGAAAAAATAAAGAAGTCTCAGAAGGACTTGGGAGTGAGGGGATGTCCAATGGGTCAGGAGTCCTACTGTGAGAGGAGTATAAACATATTGGAGCCCCAAACTAGATGAATAGGGAACATTGTAGGCCACAAGTTTAAGGGTGCTGGCGATGGAATTACAGTGTCGAAGTGACAAGACTGACAAGTATTAGTGGAATCTCTTTTGAGAGGAGACAGGGATTCTTCAATGTGAGAAGACAGGGACAAGGGGAGATTTTACTGTGAGAAAAGCAGGGACCCTATTGTAACAAGACAGGATATAATATGAAAACGCCATTGTGAGTTGATGAGAGCATTGCAAGGCCAATAATAATAAGAATGGGGAACGGGGGGAATTAAAGTGGAAAGTGGGAATAATATAAGGGAGAGACTTGGGGTTTGTGTCGGGAAATATTGTAGAATTCTGAGTTTGAATGCACAAGCTATACTGTGAGAACCATTTTGCAAATAAGGAGGATATAGAGTGCTCCTTAGTGTGACAGGACAGGGTAAAAAAAGATCATAGAATTATAAAAGGGGTAGTCTAATGAGAGGGAATGAGAAATGATATGCCCATTGGGAGGAGTAGAAAATATTAGAAACCCCAGTAAGAAAGAATGGGGTTTCCCCAGTTTGAGAAGATGGGACAAGTGCAATCCAATGAGAAGTAAGAAGAAATAATAATAAGAAATCCCAAAGGAAGTGGATGGCAGAATGTGGGGCTAAAAGTGAAAGAACACTGTGGGAGGTGGGGAGTGGGTTTCCTAAAAAAGATAACGAGGAATAATGATTAGAAAAGTAGCGGCCCTTTGATGGAATAGGAGATAAATTACGGAAACCCTTGTGGGAGGGTAAAAGAGGTGACTCTAGTGGGAGAAGGCACTATCATCATGTGACAATAGCAGGGTCACCAGTATAAGGTGTCAGAAAATAATGTGGGGCTCCTAATGGGAAGGAGTCGAATGCTCCTCAAAGCAAGAAGGCAGGAGACTGGAGGGAACTCCAGTATAATATAATCAGGGCCTCTCATGTGAGAGAGGATGTATTATAGAATACCAATCCCATTAAAGAAAATGATTAAATGGGGGGAGCCCACAGGGAAAGAGAATGGAGGGCTTACCACTGTGTGAAAACGGAAGATCTTAATGGAGTAGAATAGGGTGCACTGTGGGATCACAAGTGGACAAAGATATGAAGCACTTCAGCCAGTGTGAGAGGATCACGGGAAAACGATAGATTCCAGTGTGTGAAAAAGGAGAGCTAGTAAGAGAGTAGAGGAAATATTTTGGAACTCTCAGTAGGAAATCCCTAGTAGGAAATCCTAGTAGGATTCTAGTAGGAGGGAAAATGGTGGGGCTCCTAGTTGGATGCATTGGTGAGATTCCTAGTGTGAGCAAACAGTTTAAAGACACAGGGTATGTTGTTTCCTCAACTTGGTACAGTAGGGGCTCCCAGAAGGAGAGCACAAGGTGCAGATGGTTGCCCTGTATGAGAAAAGGGAGCCCTCGTGGGAAGAGCCAGGACATTATTGTGGGTAGGGCAAAGAAATAAGAAACCCTAGGTGGGAGACGATGGAGACACGGCGGGACCCTGGTGGGAGGGCGCAGGAAATATTGTGGGAAGCCAGAGGCTGGGGACAAGGAACTCTCCAGGGAGAGAAAGGAAAACCGCAGAGAGAAGGCTTGAGAACACAAGGGACACCAGTGTGAAGGTAGGGCAAACGATTATATTGGAGTATAATTTCCCCACCTTAGGTGCCCAGCCCCACTTACCCAGGCAGAGTTCAAAGACGTAGGCATAGTAGGACCAGAGCACGACGAGGACAATAACGAGCACTGGCACCCAGGACAGTACCCGGCGGCAGCACCGCAGCCCCCCAGACAGAGCCATCTTCCAGCCTCGCCGCATCTTTGGCTCGAAGATCGACCAAGCAGGCCTGCTGGCGCCGGGTCGGAACCGCTAGGGTGGCGGCTGCGAGGCTGGAAGGCGCGCTGTGCGGCACTCCACTGTCTAGCCTGGCGGGAACCCTCTCGCGGAGCCTTCGCCACCTGTGGGGCTGCGCTGCTGAGTGCGCCCTGCCTGGCACAACAGGCTTGAGTCACGGCGTTGAGGAACTAGCCATGTTGGAGCGGAAGGGTGATCCGTCAGGCAGTCGGAGCTAGCACGCTCAGAGGGAGTGCAGTCCCTCCCCTTTCTGCCTCCTCCCCACCCTGTTTCAAGGCTGGATGCAGGGCTAGACCTCCGCAAAATCGTGAAGCCGAAGAAATTTGGGTCCGCCCATCTGCTCTTACTGCACTGCGTCCGCCCTCTTTGTTTCTGTCTCAGTCTCTCTGTCTCCCTTCGTTCTCTTTCTCTCCCCCTGCTACCCCCCCCCACAGTTACACACACACACACACACACACACACACACACACACACACACACGCAGTGTGAAAGATGCGAGCCATAGCATCTCGTAACATGAAGGCCATCCAGCTCCATCCTCCCACTGCTGCTTGAACAATATGCTTAACACGTAGTGCCGCAGTCGCTGCTTGGGTAAGTCCTTTGACAGGGCACTCCCTCCTTCCCTTTTCCCTCCCCGCAGAATCAGCTTAGTATGTTTTTAGAACAAACACATTGGTATAAAAAAACAAATGAGGGAGACTGATTCTGAGAGGGGTCAGGGAAAGCTACAAAGGTAGCGATATTTAAGCTGAGCTATATTAATAAATTCAGGTTTTCCAGGCAGATGAGAGGAGGAGGACCTTTTAGACAGAGGAAACAGCATTTACAAAGTCATAGAGTAATGAAAGTCCAAAAATGTTCCAGGAGCAGCTAGTGTGGCTTGAAGAGTGTTTGTGAAGAAGAGAGGCTAAGAATGAGACTGGGAGTATGAGGCCATGGTGTGAAGGCTCTTATATGTCCTAGCATGGCATGGGGACATAATCATGTAAAGCAGATTATGAAGAGCCATCAAAGGTTTGGGGGAAATGGAGTGACATCAGGGATATGTTTTTGTGAAATAACTGGCAGGATTTTGGAAAGGAAGATGGCCTTGAAGTAGGAAGATCAATTAGGAGGTAATTTAATTCAACAAATGTTTTTGGAGTGGTTGCTTCCTGTTAGATCAACTTTGGTACAAAAAGAATGACAAAATAGTGGGCCTGACCCCAAGAAGCTCATGTTCTCATTGGGGCTGTAGTTGTTCATTGACACAAGTACAATAATAGAAGTACAGCAGGCTCTTGGCATTTATGGATTTGACACTCACTGTTTTTCCCAAAGGTCTTTTACATGGAGAAATTTGTGATTTTGCTGAGATGCATGTGTGATTCACATTCTGTGTGACTACTGTGTGGGAGCAAGTGTCTCTACGAGGTTGATCTCTGTTCTTTATTTATGGTTATATATGCAGTAAATTACCTGAAGTGATAAAAGATTTATTGTTTCTTTTCAGATTAAGCTAATTTTATGGTTGATGTTACTAAATTCATGATGCAATGAAATGCAGAGTTCATTTTAGTTACAATATTTAGTAGCCTAGTTAATTATTTGAGCCCTAAGTTTCTGACATGTATACTTAAATTTTCCAATATTCATAATTCGGGGCTTGTGGAACATGTATATTGGGATTGTCAAGGGTATACTATTTAAACCAAGTAGCCTTGAGGAGGCAATGATTAAGTGTGAAAGGGAAAGTCCCAGTTGGGTTTTGAATAATGACTAGGATTTCACCAGGAAGATAAGAGATGGGAGCAGGATTTAAGGGAGGAGGGGATTCCAGGCAAAAGGAAATATGTAGTGGCAAATGTATGCGAAACAGCACAACATACTTGGGGGACTGCAAGTAGCCCGCTTTTGCTGGAAGATATTAACAGTACTCTAACCAAGAGATGGTAAGAGCCTAGGCCTAAGCCAGGCTATGAAGGGAAGGAGAGGAGGGGAAAGATGTAATAGTGTTTGGGGAAATCAACAGAATTTGTCAACCAGTTGGCAGGTGAGGAGTGAGATAAGTTAAAGCTAACAGCCAGATTTCTAACTTCAATGCCTGAATGAACAATGTTGCCAATCACTATGATAGGGGCTATTGTGAGAAGAGCAGAGTTCGTGGGGGAAGTTGATAACTTTCACGTTTTGACATGATTAATTTTGCCTAAGTCTTCCTCTTCTAAGGTAGCCCGATCACTAATCAAATAGTCTGGGGCCGGGGGGCTTATGACAGGGATAGCTCACACCCAAAGGAGCATGGAGGGCCAAGAACCAGAGAGACAAACCATGTTCAAGTGTATACATCAAGGATTGGCAAACTATGCCTATGGGCCAAATATGGCCCACTGACTTTTTATGAATGAAGTTTTATTGGAACACATTCATGTCAATTTGTAGTCTATGGCTGTTTTGTACAATGCTGAGTTGGAGTAGTTGTGACATAGGTCATATAGCATGCAAAGCCTACATTTATTTAAATTTATTTTTAAAGACTTTATTTATTAGAGCAATGTTAGATTAACAGCAAAATTGAAAGGAAGGTTCAAAGATTTCCCATATAACCCCTACCACCACATGCATAGCCACCTCCATTATCAACATCCCCCACCAGAGTAGTACATTTGTTAGAATCTGTGAATCAGCATCAACATATATTTATCATCCAAAGTCCATAGTTTCTATTAGCATTCACTATTGGTGTTGTACAGTCTGTAGGTTTGGATGAATATATAATGACTTGTATCCACCATTACAATCTCATATAGAATATTTTTGCTGCCCTAAAACTCCTCTGTGTTCTACCTGTTCATCTCTCCCTCTCCACAACTCTTGGAAACTATTGATTTTTTTTGTTTTTTTTTACTGTTTCCATAGTTTGCCTCTTCCAGAATGTCATATAGTTGGAATGATACAGTATGTAACCTTTGCAGATTGGCTTCTTTCACTTAGTAATATGCATTTAAGATTCCTCCATGTCGTTTCATGGCTTGATAACTCATTTCTTATTAGTGTTGAATAATATTCCATTTTCTGGATGTACCACAGTTTATTTATACACTCACTCACTGAAAGACATCTTGGTTGCTTCCAAATTTTGGTTGTTATGAATAAAGCTGCTATAAACATCCATGTGCAAGTTTTTGTGTGGACGTAGGTTTTCACCTTATTTGGGTAAATACCAAGGACTGAGATTGTTGGATCATGTGGTAAGAGTATATTTAGTTTTGTAAGAAACTGCCAAAGTGTTTTCAAAAGTAGCTGTACTATTTTGTGTTTCCAGCAGAAATGACTGAGAGTTCCTGTTGCTCTACATCCTTGCTAGAATTTGGTGAGGCCAGTGTTCTGGATTTTGGCCATTGGAAAAGTCTGTAGTGGTATTTCATTGTTTTAATTTGCACATCTCTGATGACATATAGTGTGGAGCATCTTTTTGTATGTTTATTTGCCATCTATATATCTTCTTTGGTGAGGTGTCTGTTCAGGTCTTTAGCCCTTTTTTTGAGATGCTTGCTTTCTTATTGTTTAATTTTAAATAATTTTTGTGTATTTTAGATTACAGCTCTTTATCATGTGTCTTTTGCAAATATTTTCTTTCAGCATGTGGCCTTTTTATTCTCTTGATAGTGTCTTTAGCAGAGCAACTTTTTTATTTTAATGAAGTCCAGCTTATTAATTCTTTCTTTCATGGATTGTGTCTTTGGTGTTCCATCTAAAAAGCCATCACCAAACCCAAGGTTATCTGGATTTTCACATATGTTACATTCTGGGAGTTATACAGTTTTGTGTTTTATATTTAGGTGTGTAATCCATTTTGAGTTAATTTTTATGAAGGGTGTAAGGTCTGTGTCTAGATTTATATTTTTTGCATGTGGATATCCATTTGTTCCAGAACCATTTGTAAAAATGATGATCCTTCCTAGCACTTCGGGAGGCCGAGGCCAGTGGATCACCTGAGGTCAGGAGTTCGAGACGAGCTTGGCCAACATGGTGAAACCCTGTCTCTACTAAAAATACAAAAACTAGCCAGGTGTGATGACATGCGCCTGTAATGCCAGCTACTCAAGAGGCTGAGGCAGGAAAATTGCTTGAACCCAGGAGGTGGAGGTTGCAGTGAGCCAAGATTGCATCACTGCATTCCAGCCTGGGAGACAGAGCAAGACTCCGTCTTTAAAAACAAAATAAAACAAAACAAAACAAAACAAAACAAACAAGGTCTTTTCTCCATGGTATTGCATTTACCCCTTTGTCAAAGATCAGGAGATTTTATTTATGTAGGTCTATTTCTATTTCCAGGTTCTCTATTTTTTCCACTGATCTGTTTGTCTATTATTTCATCAATATCACAGTGTCTTGATTATTGTTGCTTTATAGTAAGTCTTGAAATTGGCTAGTGTCAGTCCTCTAACATTGTTCTTTTTCAATATTGTGGTGTTCTGGTTATTTTGCCTCTCCATAAAAACTTTAGAACGAGTTTGTTGATATCCACAAAGTAATTTGCTGGGATTTTGATTGGGATTGCATTGAATCTATGGATTGGGAAGAACTGACATCGTGATAATATTGGGTCTTCCTATCCATGAACATGGAACACCTTTCCATTTATGTAGTTCTTCTTTGATTTCATCAGAATTTTGTAGTTTTCCTCATATAAATCTTCTACATATTTTGTTAGATTTCCACGTAAGTATTTCATGCTAATGTAAATGGGATTTCCACTTAAGTATTTCGTGCTAATGTAAATGGGATTGTGTTAGTAATTTCAAATTCCACTTGTTCATTGCTGCTTTATAGAAAACTGATTGACTTTTGTATATTCACCTTGTGTCCTTCGACTTTCCTATAATTGCTTATTAGCTCCAGCTTTTCCGTTGATTCTTTCAGATTTTCTGCATAAACAATCATGTAACTGATGAACAAAAACAATGTTATTTCATCCTTCCAAATTAGTATTCCTTTTGTTTCATTTTCTTGTCTCATTGCATTAGCTAGGACGTCCAGTATGTTATTGAAAGGATGACAAGAGGGTCATCCTTGCTCATGGACATCCTTGCCCTGTTCCTGATTTTAATGGGAAAGATTCTATTTTCTTACCATTAAACATGATGTTAGTTACAGGGCTTTTAAAATAGAAATTCTTATTACATTAAGGAAGTTCCCCTCATTTCCTAAGATTTCTAAAATTTTAAAAAAATTATGAATAGATGTTGGATTTTGTCAGATGTTTTATTTGCATCTAATGATATGATCATGTGATTTTTCTTCTGTAGCCTGTTGATGGTATGGATTACATTAATTGATATTCTAATGTTGTACCAGCCTTGTATACCTGGAATAAATCTCACTTGATTGAGGTTTATACTTATTTTTATACATTGGGTTTGATTTGCTAGTATTTTTTTGAGAATTTTTGCATCTATGTTCATTAGAGATATTGATCTATAGTTTTCTTCTCTTGTAGTGTCTTTGCCTGGTTTTTGGTATTAGGGTGATGCTGGCCTGATAGAATGTGTTAGGAAGTATTTCCTCTGCTTCTATAATTTGAAAGAGATTGTACAGGATTGGTATAATTTCTTCCTTAAACGTTTTGTGGAATTCACCAGTGAACCCATCAGGGCCTGGTGATTTCTGTTTTGGAAGGTTATTAGTCATTGATTCAATATCATCAATAGATATAGCCCTATTCAGATTGTTTATTTCTTTTTCTTAATTTTTAATTTTATTTTTTGGTTCTTTTTAAAAATTTCAATAGTGATAGGGGTACAAGTGATTTTGGGTTACATGGATGAATTATATAGTGGGGAAGTCTGAGATTTTAGTGCACCTGTCACCCAAGTACTGTGCATTGTACCCAATATGTAGTTTTTTGTCCCTAATCCTCCTCCAACTCTCCCCTCTTCTGGGTTTCCAGTGTCCATTAAGCCACTCTGTATGTCCTTGCATACACATAGCTTAGTTCCCACTTATAAGTGAGAACATATGGTGTTTGGTTTTTCATTCCTGAGTTACTTCACTTAGAATAATGGCCTCCAGTTTCATCCAAGTTGCTGAAAATTACATTATTTCATTCTTTTTTATGGTTGAGTAGTATTCCTTGGGGTGTGTGTGTGCATATATATATATATATATGGCATTTTATTTATTCATTCATCAGTTGATGGGCACTTAGGTTGGTTCCATGTCTTCACAGTTGTGAATTGTGCTGCAATAAACATACATGTGCAGATTTCTTTTCTTTTTATTTTCTTTTATTTTATTATTATTATACTTTAAGTTTTAGGGTACATGTGCACAATGTGCAGGTTTGTTACATATGTATACATGTGCCATGTTGGTGTACTGCACCCATTAACTCATCATTTAGCATTAGGTATATCTCCTAATGCTATCCCTCCACCCTCCCACTACCTCACAACAGTCCCCGGAGTGTGATGTTCCCCTTCCTGTGTCCATGTGTTCTCGTTGTTCAATTCCCACCTATGAGTGAGAACATGTTGTGTTTGGTTTTTTTGTCCTTGCGATAGTTTGCTGAGAATGATGATTTCCAGTTTCATCCATGTCCCTACAAAGGACACGAACTCATCATTTTTTATGGCTGCATAGTATTCCATTATAATGGCTTCTTTTCCTTTGGGTAGATATCTAGTAATGGAATTGCTGGATCAAATGGTAGATATACTTTTAGTTATTTGAGAAATCTACATACTCCTTTCCATAAAAAGTTTTACTAATTTATGTTCTCACCAGCAGTGTGTAAGTGTTTCTTCTTCACCACATGAGCATAGGATATATTTCCATTTGTTTGTGTCATCTATGATTTCTTTCGCCTCCTTGGTTAATACTCCTATGTATTTCATTTTATTTTTTCCAGCTGTTGCAAAAGGAAGTGAGTTATTGATTTGATTCTCAGCTTAGTCGTTGTTGGTGTATAGCAGTGCCACTGATTTATGCATATTGATTTTATAACCTGAGACTTTACTAAATTCATTTATCAAACCTAGGAGATTTTTTGGAGGAGTCTTTGGGGTTTTCTCGGTATACAATCATATCAGCAAACAGAGGTAGTTTGACTTCCTCTTTTCCAGTTTGGGTGCCCTTTATTTCTTTCTCTTATCTGATTGTTCTGGCTAGTATTTCCAGTACTATGTTGAATAAAAGTGTTGAATGTGGGCATCCTTGTTGCATTCCTGTTCTCAGGGAATGATTTCAATTTTTCCTCATTCAGTATAGTGCTGGCTGCGGGGTTTTTTATGTATGGCTTTTATTATCTTGAGGTACGTCCCTTCTATACCTAGTTTGTTGAGGGTTTTTAACATAAAGGGATGATGGAATTTATCAAATGCTTTTTCTGAATCTGTTGACTTGCATGTGTTGAACCATCCCTGCATCCCTGGGATAAAACTCACTTGATAATGGCTAATTAACTTTTCAATGTTGAATTTGGTTCGCTAGTATTTTGTTGAGTATTTTTGCATCTATGTTCGTCAGGGATATGGGTGTGTTGTTTTCTTCTTCTTATCATGTCCCTTCTTGGCTTTGGTATTGGGGAGATACTGGTTTCATAGAATGAATTAGGGCATATTTGCTCTTTCTCAGTCTTTTGAAATAGTTTCAGTAGTACCCAATTCTTCGAATGTTGGGTAGAATTTGCATGTGAATCCATCTGGCCTTGGGCTTTTTTTTTCCTGACAAATTCTGTATTACTGATTCAATATCACTGCTTGCTATTGGTCTGTTCAGGATTTCTATTTCTGATTCAAGCTAGGAGGGATGTATGTTTTCAGGAATCTATTCATTTTCTCCAGATATTCTAGTTTGAGTGCATAGAGGTGTTCATAATAATCTCAGATGGATTTTTTATACTTCTGTGCTGTTGGTTGTAAGTCTTCACTTTCATTTTCCATTAAGCTTATTTGAATCTTTTCTTTTTGTTTCTGGGTTAATCTACCTAATAGTCTATTGATGTTGTCTTTTCAAAAAACAGTTTTCTGTTTCATTGATCTTTGGTATTGTGTTTTTTATTTTTTATTTTTAATTTCAGTTAGTTCTGCTCTGATCCTTGTCATTTTTTTTTCTTCTGCTAGCTTTGGGTTTGTTCTTCTTTCTCTAGTTCCTTGAGATGTGTTGTAAGTTTGTCAATTTGTGAGGTTTCAGATATTTTGCTGTAGGCATTTAGTGCTGTAAACTTTTTTCTTAGCATGGCTTCTGCTTTATTTCAGGAGTTATGATAAGTTGCATCACTGTTATCATTAATTTCAAAGAATTTTAAAATTTACATCTTGATTTTATTAACCCCAAAATTATTCAGGAGCAGATTGTTCAATTTTCATGTATTTGTATAGTTTTCAGGGTTCCTTATGTAATTGATTTCTGGTTTTATTCCGCTGTGGTTTGAGAAGATACTCTAAATGATTTTGATTTTTAAAAATTTATTGAGACTTATTTTGTGTCCTGTTGTATGCTCAATCTTGGAGAATGTTCCGTGTGCTGACGAGAAGAAGGTATATTCTGCAGTTATTGATAGAATGTTCTGTAGATATCTGTGTAGTCCATTTGTTCTAGAGTACAGTTTAAATTCAGTGTTTCTTTGTTGAATTTCTGCCATGATGATCTGTCTAGTGCTGTCAGTGGAGTCTTTTTTTTTTTTTTTTTTTTTGAGACAGAGTGTCGCTCTGTTGCCCAGGCTGGATGGAGTGCAGTGGCGCGATCTCGGCTCACTGCAAGCTCCGCCTCCCGGGTTCACACCATTCTCCCGCTTCAGCCTCCCAAGTAGCTGGGACTACAGGTGCTTGCCACCACGCCTGGCTAATTTTTTTGTATTTTTAATAGAGATGGGGTTTCACCGTGTTAGTCAGGATGGTCTTGATCTCCTGACCTCGTGATCTGCCTGCCTTGGCCTCCCAAAGTGCTGGGATTACAGGCGTGAGCCACCGCGCCTGGCCATGTGCTGTCAGTGGAGTCTTAAAGTCACTCACTGTTATTGTGTTGCTGTCTACTGATCTCCTCAAGTCAAGTAGTAATAGTTTTATGAATCTGGGAACTCCCGAGGTAGGTTCATACATATTTAAGATTGTAATATTTTCTTGTTGGATTGATTCTCTTATTATTATCATTACCGTTGCTGCTTTAAAATGTGCTTCATCTGATATAATAATAGGACTTACTGCTCACTTTTGGTTGTCTTTTGCATGGAATATTGTTTTCCACCCTTTTACCTTGAGTCTATAAAAATCCTTACATGTTAGGTGTGTGTCTTGAAGACAGCAGATACTCAGTTTATAATTTCTTTTTTAAGATGGAGTCTTGCTCTGTTGCTAGGCTGGAGTGCAGTAGTGCGATCTCGGATCACTGCAACCTCCACCTCCCTGGTTCAAGCGATTCTCCTACCTCAGCCTCCCAAGTAGCTGGGACTACAGGCACGCACCACCACACCCAGCTAATTTTTGTATTTTTAGTAGAGATCAGTTTGTGATTTTTAAAATCCATTCCACCAATCTGTATCTTTTAAGAAGAGCATTTATATCACATATATTCAACATTAATATTGAGATGTGAGGTACTACTCGAGTCATTATGTTGATTGCTACTTAGTTACATTGTTTTCTTCATTGTGTTATTCTTTCATAAGCCCTGTGAGTTTTATGCATTCAAGAGGTTCTCTTCTGGTGCATATCGACCTTTTGTCTTAATCCTTAGAACTTTTAGCATTTCTTGTAGGGCTGGTCTTGTAGTGTCAAATGCCCTCAGCATTTGCTTGAAAAATCTTTATTTCTCCTCCATTTATAAAACATAGTATTGCTGGATAAAAATTTATTGGTCAATAGTTATTTTGTTTAAGGAAGCCAAAGCTAGGACCCCAATCCCTCCTGGCTTGTCAGGTTCCTGCTGAGAAGTCTGCTGTTTGATAGGTTTTCCTTTATAGGTTGCCTTATGCTTTTGTCTTGCTGCTCTTAGAATTCTTTTCTCCCTTAGACCCTCTTGTATTTGGATGTATAAATCTCTATCAAGGCCAGGGAGGTTTTCCTCAATTATTTCCTCAAGCAAGTTTTTCAAAGTTTTTGCTTCTTCTTCAGAACACCAGTGATTCTTAGGTTTGGCAATTGTACATAGTCCCACATTTCTTGGAGACTTTGTTCTTTTATTTATTTATTTATTGTCTAATTGGACTAATTAAAAAACCTTTTTTGAGCTCTGAAATTCTTTCTCTTTGGTATAGTGTATTGTTAAAATTTTCCATTGCATTTTGTAATTTCCTAAATGTGTCATTTACTTCCAAAATTTCTAATTTTTTATTCTTCATCTTTTTTTAGTATTCATGATATGTTTCTGCATTGTTTGAATTTCTTTACAATTTAGCCATATATATTCATCATTTATCTCTCTGTGTGTACACTCAGCTCCTGGCTACGTCTTTGGACGTGTCTTCCTAAGGACTAGTATGAGAACATATGAGGTGTACACCTAGGAGTGGGGTTTCTGGTTCCTTGGGGTGCTCATTCTTGATTTCCTTGAGTAGGCAACAATGTAGGTTTGCATCTGCAGGGTCTGAGGGTTCTCAGATCTTCATATCATGTCCAACACTTAGTATTATATGACTTTCTAATGTTTTTCAATTGGATGGGTACAATTTGGTATTCATTGCTTTGTTTTATGTTTCTGTGTTTTCTACTGAAGTTGAGCCTCTGTCTCTGTTTTTTTTTTTTTTTTTGGAGCAGGGGGACCAAGTCTCACTCTGTCGCCCAGGCTGGAGTGCAGTGGTGTGATCTCGGCTCACTGCAACCTCCACCTCCTGGGTTCAAGCGATTCTCCTGCCTCAGCCTCTTGAGTAGCTGGGATTACAGGCGCCCACCACCATGACCAGCTAATTTTTGTATTTTTAATAGAGACCAGGTTTTGCCATATTGGCCAGGCTGGTCTTGAACTTCTGACCTCTGGTGACCCACCTGCCTTGGCCTCCCAAAGTGCTGGGATTACAGGCGTGAGCCACCACACCTGGCCAGTATTTCTTTTTTTTTTTTCTTTTTCGTTTTTTCTTTTTTTTGACTCTTTATTTCCATTTTAGTGATCATTCAGCATATGATAGAGCCATTATAGTATTTATACAATAATGATAACAATAATTATTCTTTGTTTGCCAACATCTATCTTCAAATCAAAATAGTGAGATACTCAATTTCTCTATAAATAGACCAGCCTAGTTTTGATAATGCATATAATGAAACATTTAATTATGTATTGTACTTTTTAAAGATTATTTAGAGTATTTTTTATTTCAGTAGTTTTTGGGGAACAGGTGGTGTTTGGTTACATGCCTATGTTCTTTAGTGGTGATTTCTGAGATTTTGGTGTACCCATCACCGAGCAATGTACACTGCACCCATTGTGTAGTCTTTTATTCTTCACCCACCTCCCAACCTTCCCCTTGAGTCCCCAGAGTCCAATATATTATTCTTATCCTTTTGCACCCTCATAGCTTAGCTCCCACTTATAAGTGAGAATATAAAATGTTTGGGTTTCCATTTCTGAGTTACTTCATGTACAATAATGGTCTCTAACTCCATCCAGGTTGCTGTGAGTGCAATTATTTCATTTTCTTAGGGCTGAGAAGTATTCCGTGGTATATATATATGTATATATAAATATATCACATTTTCTTTATCCACTCGTGGGTTGATGGGCATTTAGGCTGGTTTCATAATTTTGTAACTGTGAATTGTGCTGCTATAAACATGTGTATGCAAGTGTTTTTTTCATATAATGACTCCTTGTTCTCTGGGTAGATACTACAGTAGTGGGATTGCTGGATCAAATGGTAGATGTACTTTTTGTTCTTTAAGAAATCTCCATATTGTTTTCCATAGTGGTTGTACTAGTTTACATTCCTACCAGCAGTGTAGAAGTGTTCCCTTTTCACCATATTCATGCCAGCATCTATTTTTTTTTTATTTTTAAATTATGGCCATTCTTGCAGGAGTAAGGTGGTATCTCATTGTGTTTTTGATTTGCATTTCTCTGATAATTAGTGATTTTGAACTTTTTTTTAATGTTTGTTGGCCATTTGTGTATCTTCTTTTGAGAATTATCTATTCATGTCCTTAGCCCACTTTTTGATGGGGTTATTTGCTTTTTTCTTGCTTATTTGTTTTGAGTTCCTTGTAGATTCTGGATATTAGTCCCTTGTCAGATACATAGTTTATGAGTATTTTTTCCCACTTTGTGGATTTTCTGTTTACTCTGCTGATTATTTCTTTTGCTGTGAAGAAGCTTTTTAGTTTAAGTCCAATCTATTTATTTTTGTTTTTGTTGCATTTGCTTTTGGGTTCTTGCTTATGAACTCTTTGCGTAGGCCAATGTCTAGAAGAATTTTTCCAAAGTTATCTTCTAGAAGTGATCAAAATATATACATTTAAAATAAACCATACAATTTTACTAGTAAGAAGCCTGTAGTTAAGTTTAATTCAAATTGAATTTCACAAGTTAGTAATCTAAATCCTTAGACAAAGTTACAGAAAGTGCATCTTCTTGTTTTCCATCTGCATACAATGTTAAATTTTTCTCTTCGGTGTTTATACCATTTAAAAAATAAACACAGCCTAATACTTAAGCAATATGTACATTTAAATTTTTGGTGGTGGTTTGTATTTTAAAATAAACAGCTTTCTTAGAATTTGCCTCAATTTCTGGTAGAAATGCTTACAGGAACTAGCTAATTAAAACTAAGAAAAGCACATTCAAAGTATTGATTTACTTTTAGCAAATGGTTGTTCTTTGAATACTAATGAAGATAGACAAGACCGATTAAGGTGAAGTGGGCTATTTCAAATATTCAACAGTTTACATGTGTGTGTGTGTGTGTGTGTGTGTGTGTGTGTTTTAGGCAGAGTCTTGCTCTGTCTTCCAGGCTGGAGTGCAGTGGCCCAATCTCAGCTCACTGCAACCTTTGCCTCCTGAGTTCAAGTGATTCTCCAGCTCAGCCTCCTGAGTAGCTAGACCACAGGTGCGCACCACCATGCGCAGATAATTTTTATATTTTTAGTAGACTGGGTTTCACCATGTTGGCCACGCCGGTCTCAAACTCCTGACCTCAACTGATCTGCCCACCTTGGCTTCCCAAAGTGTTGGGATTACAGGTGTGAGTCACCACGCCCAACCCCAGTTTACATAAATATTAAAAAAAGTTTTTTTATCTTTGCCTAGAAACTGCTATTTTTTAAAAAATTTTATTATTATACTTTAAGTTTTAGGGTACATGTGCACAATGTGCAGGTTTGTTACATATGTATACATGTGCCATGTTGGTGTGCTGTACCCATTAACTCGCGATGTACATTAGGTATATCTCCTAATGCTATCCCTCTCCCCTCCCCCAACCCCACAACAGGCCCTGGTGTGTGATATTCCCCTTCCTGTGTCCATGTGTTCTCATTGTTCAATTCCCACCTATGAGTGAGAACATGCGGTGTTTGGTTTTTTGTCCTTGAGATAGTTTGCTGAGAATGATGATTTCCAGCTTCATCCATGTCCCTACAAAGGACATGAACTCATCATTTTTTATGGCTGCATAGTATTCCATGGTGTATATGTGCCACATTTGCTTAATCTAGTCTACCATTGTTGGACATTTGGGTTGGTTCCAAGTCTTTCCTGTTGTGAATAGTGCCGCGATAAACATACGTGTGCATGTGTCTTTATAGCAGCATGATTTATAATCCTTTGGGTATATACCCAGTAATGGGATGGCTGGGTCAAATGGTATTTCTAGTTCTGGATCCCTGAGGAATTGCCACACTGACTTCCACAATGGTTGAACTAGTTTACAGTCCTACCAACAGTGTAAAAGTGTTGCTATTTCTCCATATCCTCTCCAGCACCTGTTGTTTCCTGACTTAAAGTTTTTAAGAGCTAAGCTTCTGTATCCACTGACAGAAATGCAATACCTAGTTTATGATGACTTGAAACAAAACAAATACCCATAAGGAAAAAGCTGTATTTTATCTAAATTTACTTTCAGTCAATAGTTAAGTAGCGTTTTCCTCCCAGTACTATATATAAGGCTGTTCTTGGGAGCCAGACGGTTTAGGTAATAAGGTAGCCAAGAAGGTAACTGCTTGTAGTTATAAATCGACAATAACTTTTTGCTTTTCTCTTAATTTGCTAATAGTTGTGTCTAAAAAATGCAATTCTTAAAAAGGTATCATTTCTGATTTTGTTGTCATCTGTAACCTGTGGAAACTAACCACATGAAACTACAATATTAGCAAATTTCTTGAAATCCATATAGAAAACATAAATTATCACTAATTTCAAACTCTGATTTATTAGTGTATCACTCAATCTTTAAAAAAAATGGAAAAGAAAAAGAAAAGCAGCTCCAAAGATAGTCTTATACCAGTCTTTAAAAAGGAAACTGTTTCATTTAACTTTACACCCACCCCACACTGCAGTTTCAAAACAGAGTATTTAATTGTCGTAGTCATGGGCATTACACCAAGATGAGGTTTTATATTTTGCTCCCATAGCTTTTGGTTAACAAAAAACACACGCTTCTTTTATTGAAGGAGTTTGGTCCAGCTGATGTTAATGTATTTCTTCCAATATTTTTAATCCTCATCTTTGCTTCTGGAGGCATTGCCTCAGGTTGACTACCTTCATCTTCATTAAAACCTGCTGCTACCAAAAGAATTTTTGAAGCAAGAGTTGGAACAGGTTCTTTTTTTTTTCTTTTATTATTATACTTTAAGTTTTAGGGTACATGTGCACATTGTGCAGGTTAGTTGCATATGTATACGTGTGCCATGCTGGTGCGCTGCACCCACTAACTCGTCATCTAGCATTAGGTATATCTCCCAATGCTATCCCTCCCCCTTCCCCCCACCCCACAACAGTCCCCAGAGTGTGATGTTCCCCTTCCTGTGTCCATGTGTTCTCATTGTTCAATTCCCACCTATGAGTGAGAACATGCGGTGTTTGGTTTTTTGTTCTTGCGATAGTTTACTGAGAATGATGATTTCCAATTTCATCCATGTCCCTACAAAGGACATGAACTCATCATTTTTTATGGCTGCATAGTATTCCATGGTGTATATGTGCCACATTTTCTTAATCCAGTCTATCATTGTTGGACATTTGGGTTGGTTCCAAGTCTTTGCTATTGTGAATAATGCCGCAATAAACATACGTGTGCATGTGTCTTTATAGCAGCATGATTTATAGTCCTTTGGGTATATACCCAGTAATGGGATGGCTGGGTCAAATGGTATTTCTAGTTCTAGATCTCTGAGGAATCGCCACACTGACTTCCACAATGGTTGAACTAGTTACACAGAACAGGTTCTTTAGGCTTACTTAATCTAAGTTTGATGGATATGGCTGATGCTTTCTTTGTCATGTGACTACCTGTGGTAGATCTAAACTTGATCTTTGTAGGCTTTGTTGGGAGGACTGCTGCTTCTTTTTCGGCTGATGGCTTCTCAGTGCTGCGACCAGAAGTTTTCCCTCCATTACTGGAATAAACAGCCTTAGTTTTCACCGTTTTTTCCACTTCTTCTTCAGGTCCTCCAGTGGCTCCAGCTCACTGCATCTTTTCAGCCTTCTCCTTCCCACCTTCCCATCTGCCATTTTGTGTGCCGTGGACTACCCTGCAACCAAGCCAAGCTCTTTCAGACTTTTTGCCGTAGGCATTTAATGCTATGAAGTTTCCTCTTAGCACCACTTCTGCTGTATCTCAGATGTTTTGATAGGTTGTGTCACTATTATCATTCCGTTCAAAGGATTTTTAAATTTCTATCTTAATTTTATTGTTGATCCAAAGATTATTCAGGAGCAGATTATTTAATTTCCACATATTTGTAAAGTTTTGAACATTCCTTTTTGTATTGGCTTCCAATTTTTTTCCACTGTGGTCAGCAAGAGTACTGATATAATTTTGATACTCTTAAATTTATTGAGACTTTTTTGTTGCCTATCTTATGGTCTATCTTGGAAAGTGTTCCATGTTCTGATAAAAAGATTATATATTCTGCAGTTGTTGGGTAGAATGTTCTGTAAATGTCTGTTAAGTTGATTTGTTCTAAGGGTATAGCTTAAGTCAATTGTTTCTTATTTGACTTTCTGTCTTGATGACCTGTCCAGTGCTGTCAGTGGAGTATTAGTTTCCCACTATTACTGTGTTGCCATCTGTCTCATTTCTTAGGCCTAGTAGTAACTGTTTTATTGTTTTTTAAAATTGTTTTATTAATTTGGGAGCTCCAGTGTTAGGTGCATATATATTGTGATATTTTCCTGTTGGCTAATTCTTTCATCATTATACAATGTCTCTCTCTGTCTTTTTAAACTGTTGAGGCTTTAAAATCTATTTTGTCTGGTATAAGAATAGCTACTCCTGCTTGCTTTTGGTTTTCATTTGCATTGAATATCTCTTTCCACCCCTTTACCTTATGTTTATGTGAGGCCATATGTGTTAGGTGAGTTTCTTGAAGACAGCAGATACTTTGTTGGTAGATTTTTATCCATTATGTCATTCTGTATCTTCTAAGCGAAGCGTTTAGGCAACTTACATATAACATTAGTATTGAGATGTGAGGTACCATTCTATTCATTGTGCTACTTGCTGCCTGAATATCTTTTTTTCCTTGTGTAATGGTTTATAGGCCCTGTGAGATTTATGCTTTAAGGAGGTTCTATTTTGCTGTATTTCAAGGTTTTGTTTCAAGATTTAGAACTCCGTTTAGCATTTCTTGTAGTGCTGGCTTGATAGTGGCAAATTCTCTAAGCATTTGTTTGTCTGAGAAAGACTTTATCTTTTCGGTATTAGTATGTTTACACACTGCTATAAAGGACTACCTGAGACTGGGTAATTTATAAAGAAAAGTGGTTTAATTGACTCACAGTTTCACATGGCTGTGGAGTCCTTATGAAACTTACAACTATGGCAGAAGGTGAAGCAGAAGCAAGGCATGTCTTATATGGTGGCAGGAGAGAGAAAGAAATGGGGAAAGTGCCACACTTTAAAACCATCAGACAGTGTGAGAACTCACTATCATAAGAACAGCATGGGGGAAATTCATTCCCATAATCTAATTACCTCCCACCAGGTCCCTCCCCTGACACAGGAATTACAATTCAACATGAGATTTGGGTGGGGACATAGAGCCCAACCATATCTTACCACCCCTGGCCTCTTTCAAATCTCATGTCTTTTCATGTCCTTTGCCCACTTTTTGATGGGGTTGTTTGTTTTTTTCTTGTAAATTTGTTTGAGTTCATTGTAGATTCTGGATATTAGCCCTTTGTCAGATGAGTAGGTTGTGAAAATTTTCTCCCATTTTGTAGGTTGCCTGTTCACTCTGATGGTAGTTTCTTTTGCTGTGCAGAAGCTCTTTGGTTTAATTAGATCCCATTTGTCAATTTTGGCTTTTGTTGCCATTGCTTTTGGTGTTTTATACATGAAGTCCTTGCCCAGGCCTATGTCCTGAATGGTTAATGCCTAGGTTTTCTTCTAGGGTTTTTATGGTTTTAGGTCTAACATTTAAGTCTTTAATCCATCTTGAATTGATTTTTGTATAAGGTGTAAGGAAGGGATCCAGTTTCAGCTTTCTACATCTGGCTAGCCAGTTTTCCCAGCACCATTTATTAAATAGGGAATCCTTTCCCCATTGCTTGTTTTTCTCAGGTTTGTCAAAGATCAGACACTTCTCAAAAGAAGACATTTATGCAGCCAAAAAACACATGAAAAAATGCTCACCATCACTGGCCATCAGAGAAATGCAAATCAAAACCACAATGAGATACCATTTCACTCCAGTTAGAATGGCAATCATTAAAAAGTCAGGAAACAACAGGTGCTGGAGAGGATGTGGAGAAATAGGAACACTTTTACACTGTTGGTGGGACTGTAAACTAGTTCAACCATTCTGGAAGTCAGTGTGGTGATTCCTCAGGGATCTAGAACTAGAAATACCATTTGACCCAGCCATCCCATTACTGGGTATATACCCAAATGACTATAAATCATGCTGCTTTAAAGACACATGCACACATATGTTTATTGCGGCATTATTCACAATAGCAAAGACTTGGAACCAACCCAAATGTCCAACAATGATAGACTGGATTAAGAAAATGTGGCACATATACACCATGGAATACTATGCAGCCATAAAAAATGATGAGTTCATGTCCTTTGTAGGGACATGGATGAAATTGGAAATCATCATTCTCAGTAAACTATCGCAAGAACAAAAAACCAAACATCGCATATTCTCACTCATAGGTGGGAATTGAACAATGAGAACACATGGACACAGGAAGGGGAACATCACACTCTGGGGACTGTTGTGGGGTGGGGGGAAGGGGGAGGGATAGCATTGGGAGATATACCTAATGCTAGATGACGACTTAGTGGGTGCAGCGCACCAGCATGGCAGATGTATACATATGTAACTAACCTGCACATTGTGCACATGTACCCTAAAACTTAAAGTATAATAATAATAAAAAAAGTGGAAAAAAAAATCTCATGTCTTTCTCACATTACAAAATCAATTATGAATTCCCAACAGTTCATCAAAGTCTTAACTCCTTTCAGCATTAACTCAAAGTTTCAAGTTCAGTGTCTCATCTGAGACAAAACAAGTTCATTTTGCCCATGATGGGAGGGGCTGCCATGAATGTCTCTGACTGACCTTGGAGACATTTTCCCCATTGTCTTGGCTATTAACATTCAGCTTCTCTTTAGTTATGCAAATTTCTGCAGCTGGCTTGAATTTCTTTCTAGAAAATGGGTTTTTCTTTTCTACCACAAAGTCAGCTGCAAATTTTTTAAACTTTTATGCTCCACTTTCCTTTTAAACGTAAGTTCCAATTTCAGACCAGCTGTTTGTGAATGCATATGACTGTACACTGTTAGGAGCAGCCGGGCAATATTTTGAATGCTTTGTTGCTTAGAAACTTTTTACTCCAGATACCCTAAATAACCTCTTTCACGTTCAAAGTTCCACGGATATTTGGGGAAGGGGCACAATGCCACTAGTGTTTTTTCATAACAAGAGTGACCTTTGCTTCAATTTCCAGTGAGTTTCTATCTTTATCTGAGACTACCTCAGCCTGGACTTCATTGTTTATATCACTATCAGAATTTTGGTCACAACCATTCAACACGTCTCTAGGAAGTTCCAAACTTTCCCAAATCTTCCTGTGTTCATCTGAGCTTTTCAAATTGTTTCAACCTCTGCCTGTTACCCAGTTACCAAGTCGCCTCCACATTTTCATGTATCTTTATAGCAGTGCTCCACTCGTCTGGTACAGAATTCCTATATCAGTCAATTTTCACACTGCTATAAAGAACTACCTGAGACTAGGTAATTTATAAAGAAAATAGGTTTAATTGATTCACAGTTCTGCATGCCTGGGGAGGCCTCAGAAATCTAACAATCATGGCAGAAGGTAAAGGGTAAGCAACGTATATGTTACATGACAGAATGAGAGAGCACAAGGTGGGGATGTGCCATACTTTTAAACCATCAGATCTTGTGAGAACTCACCCACTATCACAAGAACAGCATGAGGGAAATCTGCCTTCATGATTTAATAACCTCCCACCTGGTCCCTCCCCTGACATATGGGGATTATAATTCAACATGAGATTTGAGTGGAGACACAGAGCCAAACCATACCACCTTCACTTATGAAGCTTAATTTTGCTGAATACAAAATTCTTGGCTAATAATTACTTTGTTTAAGAAACCTAAAGATAGGACCCCAATCCTTTCTGGCTTCTAGGGTTTCTGCTTACAAATCTGTAGTTAGTCTGACAGATTTTCTTTTATAGGTTACCTGATGCTTTTGTCTCACCGCTCTTAATATTCTTTCCTTCATCTTGACTTTAGATAACCTGATGACTATGTTCCTAGGTGATAATCTTTTTGCAATAAATTTTCCAGGTGTTCTTTGGGCTTCTTATATTTGGATGTCTAGATCTCTAGCATGACGAGGGAAGTTTTCCTTGATTATTCCCTGAAATAAGTTTTCCAAACTTTTAGATTTCTTTTCTTTCTCAGGAAGAACAATTGTTTTCATGTTTGATTATTTAACATAATCCCAAATTTCTGGGAGGCTTTATTCATTTTTAATTTTTTTCTTTGTCTTTGATAGATTGGGTTAATTCAGATGCCTTTTCTTTGAGCTGTGAAATTCTTCTATTCATTTAATTATATTTTTTTAACATTTTCAGTGTATTTTGCATTTCTCTAAGTGTGTCTTTCACTTCCAGAAGTTGTGATTATCTTGTCTTTATGATAGCCGTTTCTCTGGAGGCTTTTTTATCTATATCCTATATTTTTAAAAACATTCTCTAAGTTGGTTTTCACTTTTCTCTGGTGCCTCCTTGAGTAGCTTAATAGTCATCCTTCTGAATTCTTTGGCAATTCAGATTTTTTTTCCTTGGTTGGGATCCATTGCTGGAGAGCTAGTGTGATCTTTTGGTGTTGTTATAGAACCTAGTTTTGTCATATTACCAGAATTACTTTTCTGGTTTCTTCTCATTTGGGTAGACTGTTTTGGTTGAAAAATCTGGAACTCAAGGGATGCTGTTCAGATTTTTTTGTCCCATGGGGTGATCTTTGATGTGGTGCTATCCCCCTTCACCTAGGGATAGGACTTCCTGAGAGCCAGACTGCAGTGATTGTGATTGCCCTCCTGGGTCTAAACACCCAGCAGGGCTACCTGACTTTTGGCTGGTGCTGAGGAATGTCTGCAAAAAGTCCTGTGATGTGACTCATCTTCAATCTCCCAGCTGTGGATACCAGCACCTGGTCCAGTGCTACAGTAGTAGCTCAGGAGTGTAGTGGACTCTGAGCGTCCTTGGTTGTAGTTTTGTTTAGTGCACCAGTTTTCTCAAATGCTTGTCATGCTGACAGTGAAGTTATGACATGGATGGATTCAGGACATCTGATTAGCCAGGGTGTTGCAGGCGGGGGAATTAGCTGTTGTTTTCTCCTTTGGAGCAGAGGTGTTCTGTTAGGAGTTGCTGTAATGGCTTGAGTTGGTTGGCCTCCAGCCAGGAGGTGGTGCTTTCAAGGACCACTAGCTGTGGTCGTAGAAGGAGGATACAATCTTGCCCTACATTGGCCAGGACAAATACTCCAGTTTCTTGGGTGATGGGTACAGTCATGGAACTCCCAAGAGCTTATGTCTTTTTCCTTTGGCTGCCAGAGTGCATAGAGAAAAACCATCAGGTGGGTGCAGGGTTAGACGGGTCTGAGCTCAGACTCTCCTTAAGTGGGGCTTGCTGTGGCCACTGTTGGAGATGTAGGGTGGTTATCAGGCCAATGAAGTTATGTTCCCAGGGGAATTATGGCTACCTCTACTGCATCATGCAGGTCACCAGAGAAGTGGGGAAAAGCCGGCAGTGACAGGCCTTCACCCAGCTTTCATGTAATCAGCAAAGCCAATCTCATTCCTGCTGTGCCCCACCAACAGCACTGAGTTTACATCCAGGCAACTGGTGAGCAGGGCAGGGACATTACCCCAGGCTTCAAGCATCCCCCTTGAGAAAGCAAGCAGGGTTCTCAGGCCTCATCCCTCCCTTCCTGCCTGCACCTTCAGCTGAGGCTTCTGTGCTTGTATGTGCACTTCTGGTTTGCCCCTGCCCCACCCCCCCACCCCCGCCACCCAGATTCTTCTCAGGAAAATTTGTGCTCAATAGAAATTATTACAAGCTTCAGCTATGAGCTTCCTTCACCCTGTGAGCCCTGCTCAATTCTTTCTGGCTGCTTTTCCTTCCCCAAGGACCTCTGTTAGATAAGGAATGGCTTCCCTAAGCTTGAGCTGGGGACCAAGAGTGCCTACAGGTTTCTTCCTGCTCCTCCTTCTACTTTCGTATTTTGCTCAGCTCTCTAAATCCACTTCAGCTCTAGGTAAGGTTAAATCCTTCTCCCAGATCTGGATTTTCAGGTTTCTCAGTGGTTATGTGTGTTCGGAGGCAGACTTCCTTTCTCTCACTTTGGGAACTCATAATTTTTTGGCTGTCTTACAGAGTTTTCAGCAGCAAGCTGCTTCTTTCAAAGGGGCTGTGAATTATTTTGATCTTCCTGGTGTGTTCCTGTGGTGGTTCTTGGAGCAAAAGTTTACAGTGTGAATCTTCAGACACTGTTCTGTTCATCCAAGCGAGAGCTGCACTCTGGTTCTGTCTTCTATCTGCCATTTTTTAACCACCTCCTGTTTTTTCTTTAAAATATCTATCTCTTTAGACATTTTTCATTTATATCCCAAATTATTCTTAATTTTTTTTATGTTGGTGTTCACCTTTCTTTTGTATCTTCATGAGTAACTTAATCATTAACTTTTTGCATTCTTTATCTGACATTTCAAGGATTTTATCTTGGTTTGGATCCATTGCTGGAGAGCTAGTGTGGTATTTTTGGGACCTTATAGAACCCTGTTTTTTCATTTTGCCAGAATTAGTTTTTGGCTTCTTCTCATTTTGATAAACTGTTTCTTCTGTTTTGAATTTATTTTTTTATTTGACTACATTTTTAGAAATTTCTTTTTTTCTCCTTAGGGATATGACTTAAATGTTTATGGTTCATTGTAACCTAATTTGACTCTGGATGCTTTTAGTGGTGAAGACTCTGTATGAGTTCCTTGGTTACAGAGAGTCTTTGTATGATGGCTTTCTCAGAAGCTGGTTATAGTAGCGATATACTTGGTGTGTGAGCAGGTTCACTGTCTCTTCTGGGGTTTGAAAGGCAGAAGTCTCATGAAGTTTATCTTGCTCCCAGTGGTGTGCACTGTTATTTATTTGTTTTTCTTTCCAGTATTTTTTTCTCTCATTTGAACAGTTCAGGCTTCAGGCCAGTAAGCAGTGTCTATGGGTAAAAACTGTGCATGGCTAAGGCAAATGGGTAAATACAATACCTAAAGTTGCACAGAGGTCCCAGCCTTGATAGAAGTGGCTGTGGGAGCTCTCAGTGAAACATACTGTCTTTTCAGGGGGAAGGGAGGGAGCCACCTCAGCTCCCCTGCCAGGCCAGCAGGAAAGCGATCTACCTCCAAGTCACAGTCCTGACCCAGTGTTCCAGCTATACAGATTAGACAGGCACCCTTTTCACTAGCAGAAATGCTGATGTTTCACATAGAAAAGGATCGTTACTCTACCCTTCATGCAAGCCTGAACCTGGAGGGTGCTCCTCCTCTGGGGATGCAGTCACCCTGAAGTTCTCTAGAAAGGCTGTCTACAGGTTTACCCACCACTGAGCTCTTATGGGAGAAGCCTCAGCTATGTCAGCATTGGTGGGCAAGGGGAAGAAGTCACCTTCTCTAGCACCCTTCACAAGTACCAGGGCTGCTTGTTTGGGTAGAGCCACAGACTTTCTCCACTGAGTCTAGTACTGCTCCTGTGCCTGTGCTTAAAGAAACTTTTCACAAGCAGAAAGTTCTGGAACTCAAAGCCAGCTGTCTGGATTCTTTTGTCCCACAGGGTACTTTTTTGATGTGGTACACTCTCCCCTCCCCTAGGAGTAAGAGTCCCTGAGGGATGAGCTACTGTGAATCATGCTGCTCTTCTGGGCCTACCCACCTAGTGGAACTGCCACACTTAGGGATGGTGCTGGGGCATGTCTGCAAGGGATCCAGTGATGTGACATTTCCTCAAGTCTCCCAGCAGCAGGTATCAGCACCAACTCTCACTCTCCTGTCACTGCCATCAGTTAGATTTCCTTGGTTATAAATAGTCTTAGTGTGTTGGCTTTCTCAAGTGCCAGTTGTAGTAGTAATGAGCTAGTCATGTGGACAGACTCAAGACTTCCTGGTTAACCAGGGTGCTGCAAGCAATGGTGATAGCTGAGGTCTTATACAAGTTTTCTTGTTCCTGGACACTGTGTTACTTTGCTTACATATACTGTATTGGACCATATTGATTGGCCTCCAGCCAGGAGGTGGTGCTTATAAGAGAGCACCAGCTGCAGTGGTGGCAGTGGGAATTGTGCCTGCCTTATATTACCCAGGGAAGGTAATCTGGTGTCTCAGACAATGAGCAGGGCCATAGAGCTCCCAAAAGTTTCTGTGTTTTGTACTAAGCTACCAGGGCAGGTGGAAGGGCAAAGCCAAGTGGGGGTTGAGTCAGTCAAGTCTGCACTCTGACTCCCCATGTGCAGTTGTAAGCAGCAGCCCCAGTGGGGATCAGATGGCAATTATTTGGTCACTGATATAATGTTCCATGGAGGAGTACAGCTGCTTCCGCTGCACGGAAGAATCTGCATTTAGGGGAGGGAGTAGCAGGGAGCAGTAAGCCCCACCCAGCTCCCACACAATTGGCAAGGCATGTTTCACACACCACAGTGTTCCACTAGGAGCAGCTAGATAGATTCTAGGCAGTCTACACTCAGAACTCAAAACTGCCCCAGGCCATAAGTCTTCTCCCTCAAGACAGAAACCATGGCTTTCAGGCCAGGGCCCACCCACTCCACACTTGCACCTGTGGCTATAGCACTCTTCCTCCTTGCCCCTCGGTTCTGGTTAAGGGGGTTTGTCCCACTCGAGATTATATTATGAATCTCAGTTGGGAGCTTCTATCAACCTGGGACTGCCATCTGAGTTATCCAGCTGACTTGTGCAAGGTCCCCTATGAGGTAGGATCAGGAATGGCTTCCCTCCATTCTTTCTGGAGTCTGGGAGTGCATGCAAAGTACATGCTGATGCTGCTCCTCCTCATGTACTCTCACCGGTCACAGCTCCAGAACTGGATAGGGTTAAGGCCTTCCACTGTGGGCTGTTTGCCAGGTTCCCCAGTGGAGACTATATCTTGGAGGCAGTCTCTCCCCTTATTGCACTCTGAGGACTTAATAGCTTTCTGCCTGGCTCACGGTGTAGGCTGCAGCCCGCTGCTTCTTTCAAAGGATCTGTGGTTTCTTTCTGTTTCCCTGTTAAGTTCCTGTGTTGCTTCTTGGAAAAAAGTTCACAGCTTGTTGCTACATAACCATGTTGGTTGGCCTCCAGCCAGGATGTGGTGCTTGTAAGAGAGCACCAACTGCAGTGGTAGCAGTGGGAATTGTGCCTGCCTTATATTACCCAGGGAAGGTAATCTGGTGTCTCAGGCAATGAGCAGGGCCATAGAGCTCCCAAAAGTTCTGTGTTTTGTGTTAAGCTACCAGGGCAGGTGGAAGTGCAAAGCCAAGTGGGAGCTGACAGTGTTTTGTGAGGGTTATCCATGTAGTTCATTCTTTTCATGGCTGAATAACATTTGACTGTATGGATATACTACATTTTGTTGTAGTTTGGTAGACATGTGGGTTGTTTCTACTTTTTTGGCTATGTACATTGTGTGTATGTCTTTTGTGTGAACATATTTTTCTTTTCTTTTTTTTCTTTTGAGATGGAGTCTTGCTCTGTTGCCTAGGCTGGAGTACAGTGGCACAATCTCAGCTCACTGCAACCTCCACCTCCCTGGTTCAAGCAATTCCCCTGGCTCAGCCTCCCGAGTAGCTGGGATTACAGGCACACACCATCACGCCAGGCTAATGTTTTTGTATTTTTAGTGGAAATGGGGTTTCACCATGTTGGCCAGACTGGTATTGAACTCCTGACCTCAGGCAATCCACACGCCTCAGCCTCCCAAAGTGCTGGGATTACAGATGTGAGCCACTGCACCTGGCCAGTATCCCTTTTCTACAGCCATATTAAAACAGCTACAAACACTTATTTTCCTATTTAGTTTTACTTTCTGTGCATATCAAAGTTGTACTCTTCAGACCAACAAACCAACATGAGGCAAATTACATAGCTTCCCATATACCCTTGTTTCCTCATGTGCTAATCAAAGGCTCTGAAAATGGATACTGCTTTAATATTGTCTGCTTTATTCTTAAAGTGCTCATTCTTTTACTAGATGTAAAGATTTGGTGTTAACAAAAGGGGTTTTAATATGTAAATATGAATGAATGCCTTTAGTTTACCCCTGTTTGTCTATTATTATTAGTCTGTTTTCATTTATACTTCATAGAGGCGGATCCTTTCATGATCTTGAATACATTTCACTAGATATTGTTGCATTTTAAGAATGAAAGTACAGCTGTTTTCTGTCTTAGATTAATTGTGCTGCTGCTATGAGAAACTGAAAATCAAGAATGTGATGCACTTTTTACATTACTATATACCATATATATACCATAGCTTGCTTTGATACCTTTCCTGTAGCACAGCCACTAACAAGAGTGAGTGAATTATAAAATTCTCTTTGGGAAGGAATCAGTGCAAGTAACTAATTCTTAGCTGGTATTGGCCTATGAAGGACAGTAACTTAGGAACTTAAGATTTCTGTTAATAGTACACTTTTTGGCCTTAAATGTCTCCTACTACTGAAAATAGTTTAAATATTAGCTTTGTTTCTATTACTCCCTCTCTCTGCCTCAGCAAGGGGAATTGGGAAGAATGGCTTAAAGGATGTAGTGTCATTGATTTGTTGCTGAACTTTTAGAAAACATTAATCTATGTATGCTGGGGACTTATATTTTGTTTATATATAGAGGAGAAATAATGCTGCCCTGAACCACTCACATTTAGTATAAATCACATCAATCAAAACCTGGCAGAGGCACAACAAAAAAAGAAAATTTCAGGCCAATATCCTTGATGAACATCAATACGAAAATCCTCAATAAAATGATGGCAAACCGAATCCAGCAGCACATCAAAAAGCTCATCCACCACAATCAAGTCGGCTTCATGTCTGGGATGCAAGGCTGGTTCAACATATGCAAATCAATAAATGTAATCCATCACATAAACATAACCAATGACAAAAACCACATGATTATATCAATAGATGCAGAAAAGGTCTTCCATAAAATTCAATACCCCTTCATGCTAAAAACTCTCAATAAACTAGGTATTGATGGAATGTACCTCAAAATAAAAAAGAGCTATTTATGACAAACCCACAGCCAATATCATAATGAATGGGCAAATGCTGGAAGCATTCCCTTTGAAAACCAGCACAAGACAAGGATGGCCTCTCTCACCACTCCTATTCAACAGAGTATTGGAAGTTCTGGCCAGGGCAATCAGGCAAGACAAAGAAATGAAGGGTATTGAAATAGGAAGAGAGAAAGTCAAATAGTCTCTGTTTGAAGATGACATGATTGTATATTTATAAAACCCCATCATCTCACCCCAAATCTCCTTAAACTGATAGCAACTTCAGCAAAGTCTCAGGATACAAAATCAATGTGCAAAAATCACAAGAATTCCTATACACCAATAATAGACAATCAGGGAACCAAATCATGAGTGAACTCCCATTCACAATTGCCACAAAGTGAATAAAATACCTAGGAATACAACTTACAAGGGATGTGAAAGACCTCCTCAAGAACTACAAACCACTGCTCAAGGAAATAAATAAAAAAGGACACAAACAAATGGAAAAACATTCCATGCTCATGGATAGGAAGAATCAATATTGTGAAAATGGCCATACTGTCCAAAGTAATTTATAGATTCAGTGCTATCCCCATCAAGCTACTATTGACTTTCTTCACAGAATTGCAAAAAAAAACTACTTTAAATTTCATATAGAACCAAAAAAGAGCCCGTATAGCTAAGACAATTGTAAGCAAAAAGAAAAAAGCTGGAAGCATCACACTACCTGACTTCAAACTATGCTACAAGGATACAATAACCAAAACAGCATGGTACTGCTACCAAAACAGATATATAGACCAATGGAACAGAAGAGAGGCCTCAGAAATAATGCCACACATCTACAACCATCTGATCTTTGACAAACCTGACAAAATCAAGCAATGGGGAAAGGATTACTTATGGTCTTGGGAAAACTGGCTAGCCATATGCAGAAAACTGAAACTGGACCTCTTCCTTACACCTTATACAAAAATTAACTCAAGAAGGATTAAAGACTAAAATGTAAGACTTACAACCATAAGAACCCTAGAAGAAAACCTAGGCAATACCATTCAGGACATAGGCATGGGCAAAGACTTCATGACTAAAACAACAAAAGCAATGACCAAAGCCAAAATTGACAAATGGGATCTGATTAAACTAAAGAGCTTCTGCACAGCAAAAGAAACTATCATCAGAGTGCACAGGCAACCTACAGAATGGGAGAAAATTTTGCAATCTGTCTATGTGACAAAAGGCTAATATACAGGATCTACAAAGAACTTAAACAAATTTACAAGAAAACAACAAACAACCCCATCAAAAATGGGTGAAGGATATGAACAGACACTTCTCAAAAGAAGACATTTATGCAGCCAACAAACATATGAAAAAAAGCTCATCATCACTGGTCATTAGAGAAATGCAAATCGAAACCACAATGAGATACCATCTCACGCCAGTTAGAATGGTGATTATTAAAAAGCCAGGAAACATCAGATGCTGGAGAGGATGTGGAGAAATAGGAACACTTTTACACTGTTGGTGGGAGTGTAAAGTAGTTCAACTATTGTGGAAGACAGTGTGGTGATTCCTCAGGGATCTAGAACGAGAAATACCATTTGACCCAGCAATTCCATTACTGGTTATATACCCAAAGGATTATAAATCATTCTACTATAAGGACACATGCACATGTATGTTTATTGCAGCACTGTTCACAATAGTAAAGACTGGGAACCAACCCAAATGCCCATCAATGACAGACTGGATAAAGAAAATGTGGCACATATACACCATGCAATACTATGCAGCCATAAAAAGGATGAGTTCATCTCTTTTGCAGGGACATGGATGAAGGTGGAAACATCATTCTCAGCAAACTAACACAAGAACAGAAAACTAAACACTGCATGTTCTCATTCATAAGTGGGAGTTGAATAATTTTAACACATGGACACAGGGAGGGGAACATCACACACTGGTACCTGTCAAGGGAGTAGGGGGCTAGGGGAGGGATAGCATTAGGAGAAATATCTAATGTAGATGATGGGTTGATGGGTGCAACAAACCACCATGGCACATGTATACCTATGTAACAAACCTGCACATTCTGCAACATGTATCCCAGAACTTAGAGTATAATAAAAATATTAAAAAATTAAATTATTGAAGAAATAACTCCAACTATTCTGTTTATCTTATATATTTTTACTTAGCAAAGGAAAACTTTAGGAAGAATGCTACTTGATAAGAAGAAAAGTAATTTCTCAAGCACATACCGAAACTTGAAGGTGATTGAACCAAAAATAATAGGTGGGCAACACCGAATGAGTTGGAGGAGTATGAGAAAGATGTGTGGGCCAAAGCTATCTGGTTATATTTTGATGTTGCCAATATCACAAAGTCAAAATTTTAATTTTCTTATTTAATATATTTGTTGGCCAGAGAGCTATTTTTGTATCAATGTGCCTTGCACGTACGTTAAAAAAATTTTTGAAAGGCCATGTAGTAATGCCTGAGATAGTTGATGGTTCTTACCACCTCATTAATTTTTATGCAGTATGAAATGCTCATTCTGTTGTCCAAATGGTGTTCTCTATTTATAGATCTTGTCAAACTGGAACTATTTTATAAGCTGGGGATGTTGATTTACTGTTTTTGTTGTGTCTTTTTTGTTGTTAGTCTGTTAGTGGCTGTTCTGTAGTGGGAAATAGTAAAAGGATTCTTCACTCCCTTTTCTTTTCCCCTCAGCACCTTCTTCAAGTAATGTGATGACACCATTTCTTGTGTGCTTTGAAAAAAGTTTCAGCTTGCTGCCTCCTTTAGTGTTTTAAAGAAGTGTTATACAAAGCATTGTTTGCAGAATGTAGGGAGATAATGGAGTCCACTTTAATTTGGAATTCTGTATGAGCTATGTTCCAAATTATCAGCTCTTTCTAACTTTAAAAATTCTGTTGTTAAAAGCACCTTGCTTAGAAAATTTTAAATATCTATGTCTGCAACAATTTTCTCAAAATAATAAGCTGTGCAATTCTTGTCATTAAAGAAAAGATTGAATTCTCCCTAATGTGACTTGTTAGTTTCTCTGTGTATTTCCTGACAGTGTAAATGTGAAAGCTTTGCTTGCATTAAGTTTTAGAAATGCATTTTGCACACTCTAATTTTGCCGAAGCTCCATGAAAAGGTTAGATCTAAGTAGATGAATAAAGCTATGCACATGTTTTGAAAGTTTAATTTGTGTGTCATTACCAAAAGTGACCTATTTGTCCTTATTAGTTTGCTGTTCTTAGCTTTACCATCTTTGGAAACTTGGCTCAAAGTTATATAGTTCTGGGCTAGCTCATCAGTGGAACTAGGAGAGAGGAAAACTGGCACCTATTTTAATAAAGTTCAATTTAAATGAAAAAATAGTTTACAGTATAGTATTGTTAACAATGCTGTACATTAGATCTCCAAAACTTATTTATCTCAGATAAATAAAACTTTGTACACTTTGACCATTTCCCCATTTCCCACTCCACGCCTGCTGCCCACCCCCCAACCCTGGCCCCACCAAGCCCCCTGGAAATCACCATTCTACTTTTTGCTTCTATGAGTTTGGCTATCTTTAGATTCCACATATAAGTGATTGTGCAATATTCACTTATATATGTTGTTTTGAGCCTGGCTTATTTCACTTACCGTGTTGTACAGGTTCATCCATGTTGTTGGGAATGGCAGGAGTTTCTTCTTTATAAGGCTGAGAATATTTCTACTATACACACATACACTCACACACAAATACATATATATGTATACACACACACACACACACACACACACACACACCCTACATTTTTTTAATCCATTCGTCTGTTATGGACATGTATATTGTTTTCATATCTCGACTATTGTGAATAATGCTGCAGTGAGCATAGGAATGCAGATATCTCTTTGAGGTGCTGATTTCACTTCCTTTGAGTATGTACCCAGAAGAGGAATTGCTGGGTCAAATGATAGTTCTATTTTTATTTATTTGACGAGCCTCTATGCTGTTTTCTGTAATGGCTTACCAATTTACATTTTTATCAACAACGTATGAATGTTTCATTTTTTCCACATCCTCACCAATGCTTATTATATTTTGACTTTTTGGTAATATTTATTTTAACAGGTATGAGGTGATATCTCATGAATATTTGATTTGCATTTTCATATACCTGTTGCCTGTTTGTATGTCTTCTTTGGAAAAATGTCTATTCAAGTTTTTTGCCCATTTTTAATCTGGTTTTCCTTATTTGCTTTTGAGTTGTGTGAGTTCCTTATATATTTTGGATATTAACACTTTACCAGATGTATAGTTTCCAAACAGTTTCTCCCATTCTGTAAACTGCCGTTTCACTGTGTTATTTCCTTTGCAGTGCAGAAGCTTTTTAGGTGGATGTAATCCCACTTGTTTATTTTACTTTTATTCTCACTGTTTTTGTGTCCGATCCAAGAAATAACTGTGAAGACCAATGTCACGGAGCTTTCACCAGAATTTTATGTTTTCATTTTTTATGTTTAAGTCTTTAATCCATTTTGAATTGTTTTTGGTGAATGGTGTAAGATAAGTGTTCAATCTAATTATTTTGCATGGAGATAATCTAGATTTCCTATACCTCATCTTAGCCAAAAGGCTGAAAAGCAATATATTAAGTTTTTCTAATACAGTGTATTGAGACTGTTCTTTGAACATTTTGTATTCTTGGCAATCTTGTGGAAGAGCAGTTGGCTGTGTATTTATGGGTTTATTTCTGGGCTCCCTATGTTTTTCCATTGTTCTTTGTGTCTGTTTTTATGGCAGTATCATACTGTTTTTATTACTATAGATTTGTAATATACTTTGAAATTTGAAATCAAGAAGTGTGAGGCCAGATTTGATATACTTTTTCAAGATCATTTTGGCTATTCAGAGTCTTTTGTAGTTTCATATGACGACTAAGATTGGTTTTTCTCTTTCTGTGAAAAATGCCATTGGAATTTTGATGGGGAACACGAATTTGTAAACATCTTAAGGTGGTATGGACAGTTTAACAGCATTAATTCTTACATTTCATGGATATGGAATATCTTGTGATTTATTTGTGCCTGCTTTAATTTCTTCATTGTTTTGTAGTTTTCTTTATTTTTATTTTTATTTTTTTTTATTTTTTTTCTTCTTTTTTTTATTATACTTTAAGTTTTAGGGTACATGTGCACATTGTGCAGGTTAGTTACATATGTATACATGTGCCATGCTGGTGTGCTGCACCCACTAACTCGTCATCTAGCATTAGGTATATCTCCCAATGCTATCCCTCCCCCTTCCCCCCACCCCACCACAGTCCCCAGAGTGTGATATTCCCATTCCTGTGTCCATGTGATCTCATTGTTCAATTCCCACCTATGAGTGAGAATATGCGGTGTTTGGTTTTTGGTTCATGCGATAGTTTACTGAGAATGATGATTTCCAATTTCATCCATGTCCCTACAAAGGACATGAACTCATCATTTTTTATGGCTGCATAGTATTCCATGGTGTATATTTGCCACGTTTTCTTAATCCAGTCTATCATTGATGGAGATTTGGGTTGGTTCCAAGTCTTTGCTATTGTGAATAATGCCGCAATAAACCTATGTGTGCATGTGTCTTTATAGCAGCATGATTTATAGTCCTTTGGGTATATACCCAGTAATGGGATGGCTGGGTCAAATGGTATTTCTAGTTCTAGATCCCTGAGGAATCGCCACACTGACTTCCACAAGGGTTGAACTAGTTTACAGTCCCACCAACAGTGTAAAAGTGTTCCTATTTCTCCACATCCTCTCCAGCACCTGTTGTTTCCTGACTTTTTAATGATCACCATTCTAACTGGTGTGAGATGGTATCTAATTGTGGTTTTGATTTGCATTTCTCTGATGGCCAGTGATGATGAGCATTTTTTCATGTGTTTTTTGGCTGCATAAATGTCTTCTTTTGAGAAGTGTCTGTTCATGTCCTTCGCCCACTTTTTGATGGGGTTGTTTGTTTTGTTCTTGTAAATTTGTTTGAGTTCATTGTAGATTCTGGATATTAGCCCTTTGTCAGATGAGTAGGTTGCAAAAATTTTCTCCCATTCTGTAGGTTGCCTGTTCACACTGACGGTAGTTTCTTTTGCTGTGCAGAAGCTCTTTAGTTGAATTAGATCCCATTTGTCAATTTTGGCTTCGGTTGCCATTGCTTTTGGTGTTTTGGACATGAAGTCCTTGCCCATGCCTATGTCCTGAATGGTAATGCCTAGGTTTTCTTCTAGGGTTTTTATGGTTTTAGGTCTAACGTTTAAGTCTTTAATCCATCTCGAATTGATTTTTGTATAAGGTGTAAGGAAGGGATCCAGTTTCAGCTTTCTACATCTGGCTAGCCAGTTTTCCCAGCACCATTTATTAAATAGGGAATCCTTTCCCCATTGCTTGTTTTTCTCAGGTTTGTCAAAGATCAGATAGTTGTAGATATGCGGTGTTATTTCTGAGGGCTCTGTTCTGTTCCATTGATCTATATCTCTGTTTTGGTACCAGTACCATGCTGTTTTGGTTACTGTAGCGTTGTAGTATAGCCTGAAGTCAGGTAGTGTGATGCCTCCAGCTTTGTTCTTTTGGCTTAGGATTGACTTGGCGATGCGGGCTCTTTTTTGGTTCCATATGAACTTTAAAGTAGTTTTTTCCAATTCTGTGAAGAAAGTCATTGGTAGCTTGATGGGGATGACATTGAATCTGTAAATTACCTTGGGCAGTATGGCCATTTTCACGATATTGATTCTTCCTACCCATGAGCATGGAATGTTCTTCCATTTGTTTGCATCCTCTTTTATTTCCTTGAGCAGTGGTTTGTAGTTCTCCTTGAAGAGGTTCTTCACATCCCTTGTAAGTTGGATTCCTAGGTATTTTATTCTCTTTGAAGCAATTGTGAATGGGATTTCACTCATGATTTGGCTCTCTGTTTGTCTGTTATTGGTGTATAAGAGTGCTTGTGATTTTTGTACATTGATTTTGTATCCTGAGACTTTGCTGAAGTTGCTTATCAGCTTAAGGAGATTTTGGGCTGAGACGAAGGGGTTTTCTAGATATACAATCATGTCATCTGCAAACAGGGACAATTTGACTTCCTCTTTTCCTAATTGAATACCCTTTATTTCCTTCTCCTGCCTAATTGCCCTGGCCAGAACTTCCAGCACTATGTTGAATAGGAGTGGTGAGAGAGGGCATCCCTCTCTTGTGCCAATTTTCAAACGGAATGCTTCCAGTTTTTGCCCATTCAGTATGATATTGGCTGTGGGTTTGTCATAGATAGCTCTTATTATTTTGAGATACATCCCATCAATACCTAATTTATTGACAGTTTTTAGCATGAAGGGTTGTTGAATTTTGTCAAAGGCTTTTTCTGCATCTATTGAGATAATCATGTGGTTTTTGTCTTTGGCTCTGTTTATATGCTGAATTACATTTATTGATTTGCATATATTGAACCAGCCTTGCATCCCAGGGATGAAGCCCACTTGATCATGGTGGATAAGCTTTTTGATGTGCTGCTGGATTCGGTTTGCCAGTATTTTTTTGAGGATTTTTGCATCAATGTTCATCAAGGATATTGGTCTAAAATTCTCTTTTTTGGTTGTGTCTCTGCCCGGCTTTGGTATCAGAATGATGCTGGCCACATAAAATGAGTTAGAGAGGATTCCCTCTTTTTCTATTGATTGGAATAGTTTCAGAAGGAATGGTACCATTTCCTCCTTGTACCTCTGGTAGCATTCGGCTGTGAATCCATCTCGTCCTGGACTCTTTTTAGTTGGTAAACTATTGATTATTGCCACAATTTCGGCTCCCGTTATTGGTCTATTCAGAGATTCAACTTCTTCCTGGTTTAGTCTTGGGAGAGTGTATGTATCGAGGAATTTATCCATTTCTTCTAGATTTTCTAGTTTATTTGCATAGAGGTGTTTGTAGTATTCTCTGATGGTAGTTTGTATTTCTGTGGGATCGGTGGTGGTATCTCCTTTATCATTTTTTATTGTGGCTATTTGATTCTTCTCTCTTTTTTTCTTTATTAGTCTTGCTAGCAGTCTATCAATTTTGTTGATCCTTTCAAAAAACCAGCTCCTGGATTCATTAATTTTTTGAAGGGTTTTTTGTGTCTCTATTTCCTTCAGTTCTGCTCTGATTTTAGTTATTTCTTGCCTTCTGCTAGCTTTAGAATGTGTTTGCTCTTGCTTTTCTAGTTCTTTAATTGTGATGTTAGGGTGTCAATTTTGGATCTTTCCTGCTTTCTCTTGTGGGCATTTAGTGCTATAAATTTCCCTCTACACACTGCTTTGATTGCGTCCCAGAGATTCTGGTATGTTGTGTCTTTGTTCTCGTTGGTTTCAAAGAACATCTTTATTTCTGCCTTCATTTCGTTATGTATCCAGTAGTCATTCAGGAGCAGGTTGTTCAGTTTCCATGTAGTTGAGCAGTTTTGAGTGAGATTCTTAATCCTGAGTTCTAGTTTGATTGCACTGTGGTCTGAGAGATAGTTTGTTATAATCTCTGTTCTTTTACATTTGCTGAGGAGAGCTTTACTTCCAAGTATGTGGTCAATTTTGGAATAGGTGTGGTGTGGTGCTGAAAAAAATGTGTATTCTGTTGATTTGGAGTGGAGAGTTCTGTAGATGTCTATTAGATCCGCTTGGTGCAGAGCTGAGTTCAATTCCTGGGTATCCTTGTTGACTTTCTGTCTCGTTGATCTGTCTAATGTTGACAGTGGGGTATTAAAGTCTCCCATTATTAATGTGTGGGAGTCTACGTCTCTTTGTAGGTCACTGAGGATTTGCTTTATGAATCTGGGTGCTCCTGTATTGGGTGCATATATATTTAGGATAGTTAGCTCTTCTTGTTGAATTGATCCCTTTACCATTATGTAATGGCCTTCTTTGTCTCTTTTGATCTTTGTTGGTTTAAAGTCTGTTTTATCAGAGACTAGGATTGCAACCCCTGCCTTTTTTTGTTTTCCATTTTCTTGGTAGATCTTCCTCCATCCTTTTATTTTGAGCCTATGTGTGTCTCTACACATGAGATAGGTTTACGGAATACAGCACACTGATGGGTCTTGACTCTATCCAATTTGCCAGTCTGTGTCTTTTAATTGGAGCATTTAGTCCATTTACATTTAAAGTTAATATTGTTATGTGTGAATTTGATCCTGTCATTATGATGTTAGCTGGTGATTTTGCTGATTAGTTGATGCAGTTTCTTCCTAGTCTTGATGGTCTTTACATTTTGGCATGATTTTGCAGCGGCTGGTACCGGTTGTTCCTTTCCATGTTTAGCGCTTCCTTCAGGAGCTCTTTTAGGGCAGGCCTGGTGGTGACAAAATCTCTCAGCATTTGCTTGTCTGTAAAGTATTTTATTTCTCCTTCACTTGTGAAGCTTAGTTTGCCTGGATATGAAATTCTGGGTTGAAAATTCTTTTCTTTAGGAATGTTGAATATTGGCCCCCACTCTCTTCTGGCTTGTAGAGTTTCTGCCGAGAGATCTGCTGTTAGTCTGATGTGCTTCCCTTTGAGGGTAACCCGACCTTTCTCTCTGGCTGCCCTTAATATTTTTTCTTCATTTCAACTTTGGTGAATCTGACCATTATTTGTCTTGGAGTTGCTCTTCTCGAGGAGTATCTTTGTGGCGTTCTCTGTATTTCCTGAATCTGAACTTTGACCTGCCTTGCTAGATTGGGGAAGTTCTCCTGGATGATATCCTGCAGAGTGTTTTCCAACTTGGTTCCATTCTCCCCATCACTTTGAGGTACACCAATCAGACGTAGATTTGGTCTTTTCACATAGTCCCATATTTCTTGGAGGCTTTGTTCATTTCTTTTTATTCTTTTTTCTCTAAACTTCCCTTCTCGCTTCATTTCATTCATTTCGTCGTCCATCGCTGATACCCTGTCTTCCAGTTGATCGCATCGGCTCCTGAGGCTTCTGCATTCTTCACGTAGTTCTCGAGCCTTGGTTTTCAGCTCCATCAGCTCCTTTAAGCACTTCTCTGTATTGGTTATTCTAATTATACATTCTTCTAAATTTTTTTCAAAGTTTTCAACTTCTTTGCCTTTGGTTTGAATGTCCTCCCGTAGCTCAGAGTAATTTCATCATCTGAAGCCTTCTTCTCTCAGCTCGTCAAAGTCATTCTCCATCCAGATTTGTTCCGTTGCTGGTGAGGAACTGCGTTCCTTTGGAGGAGAGGCACTCTGCGTTTTAGAGTTTCCAGTTTTTCTGTTCTGTTTTTTCCCCATCTTTGTGGTTTTATCTACTTTTGGTCTTTGATGATGGTGATGTACAGATGGGTTTTTGGTGTGGATGTCCTTTCTGTTTGTTAGTTTTCCTTCTAACAGACAGGACCCTCAGCTGCAGGTCTGTTGGAATACCCTGCCATGTGAGGTGTCAGTGTGCCCCTGCTGGGGGGTGCCTCCCAGTTAGGCTGCTCGGGGGTCAGGGGTCAGGGACCCACTTGAGGAGACAGTCTGCCCGTTCTCAGATCTCCAGCTGTGTGCTGGGAGAACCACTGCTCTCTTCAAAGCTGTCAGACAGGGACATTTAAGTCTGCAGAGGTTACTGCTGTCTTTTTGTTTGTGCCCTGCCCCCAAAGGTGGAGCCTACAGAGGCAGGCAGGCCTCCTTGGGCTGTGGTGGGCTCCACCCAGTTCGAGCTTCTGGGCTGCTTTGTTTACCTAAGCAAGCCTGCGCAATGGCGGGCAACCCTCCCCCAGCCTCGCTGCCGCCTTGCAGTTTGATCTCAGACTGCTGTGCTAGCAATCAGCGAGACTCCGTGGGCGTAGGACCCTCCGTGCCAGGTGCGGGATATAATCTCGTGGTGCGCCGTTTTTTAAGCCGGTCCGAAAAGCGCAATATTTGGGTGGGAGTTATCCGATTTTCCAGGTGCGTCTGTCACCCCTTTCTTTCACTTGGAAAGGGAACTCCCTGACCCCTTGCGCTTCCCAAGTGAGGCAATGCCTCGCCCTGCTTCAGCTCGCGCATGGTGCGCACACCCACTGACCTGCGCCCACTGTCTGGCACTCCCTAGTGAGATGAACCCGGTACCTCAGATGGAAATGCAGAAATCACCCGTCTTCTGCGTCGCTCACGCTGGGAGCTGTAGACCGGAGCTGTTCCTATTCGGCCATCTTGGCTCCTCCGCCCTGTTTTGTAGCTTTCATTGTATCATTTTTTTCCCATCCTTGGTTAGGTTTTCCCTAAGTATTTTATTTTTCTTTCATTTTGTTTTATTTTATTTTTATTTTATTATTATACTTTAAGTTTTAGGGTACATGTGCACAATGTGCAGGTTAGTTACATATGTATACGTGTGCCATGCTGGTGCGCTGCACCCACTAACTTGTCATCTTGCATGAGGTATATCTCCCAATGCTATCCCTCCCCCTTCCCCCACCCCACAACAGTCCCCAGAGTGTGATGTTCCCCTTCCTGTGTCCATGTGATCTCATTGTTCAATTCCCACCTATGAGTGAGAATATACGGTGTTTACTTTTTTGTTCTTGCGATAGTTTACTGAGAATGCTGATTTCCAATTTCATCCATGTCCCTAAAAAGGGCATGAACTCATCTTTTTTTATGGCTGCATAGTATTCCATGGTGTATATGTGCCACATTTTCTTAATCCAGTCTATAATTGTTGGACATTTGGGTTGGTTCCAAGTCTTTGCTATTGTGAATAATGCTGCAATAAACATACGTGTGCATGTGTCTTTATAGCAGCATGATTTATAGTCCTTTGTGTATATACCCAGTGATGGGATGGCTGGGTCAAATGGTATTTCTAGTTCTAGATCCCTGAGGAATCACCACACTGACTTCCACAAGGATTGAACTAGTTTACAGTCCCACCAACAGTGTAAAAGTGTTCCTATTTCTGCACATCCTCTCCAGCACCTGTTGTTTCCTGACTTTTTAATGATTGCCATTCTAACTGGTGTGAGATGGTATCTCATTGTGGTTTTGATTTGCATTTCTCTGATGGCCAGTGATGGTGAGCATTTTTTCATGTGTTTTTTGGCTGCATAAATGTCTTCTTTTGAGAAGTGTCTGTTCATGTCCTTTGCCCACTTTTTGATGGGGTTGTTTGTTTTTTTCTTGTACATCTGTTGGAGTTCATTGTAGATTCTGGATATTAGCCCTTTGTCAGATGAGTAGGTTGCGAAAATTTTCTCCCATTTTGTAGGTTGCCTGTTCACTCTGATGGTAGTTTCTTTTGCTGTGCAGAAGCTCTTTAGTTTAATTAGATCCCATTTGTCTATTTTGCCTTTGTTGCCATTGCTTTTGGTGTTTTAGACATGAAGTCCTTGCCCATGCCTATGTCCTGAGTGGTAATGCCTAGGTTTTCTTCTAGGGTTTTTATATTTTTAGGTCTAAAGTTTAAGTCTTTTATCCATCTCGAATTGATTTTTGTATAAGGTGTAAGGAAGGGGTCCAGTTTCAGCTTTCTACATCTGGCTAGCCAGTTTTCCCAGCACCATTTATTAAATAGGGAATCCTTTCCCCATTGCTTGTTTTTCTCAGGTTTGTCAAACATTACATAGTTGTAGTTATGTGGCGTTATTTCTGAGGCCTCTGTTCTGTTCCATTGATCTATATCTCTGTTTTGGTACCAGTACCATGCTGTTTTGGTTACTGTAGCCTTGTAGTATAGTTTGAAGCCAGGTAGTGTGATGCCTCCAGCTTTGTTCTTTTGGCTCAGGATTGACTTGGCAATGCGGGCTCTTTTTTGGTTCCATATGAACTTTAAAGTAGTTTTTTCCAATTCTGTGAAGAAAGTCATTGGTAGCTTTATGGGGATGACATTGAATCTATAAATTACCTTGAGCAGTATGGCCATTTTCACGATATTGATTCTTCCTACCCATGAGCAGGGAATGTTCTTCCATTTGTTTGTATCCTCTTTTATTTCCTTGAGCAGTGGTTTGTAGTTCTTCTTGAGGAGGTCCTTCACATCCCTTGTAAGTTGGATTCCTAGGTATTTTATTCTCTTTGAAGCAATTGTGAATGGGAGTTCACTCATGATTTGGCTCTGTGTTTGTCTGTTGTTGGTGTAAAAGAATGCTTGTGATTTTCGCATATTGATATTGTATCCTGAGGGTTTGCTGAAGTTGCCTATCAGCTTAAGGAGATTTTGGGCTGAGACGAAGGGGTTTTCTAGATATACAATCATGTCATCTGCAAACAGGGACAATTTGACTTCCTCTTTTCCTAATTGAATACCCTTTATTTCCTTCTCCTGCCTAATTGCCCTGGCCAGAACTTCCAGCACTATGTTGAATAGGAGTGGTGAGAGAGGGCATCCCTCTCTTGTGCCAATTTTCAAACGGAATGCTTCCAGTTTTTGCCCATTCAGTATGATATTGGCTGTGGGTTTGTCATAGATAGCTCTTATTATTTTGAGATACATCCCATCAATACCTAATTTATTGAGAGTTTTTAGCATGAAGGGATGTTGTATTTTGTCAAAGGCCTTTTCTGCATGTATTGAGATAATCATGTGGTTTTTGTCTTTGGTTCTGTTTATATGCTGGATTACATTTATTGATTTGCGTATATTGAACCAGCCTTGCATCCCAGGGATGAAGCCCACTTGTTCATGGCGGATAACCTTTTTGATGTGCTGCTGGATTCGGTTTGCCAGTATTTTTTTGAGGATTTTTGCATCAATGTTCAACAAGGATATTGGTCTAAAATTCTCTTTTTTTTGTTGTGTTTCTGCCCGGCTTTGGTATCAGGATGATGCTGGCCTCATAAAATGAGTTAGGGAGGATTCCCTCTTTTTGTATTGATTGGAATAGATTCGGACGGAATGGTAGCATTTCCTCCTTGTACGTCTGGTAGAATTCGGCTGTGAATCCATCTCGTCCTGGACTCTTTTTGGTTAGTAAGCTATCCATTATTGCCAGAATTTCGGCTCCTGTTATTGGTCTATTCAGAGATTCAAGTTCTTCCTGGTTTAGTCTTGGGAGAGTGTATGTGTCGAGGAATTTATCCATTTCTTCTAGATTTTCTAGTTTATTTGCGTAGAGGTGTTTGTAGTATTCTCTGATGGTAGTTTGTATTTCTGTGGGATCAGTGGTGATATCCCCTTTATCATTTTTTTTTTGCATCTATGTGATTTTTCTCTCTTTTTTTCTTTATTAGTCTTGCTAGTGGTCTATCAATTTTGTTGATCCTTTCAAAAAACCAGCTCCTGGATTCGTTAATTTTTTGAAGGGTTTTTTGTGTCTCTATTTCCTTCAGTTCTGCTCTGATTTTAGTTATTTCTTGCCTTCTGCTAGCTTTAGAATGTGTTTGCTCTTGCTTTTCTAGTTCTTTTAATTGTGATGTTAGGGACTCAATTTTGGATGTTTCCTGCTTTCTCTTGTGGGCATTTAGTGCTATAAATTTCCCTTTACACACTGCTTTGAATGCGTTCCAGAGATTCTGGTATGTTGTGTCTTTGTTCTTGTTGGTTTCAAAGAACATCTTTATTTCTGCCTTCATTTCGTTATGTACCCAGTAGTCATTGAGGAGCCGGTTGTTCAATTTCCATGTAGTTGAGCAGTTTTGAGTGAGATTCTTAATCCTGAGTTCTAGTTTGATTGCACTGTGGTCTGAGAGGTAGTTTGTTATAATCTCTGTTCTTTTACATTTGCTGAGCAGAGCTTTACTTCCAAGTATGTGGTCAATTTTGGAATAGGTGTCTTGTGGTGCTGAAAAAAATGTATATTCTGTTGATTTGGGGTGGAGAGTTCTGTAGATGTCTATTAGGTACACTTGGTGCAGAGCTGAGTTGAATTCCTGGGTATCCTTGTTGACTTTCTGTCTCCTTGATCTGTCTAATGTTGACAGTGGGGTATTAAAGTCTCCCATTATTAATGTGTGGGAGTCTAAGTCTCTTTGTAGGTCCTCAGGACTTGCTTTATGAATCTGGGTGCTCCTGTATTATGTTCATATATTTTTAGGATAGTTAGCTCTTCTTGTTGAATTGATCCCTTTACCATTATGTAATGGCCTTCTTTGTCTCTTTTGATCTTTGTTGGTTTAAAGTCTGTTTTATCAGAGACTAGGATTGCAACCCCTGCTTCTTTTTGTTTTTCATTTGCTTGGTAGATCTTCCTCCATCCTTTAATTTTGAGCCTATGTGTGTCTCTGCACGTGAGATGGGTTTCCTGAATACAGCACACTGATGGGTCTTGACTCTTTATCCAATTTGCCAGTCTGTGTCTTTTAATTGGAGCATTTCGTCCATTTGCATTTAATGTTAATATTGTTTTGTGTGAATTTGATCCAGTCATTATGATGTTAGCTGGTTATTTTGCTCGTTAGTTCATGCAGTTTCTTCCTAGTCTGGATGCTCTTTACATTTTGACCTGATTTTGCAGCAGCTGGTATTGGTTGTTCCTTTCCATGTTTAGCGCTTCCTTCAGGAGCTCTTTTAGGGCAGGCCTGGTGGTGACAAAATCTCTCAGCATTTGCTTGTCTGTAAAGCATTTTATTTCTCCTTCACTTGTGAAGCTTAGTTTGGCTGGATAGGAAATTCTGGGTTGAAAATTCTTTTCTTTAAGAATGTTGAATATTGGCCCCCACTCTCTTCTGGCTTGTAGAGTTTCTGCCGAGAGATCTGCTGTTAGTCTGATGTGCTTCCCTTTGAGGGTAACCCAACCTTTCTGTCTGGCTGCTCTTAACATTTTTTCCTTCATTTCAACTTTGGTGAATCTGACCATTATGTGTCTTGGAGTTGCTCTTCTCAAGGAGTATCTTTGTGGCGTTCTCTGTATTTCCTGAATCTGAATGTTGGCCTGCCTTGCTAGATTGGGGAAGTTCTCCTGGATGATATCCTGCAGAGTGTTTTCCAACTTGGTTCCATTTTCTCCGTGACTTTCAGGTACACCAGTCAGACGTAGATTTGGTCTTTTCACATAGTCCCATATTTCTTGTAGGCTTTGTTCGTTTCTTTTTATTCTTTTTTCTCTAAACTTCACTTCTCGCTTCATTTCATTCACTTCATCTTCCATTGCTGATACCCTTTCTTCCAGTTGATTGCATTGGCTCCTGAGGCGTCTGCATTCTTTACGTAGTTCTCGAGCCTTGGTTTTCAGCTCCATCAGCTCCTTTAAGCACTTCTCTGTATTGGTTATTCTAGTTATACATTCTTCTAAACTTTTTTCAAAGTTTTCAACTTCTTTGCCTTTGGTTTGAATGTCCTCCCGTAGCTCGGAGTAATTTGATCGTCTGAAGCCTTCTTCTGTCAGCTCGTCAAAGTCATTCTCCATCCAGCTTTGTTCCGTTGCTGGTGAGGAACTGCGTTCCTTTGGAGGAGGAGAGGTGCTCTGCTTTTTAGAGTTTCCAGTTTTTCTGCTCTGTTTTTTCCCCATCTTTGTGGTTTTATCTAGTTTTGGTGTTTGATGATGGTGACGTACAGATGGGTTTTTGGTGTGGATGTCCTTTCTGTTTATTAGTTTTCCTTCTAACAGACAGGCCCCTCAGCTGCAGGTCTGTTGGAGTACCCTGCCATGTGGGGTGTCAGTCTTCCTCTGCTGGGTGGTGCCTCCCAGTTAGGCTGCTCGGTGGTCAGGGGTCAGGGACCCACTTGAGCAAGCTGTCTGCCCGTTCTCAGATCTCCAGCTGTGTGCTGGGAGAACCACTGCTCTGTTCAAAGCTGTCAGACAGGGACATTTAAGTCTGTAGAGGTTACTGCTGTCTTTTTTTTTTGTCTGTGCCCTGCCCCCATAGGTGGAGCCTACAGAGGCGGGGAGGCCTCCTTTAGTTGTGGTGGGCTCCACCCAGTTCAAGCTTCTGGGCTGCTTTGTTTACCTAAGCAAGCCTGGGCAGTGGTGGGCGCCCCTCCCCCAGCCTCGCTGCCGCCTTGCAGTTTGATCTCAGACTGCTGTGGTATCAATGAGCAAGACTCCGTAGGCGTAGGACCCTGGGAGCCAGGTGTGGAATATAATCTCCTGGTGTGGCGTTTTTTAAGCCCGTCGGAAAAGCGCAGTATTTGGGTAGGAGTAACCCAATTTTCCAGGTGCCATCTGTCACCCCTTTCTTTGACTAGGAAATGGAACTCCCTGAACCCTTGCGCTTCCCGAGTGAGGCAATGGCTCGCCCTGCTTCGGCTCACGCATGGTGCAGGCATCCACTGACCTGCGCCCACTGTCTGACACTCCCTAGTGAGATGAACCCGGTACCTCAGATGTAAATGCAGAAATCATCCGTCTTCTGCATCGCTCACGCTGGGAGCTGTAGACCGGAGCTCTTCCTATTCGGCCATCTTGGGTCCTCCCCCCATTCTTTTATTTTTTAAGAATATTTTTGATAAATAGAGAGACAAGGCCAGGTTTAGTTATAACTGCTATATCTTCCTGTCAAGTTGATCCTCATCATTTTATAGTGACCTTTTTGTTTCTTGACAAAAAGTGTTTTGAATTGAAGCCCATTTTGTCTGATTAAGTGTAGCTACCCCTACTTTCTTTTAGTTACTATTTACATGGGATATATATTCCTATCTCTTTGCTTTCATTATATGTGTCCTTAAGACTAAAGTGAATCTCATATATAGCATTTCACTGGATCTTACTTTTTAAAATTCATTCAGCCAGTCTCTGGCTTTTGTGAATTTGTAATGAGTATTTTTGGAATTATTTTTGGGAATTTCATAGATCTCCATTTGTTTTGAGTTGTTTACTGGAAATTTATTATGTTCCTTTGGTGGCGGGGGATCATGTTTTCTGATTTTTCATATTCCTTGTAGCCTTGCATTGTGTTCTGTACATTTGAAGAAGTCACTTCTTGAAGCCTTTACAGAGTAGATTCTATAGGGAAAGATTTTCTCCTGCAAGTGGGTATGAGGGTACTGGTTGGGTAGGGTGCATATCAATGCCAGATTAGAACCAGGTCTGGGTTTGCAAGGGGACATCAATTATGGGGGTGTGCAGGGGCACCAGGTGCAGGAGCATACAGAGGCAACAGGTCTGAGGTGTGGGTGTGGGTGCATGTGGTGGAGCCAAGGCTTGGGGACAGGTGTTGTGTTACTGGCTCTAGAAGAGTGCACACCAGCTGCAGCTCTAGGAGTATGCAGTGGTGTAGAGTCCAAGCAACTCTGGATGGTGGGGTCTGCATTGGCAAAGACTGTAGAAGTCCTCGGCAGTGAATGCTGCAGAGGTCCTTGGTAGTGGCAAGGGCTGCTGAGGTTCTCTTGCTTTCATTTCCCCTCTGGAGACCTTATGGTTGAGGTGATTACTCTTTGTACTGAGCTATGCTAGCCTGGGGTACAGGAGGACAAGGATAAAATTCTTCCTACCCTTTTCTATGTGGCCATCCTTAGTTTTTGTGTTCCGCTGGTTTGCTACAGATTTGTTATTGTACTCAGGAGCACTCCCAGAGATATTTTTGTCTATGGATATTTACATTATTGTTTTTGTTAGAGGATGAGGGCTGGCACGTCCTAGTCTGCCTTCTTACTGACATCACTCCTGGTTCTATTATTGATAGAACAATGTTGAAATCTCCAACTGTAATAGTAGATTCATCTATTTCTCTTTGTAATTCTATCAGTTTTTGCTTCACATATTTAGGCACATTTTTGTTAGGTACATGCACATTAAGGATTGTTATATCTTATTGGAGAATTGACAGTTTTATTATTATGTAATGCTTTTTATTATCCCTGACAGTTTGCCATACTTTGAAGTCTGCTGTGTCGGGAAATAATATAGCTACTTTCATTTTACTTTGATTAGTATGAGAGTAGTGTATTATTCTCTATTCATTTACTTTTAATCTATTTGTGTGTTTGTATTTAAAGTGCATTTATTTAGAGAATAAACAGGTTGGGTCTTGCTTTTTGATCTAATCTGACAATTTTTTAATCTTTTAATTGGAATATTTAGACTATTGGCATTCAAAGTTATTATTGATATATTCAGATTAATATTTACCATATTTGTTACTGTTTTGTGTTTGTTGACCCTGTTTTATTTTTCTATTTTTGCCTTTCACTTTCTTCTACATTTTATGGTTTTGATTGAGCATTTTACATGATTCCACTTTATCTGCTTTCTTAGAATATTAGTTATACTCTTTTTAACTTCAGTTTGTTTTGCTTTTTACTTGTTCTTAGGACAGAGTGATGATTCTAACATTTTTACATGTTAGGCTGGATTTCCAAAGCCATTTTTTTTTTTACTATCAGATTTTTTATGGTTAGTTTGCCAACCCTGGTCTAGAAAAAAAACAAGATTCAAATTCCAAAGAGCACAACTATAAACATCAGCACTAGATGGTCAAAGCCTCTTCCATTCTTTGTAAGAAAATGGATGGATATTGGTGAGGCTGGCGGTGGAAGTCTCAGTGGGCCCAAGGTAGAAGCAGAGAGTTTTCATCCAAGGTACCTTGGGGTGACCAAACCAGAGAACAGAATGAGTTGAAACAATGTAGGAAAGCCAGAGCGGGGGAGGCCAAGGCAGGCAGATCATGAGATCAGGGAATCGAGACCATCCTGGCTAACACGATGAAACCCTGTCTCTACTAAAAATACAAAAAAAAAATTAGCCGGGCGTGGTGGCGAGCGCCTGTAGTCCCAGCTACTCAGGAGGCTGAGGCAGGAGAATGGTGTGAACCTGGGAGGCGGAGCTTGCAGTTAGCCAAGTTCACGCCACTGCACTCCAGCCTGGGCGACAGAGCAAGACTCCATCTGAAAAAAAAAAAAAAAAAGAAACAATCTAGGAAAAATGATGGTTAAGGAGGAGGGGGGATTGATTGAAGTTTATTACAACTCAAGGAAGGCTAGAGGCAGGAATTTGAAGCTGAGACAAAGCCAGACATCCAGAACCAGGGAGATTAAAAGATGAGAGCAAGAATAAATGCAGACAACTTGGAATCAATGGCAGCAACAACTGGAGTGGGTTGTTGGTGTAGTCGGAAAGAACGAGAGAATGAGAATATGCTTTTAGAGGTGGTGTGAGAGGTCTGAGGTGATTACTAAAATGCCTGTTAGTATATGTAGCTTAGGTTTATGAGTCAGCCAATGTATGATACTTATGTGGGTCAGTCAGATTAACAGAAAAATGGTAGACATAACCCTTTACTGAGTTGGTGCACACTGTTCCTAGATTTTCCTGAAGGAAAATTCCGACATATTTTAAAATGTTTTGTGGTAGCAGGAAAGCTCCTATAACTGCTCTTCTAGCTGATATCTGTCCAATTGTGCTAAGTATTGGAGCTGATTAGTATCAATGGCAGTCAAATACTTATTTCACTATGTATTCTGATTTCCCATATGAAGTTTCCTAGGCAGTTGGAGAGGCATGGGATGGCATTGATAGGTAGGACCTAGCAGGGAGTGGTGGAATAGATATTAATATAGTTTGGGTGGGAAGCAATTGGAACTTGAAAGGCTGGCATGGTTTTTCAATAGCCACAAATATTATTGTCAATGTTAGATAATGATGACAGGTCTGAAAAGGAGAAGGCAGCATGCCACACATTTATATCTCCCATGGAGCTATTCAGCTGTCTTATAGTATATCTTCTTGGGTGGTTTTTATCCCTTCTGGGTACTATGGGGCCTGACAGGGTTGTAGTATTGCTTAATATTAAGTATGGGGGAAATTGTGGGTCAGTGTTATAGAAGTCTCTCAATAGTGCTTTTTAGAACCTGGATGTTAAGTGAGATCTTTGGTCAACTTTCAGGTTTTATGAAGTTCATGGAAATGAGACACTTCTTTGATAAACAAAGTGGCAATACTAGTTGTGAATGGGAGTTCGGGAAAGGGGATAAAACCTATCATCTTAATGAGGATTCTACCACTTCCAATATGGTATCATATCTTTAAGAAGGAGAAAGATCCATGTTGAAGTACAATGAAATGGTATTTAATGGAGAATTTGGTGGTCAAGATAGGATAGAATAATACATTTGGGATTGCAGTGCCTGTCCATATAAACACTCTGTGTCCTCAGTCTAAAAGAACCATGCCTGGCATATAGTAGGTGCTTGATAAATATCTTTTGCACGAATGAATGATTTTCTTTTCACTTACTAGCCATGTTAAGAGTTTTGAATGGGCTGCAGTGGCTTTTTAAGGTAGTGAAGAAGAACCACGTACCTGAAGTTTAGGCTACTCTTTTTATGACATAGAACACTCTTTGAACATTGGGACTAGCTGCTAGTAGTTAGTTGAATAAGCATGTTATGTGAGAAGTTTCCAAGATTATCCCCGTGTTTTGTGATTTGCTAGAAAGACACACAGGGCTCTGCATATAGTCTTTTATAAATCTTTTTATTATTTAAAAAAAGTGGGGACATAGTGTGTATTTATATATATATATATATATATATATGCACACACACACACATATATGTATGCATGTATATGGTACATGAGATGTTTTGATACAGGCATGCAATGTGAAGTAAGCACATCATGGAGAATGGGCTATCCATTTACTCAAGCATTTGTCGTTTGAATTACAAACAATCCAATTACATTCTTTAAGTTATTTAAAAATATACAAGACTTATATTGTGCTAAATATAGCAGGTCTTATTTATCGTATATTTTTTGTACCCTTTAACCATCCCCACCTCCTCCTCAGCCCCCATACCCTTCCCAGCCTCTAGTAACCATCCTTCTATTCTTTATATCCATGAGTTCAATTGATTTGAGTTTTAGATCTCACAAATAAGCGAGAACATGTGATGTTTGCCTTTCTGTGCCTAGCTTATTTCACTTTACATAGTAATCTCCAGTTCTGTCTATGTTGTAAATGATTGGATCTCATTCTTTTTTATGGCTGAATAGTACTCCATTGTGTTTATGTACCAAATGTTCTCTATCCATTCATCTGATGGTGGACACATGGGTTGCTTCTAAGTCTTAGCTAATGTAAAAAGTGCTGCAACAAAAAGTGCAGATATCTCTTTTATATACTGATTTCCTTTCTTTGGGTATATACCCAGTGTAGGGAGACCCCCTGAAACTATTGCTATGGAATAAAAGATGAAATGCTCCTGATTATTGTAAATACAAAATTGCATGCAGGATTGTGTAAAGACAATGCCAGGTTGGACTGCCAGAATGAGCCAACAGCATGTGATGTGCTTCCTCCTGCAGAGAGCCTATGAATGGACGTGCAGTCAGGGAGGTTTCATATCACCAAGATTCCTATCCCAGAAAAGCAGATGTTCATAGCTCTGGGAATGGATTGCGACCCTTGTGGAGGGCCTATAAATGGACACATGAGGGGTGCCTTTTCATATGGATAAGGTAGGGCTATAAACGCCTTCATCTTGCCATGGCTCTTCTAGGCCTCTTTAGGGTTAAGACATACTCCCTTCTGAGAATTTCTGGTCTAACCAGTTGTCTAGCTTCACGTCCTGTTTCTATGGATTGTTTGTAACCAGCTTTTGCTGCAACTGTTACTGCTGATAAATATCTTGCTAATCATAGGTTATGGAAAGACTGTGTTTCAGTTTTAAGGTTCTGTTAGAAATTACTGATACACACACTATATTGTAAATTCTTATCTCTGTATACTGTACTTCTGCATACAGATGTTATGTTAGAGAATTACTTCATCCCCATGTGACCATCTCACATCATAATCAAATGACCCTAAATCTCTCACTAACCTACCCCCACCCTCACTAAACTTAATAATAAATGCTGGTATATCCAGTGCATTGGCAGCATCGTGGGACCAGAAGGCGGTGACCCCCCTGGACCCAGCTTTCACTATCTTGTGTGTGTCTATTATTTCTTGACCTGCCGATCTGTCTGGGAACAAAGAAAGAGCCCCGTTGCATTGCGGGCTGCTGGCCCGATCCTGCAATAACCCAGCAGTGGGATTGCTGGATTTTATGGTAGCTCAATTTTCAGTTTTCTGAGGAACCTCCAAACTGTTCTCCATAGTGGTTGTGCTGATTTACATTCTCACCAACACTATATGAGGCTTTCTTTTTCCCCACATCCTCACCAGCATTTGTTATTGCCTGTCTTTAGATATAATTCATTTTAACTGGGATGTGATGATATCACATTATAGTTTTGATTTGCATTGCTCTAATGATCTTTTCGTATGCCTACTTGCCATTTGTATGTCTTCTTTTGAGAAAGGTCTATCCAAATATTTTGCCCATTTTTTGATGGGATTATTAGATTTTTTTCCGGTAGATTTGTTTGAGCTTCTTATATATTCTGGTTATAAATCCTTTGTCAGATGGGTAGTTTGCAAATATTTTCTCCCATTCTGTGGGTTGTCTATTCACTCTGTTGATCATATCCTTTACTGTGAAGAAGCTTTTGTCCATGTTTGACTTGGTTGCCTGTGCTTGTGGGGTATTGCTGAAGAAGACTTTGCCCAGACCAATGTCCTAGAGATCTTATTCAATGTGTTCTTGTAGTAGCTTCATAGTTTGAGATCTGAGATTTAAGTATTTAATCCATTTTGATTTGATTTTTGTATATGGCAGGAGATAGGGGTCTAGTTTTATTTTTTGTCATATGGGTATCCAGTTTTCCCAGCACCATTTATCAAAAAGATTGTCTTTCCCTCAGTGTATGCTCTTGGTAACTTTGTCAAAAATGACTTCAATGATGGGTGGGTGGATGTGTGCCTGGGTTCTGTATTCTGTTCCATTTGTCTGCATGTCTGTTTTTATGCCAGTACCATGCTATTTGGGTTACTATAGTTATGTAGTATAATTTGAGTCATATAGTTATGTAGTATAATTTGAGTCAGATAATGTGATTCCTCCGATTCTGTTCATTTTTCTTTGGATAGCTTTGGTTATTCTGGGTCTTTTGTTATTCCATATAAGTTTTAGAATTTTTTTCTATTGCTGTGAAGAATGTCATTGGTAGTTTGATAAGGATTGCATTGAATCTGTAGATTGCTTTGGGTAGTATGAACGTTTAAAAAATACTATTTTTCCAATACATGAACATTGAATATCTTTCAATATTTTTGTGTCCTCTTTAATTTCCTTCATCAGTGTTTTATAGTTTTCATTATAATAATCTTACACTTCTTTGGTTGAGTTAATTTCTGAGTATTTAATTTCATGTGTAGCTATTGTAAATGGAATTACTTTTTAAATTTCTTTTTCAGATCGTTCACTGTTGGCATATAGAAATGCTACTGATTTTAGTATGTTGATTTTGTATCCTGAAACTTTACTGAATTTATCAGTTATAACAGTTTTCCTGTGGAGTCTTAGGATTTTCCAAATATAAGATTATACCATAGCAAACAAGGATAATTTGACTTCTTTCTTTCTAATGTGGATGCTGTTTATATCTTTCTTTTGTCTGATTGTTCTAGCTAGGATCAGTATGATACTAGCTGTGTGTCTGTCATATGTGGCTTTTATTGTGTTTAGGTGTGCTGCTCCTTCTATACACAATTTTTTAAGCGTTTTTATCCTGAGGAGATGTTGAATTTTATCAACTTTTTCAGCATAAATTGAAGTGCTCATATAATTTTTATCCTTTGTTATGTTGATATGATATACCATATTGATTCATTTGTGTGTATTGAACCATCCTTGCGTCCTAGGGATAAATCTCACTTGGTCATGAGGAATGATCTTTCTAATGTATTGTTGAATTCAGTTTGATAGTATTGTTTGAGGATTTTTGCATCAGTATTTATCAGAGATATTGTCCGGTAGTTTTTTTTTTTGTTTTTTAATGTCTTTTTCTGGTTTGGGTATCATCGTACTACTGGCCTTATAGAATGAGTTTGGATGTATTTCCTCCTCCTCTGTATTTGGGAATAGTTTGAGTAGAATTAGTATTAGTTCTTCTTTAAACATTTGGTAAAAAACATTTGATAGCTTGTATGTATCTAGGAATTTGCCTATTTCTTCTAGATTTTCCAATTTATTGGCATATAGTTACTCCTAGTAACCACTAACAATCTTTTGAATCTCTAACAATCTTTTGAATTTCTGCAGTGTCAGTTGTAATGTCTTCTTTTTCATTTGTGATTTAATTTACTTTAATTCCTCTCTTTTTTTCTTAGTTTAGGTAAAACTTTGTCAATTTTGTGTAACTTTTCAAAAACAGCCACTTTTTGTTTCATTGACCTTTTGTATTGTTTTCTTTATTTCAATTTCATTTATTTCTGCTCTAATCTTTGTTATTTCTTTTTTTGTATTAGTTTTGAGTTTGGTTTGCTCTTTCTTTTCTAGTTCTTTAAGACGCATCATCAATTTTTTTGTTTGAAGTTTTTTCTCTGTTTTGATGTAGGCACTTATAGCTATAAATTTCCCTCTGAGTACTGCTTTTGCTGTGTCCCATAGGTTTTGGTGTATTGTGTTTCCATTATTATTTATTTCAAGAAATTTTTCATTTTTTTTCTTAATTTCTTCATTGACCCACTTGTCATTTAGGAGCATATTGTTTAATTTCCATGTATTTGTATCATTTCCAAAATTCCTCTTGTTATTTATTTCTAGTTTTATTCCACTGTCTTCAGAGAAGCTACTTGATATTATTTCAGTGTTTTTGAATGTATTATGATTTGTGACTTAACATATGGTCTGTCCTTGAGAATGATCCCTGTGCTGAGGAAAAGAATGTGTAGTCTGTAGTTATTGGATGAAATGTTCTGTAATTATCTATTAGAACCATTTGGTCTATAGTGCAGATGAAGTTTGATATTTCTTTGTTGATTTTTCTGTCTGGAAGCTTTGTCCAGTGCTGAAAGTGGGGTGGTGAAGTCTTCAGCTATTATTGTACCAGGTCTTATCTTTCTCTATAGCTCTAGTAATATTTGCTTTATATATCTGAGTGTTCCAGTGTTGGGTGCATATATACTTATAATCATTATGTCCTCTTGCTGAATTGACCCCTTTATCATTATGTAGTGATGTTCTTTGTGTCTTCTTATAGCTTTTGTCTTGAAATCTGTTTTGGCTGACATAAGTATAGCTACTCCTACTTTTTTTTTTTTTTTTTTCATTGACATGGAATAACTTTTTCCTCTCCCTTTATATTCAGGCTATGTGTGTCTTTATACGTGAAGTGTGTTTCTTGTAGACAACACATCAGTGGGTCTTTTTACTTATTTATTTAGCTAGTCTGTGTCTTTTTGATTGGATAATTTTGTCCATTTTCATTCAATGTTATTATTGGTAAGTAAAAACTTACTTTCACCATATTGTTATTTGTTTTCCAGTAGTTTCGTGGTCTTTTCTTCCTTCCTTCTTTCCTTTGTGTCTTCCTTTAGTGAAGGGGATTTTCTCTGGTGATATGATTTTGTTTCTTGCTTTTTATGTTTTATGTCTCCATTGTATGTTTTTAGGTTTGAGGTTGCCATGAAGCTTGCAAATACTATTTTACAACCCATTGTTTTAACCTGATAACTTAACACTGTTAGCATAAACAAACAAATGAGCAAAATAAAACAAGTAGAAACCTTATGGTTGAACTTCGTCCCTCGCTTTTTAATATTTTGTTGTTTCTATTTATATCTTATTGTATTGGCTATGTCTTGAAAATTTGTTGTAGTCATTATTTTTGATGGGTTCATTATTTAGTCTTTTTACTTAGGATAAGAGTAGTTTACACACCACAGTTATAGTGTTATAATATTCTGTGTTCTTCTGTGTACTTACTACTACCAGTGAGTTTTGTGCTTTCAGATGATTATTGCTCATTATTGTCCTTTTATTTCTGGTTGAAATACTGCTCTTTTTATTATTATTATTATTATTTTTTATTATACTTTAAGTTTTAGGGTACATGTGCACGTTGTGCAGGTTAGTTACATATGTATACATGTGTCATGCTGGTGCGCTGCACCCACTAACTCGTCATCTAGCATTAGGTATATCTCCCCATGCTATCCCTCCCCCCTCCCCCCACCCCACAACAGTCCCCAGAGTGTGATGTTCCCCTTCCTGTGTCTATGTGATCTCATTGTTCAATTCCCACCTATGAGTGAGAATATGTGGTGTTTGGTTTTTTGTTCTTGCGATCATGCTGCTATAAAGACACATGCACATGTATGTTTATTGCGGCATTATTCAGAATAGCAAAGACTTGGAACCAACCCAAATGTCCAACAATGATAGACTGGATTAAGAAAATGTGGCACATATACACCATGGAATACTATGCAGCCATACAAAATGATGAGTTCATGTCCTTTGTAGGGACATGGATGAAATTAGAAATCATCATTCTCAGTAAACTATCGCAAGAAATACTGCTCTTAACATTTCTTATAGGACAGGTCTGGTATTGATGAAATTCCTCAGCTTTTGTTTGTCTGGGAAAGTCCTTATTTCTCCTTTATGTTTGAAGGATATTTTTTCTGGATATACCTTTCTAGGGTAAAAGTTTTTTTCCTTCAGCACTTTGAATATGTCATGCTACTCTGTCCTGGCCTGTAAGGTTTCCACTGAAAAGTCTGCTGCAAGGTGTTTTGGAGCTCCATTGTATGTTATTTGTTTCTTTTCTCTTTCTGCTTTTAGGATCCTTTCTTTATCCTTGACCTTTGGGAGTTTGATTATTAAATGTCTTGAGGTAGTTTTCTTTGGATTAAATCTGCTTGGTATTCTTCAAACTTCTTTTACTTAGATATTGATATCTTTCTCTGGGTTTGGAAAATTCTCTGTTATGCCTTTGAATAAACTTTCTATTCCTGTCTATTTCTCTACTTCCTGTTTTAGGGCAATAACTCTTAGTTTGTCCTTTTGAGGTTATTATCTAAGTCCTGTAGGAATGCTTTTATTTGATTTTTCTCAACACAGCTATTTTGAATTCTTTGTCTGAAAAGTCACATATCTCTGTTTCTCCAGGATTCATCCTGGGCTCTTACTTAGTTCATTTGATAAAGTCATATTTTCCTGGTTGATATTGATGCTAGTAGGTGTTCTTTTTTGTCTGGGCATTGAAAGGTTAGGTGTTTATTATAGTCTTCACTCTGGGCTTATTTGTAGCTGCCCTTCTTGGGAAGGTTTTCTAGTATTTGAAAGGACTTGGGTGTCATGACCTAAGCTGCTTCTGCTCTAGGGGACACCCCAAATATAGTAACATTGTGGTTTTCACCGACTTATAGAGGTATCCTCTTCATGGTCTTGGACAAGATGGGGAAGAATTCTCTGAATTACCAGGCAGAGACTTGTTCTCTTCCCTTACTTTCTTCCAAAAAAGAATCTCTCTTTCTAAGCCACCTAAAGCTGGGAATGGGTGGCACAAGCAACCCTGTGGCCACCACCACTATGGCTATACTGGGTCAGACCTGAAGCCAGCCCAGTGCTGGATCTAGCCTAAGGCCTGCTGTGACCCCTCCCTTTCTATTTCCTGTGTTCACTCAAAAGTCCTGGGGCTCTACAATCATCAAGTGGCAAAGCTAGCCTGGACTGTGTCCTTCCTTTCAGGGAGGCAAGGTCCCCCAATTCCCTGGTGGGTCCAGAAGTGCTGTTTGGAATTCACGGACTACAGTCAAATTCCTTTGAAGTCTACCAAGTGTTCTATTGCTTTGTGACTGTGCTGGCAGTCAAACCACAAAACACATTTTTAAAAACTCTTCCCTCCCCTTTTCAAAGGCAAAGGAACCTCATTTCCTAGCTACTGCCACCCCAGCCCACAAAGAGTACTGCCAGACTATTGCTTATACTCCCTTAACACCCAAAGTCTCTTAAGTCAGCTTGTTATGAATGCTCCCTGGCCTGGGACTCACCCTTCAGGACAATATTCTCACCTTTGGCCCAGGGCAGGTCCAGAAATGCTGTCCAAGATTCAAGTCCTGGAATTGCTCTACCCCACTGTGGCCATGCTGGTACCTAATGTGAAAGACAAAGTCCCCTTTCCTTTTTTCTCTGCTTTTCTCAAGCAGATGGAGTTTTGCCCTGTAGCCACCACAGCTGGTCATGTGCTGTGAGTCTCACCTGAAGCCAACAAGTCTTAGCCATTCACCCAAGGCGGGTGTCACTGCTCATTATTTAGGGTCGAAGGGCTCTTCAGTTGGCATGTGATAAATGCTGTCAGGACTGGGTCCTTTCCTTCAAGGCAGCAGGTTCTCTTCTGGCCCAGGGTGTGTTTAGAAATGTCTGGGATCTAGGGCCTAGAATGGGGCCCTTAGGACTCTGACCAGTGCCCTATCCTGCTGTGGCTTAGCTGGTATCTTAGATGTAAGATAAAGTTCTCCCCTCTCTTCTCTCTCTTCTCCTCAAGTGGAAGGAAGGAGTCTCTTTTGAAGCCATGAGCTGTGCAGCCTGAAGTTATGGAGGGGTGATGGCAATATTCCCTTGGCTGCCCCAGCTGATGTCTTAGTATGTCATGTGCTCACTCAGTTCACTGTCTCCAGGCCTAATTTAGCACTAGAACTCACCTAAGAGTTGCAGTTCTTATGTCCTAGACTGCTTTTCAAGTTTACTTGGGGACACAGGATTCTATTGTCTTTAGTGGTGAGGTTTGCAGGCACTCAAGTTTGGACTTCTAGAATTGATAATTTTCCTCTGGCAAGGTCTGATTTAAATGCTCCCTTCGTAAGTGGGCATCAGCTGAGTTTGGTCTGGTTTTCCTTTCTGCTCTAACTGGACATCACTGAGTTCATTGGGTAATAACTGCTGTGTTCTTTTTCCCCCAGTGCCTAGAGAAGCTCTCTGCACCACTCTGTGGCTGCCAGAGTGGAGGAGGGGTAGCATCAGCAATTCAGGACTTTTGTCTCTTCAGTGCCTCTTTCAACAATATGAAGTTAAATCCAGGTACTATGAATGCTCACCTGATTTTTGGTTCTTATGAAGGTATTTTTTTTCTTCTGTGTAGATAGTTGTTAACTTGGTGTCCTTGTGATGGGGATGATTGGTGGAGCTTTCTATTCCATCATCTTGCCTGCACATAGTTTTATGGACGGTTAAGAGTTATTCTAGTGATGCAATAAGGATACACAACTAGATTATAAAGGAAAAAGACACAGGTGAAGTCTAGAGAAATCCCTGTGCAAGCCTTGTATGCTCTCCTTCTCTAAGAGGGGTGACACAGAGTGCACATTTAGCCCAGCAATGAAAATGCAGCAACTTGTGTGAAATGATTTCTACCATGGAAGCACACTAGAGACTCAGGACCCAAGATTTTTACTGGGGACTAATCACACAAGCACTCCCTGCCTGGCACATGCCAAATTGCCGGATTCAGCAGGAAGGTAGGTGTTCAGCAAAAATCATATAGCTTGCACATATAATCTACAGTGTGCCTCCCTAATAAGTTATCTGTTGACTGAGAATACTCCAGAACCAAGGTTGAAGATGTCAGCTAAGGGCCAACCTTGTAACTAGGCCCTTCTAAGAATAGCAGTCTCAGGCCTGCTAAATTAAATCTTTATCGCTCACCATTTATCTAATGTGCTATAGCTGAAATTGATAATCAGAATGTTCTCAGGCCAGATAATCTTTCAGAATCATATTCCTCTGCTACCTCCTAAGATTGGGGGCCTGTTTTAACTTCAGGATAATAGGAAAAGGGAAAGTTATCTATAAAAGAAAGTCTACCTCACTTGGTATAGACTGAGTTTTTCTGGCCTCTGATGCTGTAAGTTGTGATAGCTACATTAGACCTCCATGAAATTTTGGGATTTTTCAATGTGATATATTCATGTCTCAGTAATGGCCTTGATCATCAACTTTCTTTTCTCACATTGGGTAGCTGCCTTTAGCCATGACCAACTTTTTTTGAAAATTAGTAACAGAGAAATAATTTGCCTGGGTAAATGGTTGGATATTCATAGGCCAATATTATGAGATAAAAGTTTTTAGCTCCTGGAGTGCAAAACTATTTTCTGTATAACTCTTTCCTTTTCTGGAAAAGTAATTTAATGGAGTAGTCATTATGAAAGGATGATAAAGAGCTATCAGTAATATCTAGCAACTCCAGAGCTGCTAAACTTCCTTGATTGTCTGGAGGGCTTCTTGGTATAGAACTTCTGATGTTCTTTCTAGAATCATGTGGATGCCACGGCTCAACAAGGCATAATTCAAGAGCTTCTCTTTTATTCTTAAAAGCAAATTTCTCGAGGTTGACCTAGAAGGGAGAGTGGTATACCTGGTCTAAAATCAAGAGTGTCATTCACTTTTAAGGAGATGTGACTTAGAACTTCCCTTTCCCTGGGAATTTAGGTAAATATAGCTTGAATCCTCAATTTTATAACCTGTGCAAGTCTAGTATTCTCCCCATGATTGCTGTGAATGTTCAGTCTTATATCTTCCCATATGCCTCTCTGCTATTTAGAGACAGAAAGTAGGTATTAGTGGTTGCTCTCCCCACCCCAGTGATAGGGGTGGGGAGAGCTATGAGGGGAAATGAGGAGCGACTGCTATTGTGAATGCAATTTATTTTAGAGGTGATGAAAATGATGTAAAACTGATTGTGGTGATGGTTACACAACTGTGAATTTATGAAAAATCATTAAATTGTATGGGTGTATTCACTTTAAATGGGTGAATTGTATAGTAGGTAAATTTTATTTCAATAAAGGTGTTACTTTTTTTAAAAAAGTAAGGACATGTGTAGATTTATTAGGTATTGCAGATTTGCCACCAGAAGTGTTGTAGCAGTTTGCTTTCTCACCATGAACGTATGAGAGTGCCTGTTTCCTCGCAGCTTCACCAACAGAATATGTTGTCATTTTTTTTTGCCAGTCTGATAGGTGAGAAATTGTGTCTCAGTGTATTTTTACTTTGCATTTCTCTAATTCTGAGTTTGAACATCTTTTCATATGTTTGAGGATAGTTTTTATATCTTTTGTGTGAATTGTCTGTTTATGTATTTTCCCTATTTTTCTATTGGGTTTTTGGTTTTATTCTTTCAATTTTTAAGACTTCTTTGTATGTTAGGAATATCAGCCATAGTCTGTCAGTATCCACATCCTTAACCATTACACTCCATTGACTTCCTGCTCTGGTACTTTATCCACTTAAACCCAATTTTTCTAACTTCTATACTTGTAAATGTCTCAAATACTTAACATAGAATGATTTAAATGTAGTATAGGCCCTTAAAACCTACTATTTAGGGGCATGTTTCAAGCCATGTTCTCCTGAAGCTCTACCAGTTCTGGGAAAATGGAGGTGGGTAGTACAGCTGGATAGCCTATTCTGGGAGATTTGGGGAAGTATTTGCTTCTAAGACTCTTTGCTATTTATTTTTCTCTGTAGCCCCAGCCCTACAAAATGAAGAACCTAATATCTCTCTGTTGCAGTCTGTTCGGCCATCCTTAATGCTATTAAGTAAAGGTGGAATCATAGTTACTGAGGTAGCAAGTCATCTTGCTTTGGTAGTCAGTGTATGGGGAGGAGCAATAAAGGAATTTCACCATTCTGTTTAACTTCACTCTTCTGGAGCTGCACTGTTGATCAGCATACGAAAAAAGCTATAAAGCTTTTATTTTGTCTTTTAGCTGTGCCATCTTAAGACCTTGTCCAGCATCCTTAGTATTCTCCCTTTTGGAGTGAGTCTGCCTTATCATTATTATTATTGTTATTGCTATTATTGCTTTGCCCTTGACTGCCTTCACCTGCCTTGTCCTTGACAGCTTGGAAGTTTCTTTAAAAAGTAAACATGCAATTACCACATGACACAGTAACTGAATTTGGGGGCATTTATCCCAGATAAATAAAAACATATGATAAGATGGCGGTGCTGAGCAGTGGCGGTGGTGGCAGTGCGGAGCCCGGTGAGGCTCTATTCAACGGGGACGTGGAGCCTGAAGCCGGCGCTGGCGCCGCGGCCTCTTCGGCTGTGGATCCTGCCATTCCCGTGGAGGTTATCTTCTAAAAATGTAGAAACCAGACTTTTAACTTTTAAACCAACAGAAGAGAACAAATGATTAATAAAAATTAATCCCAAAGAAGTGAAGAAAAGAAAGAACCAGTAGGACAAATACCACAAAGTATGGAATATCAAACAAATAATCAATTAAGTTGACACAGGAACATATAGAGGCCCTATTATACAAATTTGTTGGGGAGCATATTCCACCATCAATATATCTGGAGGCCTATGAGGAATACACCAGCAAGCTAGATACACTCCAACAAAGAGAACAACAGTTATTGGAATGTCTGGGGAACGGAACTGATTTTTCTGTTTCTAGCTCTGCATCAATGGACACCGTTAAATCTTCTTCCTCTTTTAGCCTTTCAGTTTTTCTCTTTCAGTTTTTCAAAAAACCTTTATCTCTTTCAGTTTTCCGAAATCCCATAGATGTGACATGGAGCAACCCCAAGTCACCACAAAAACCTATTGTTAGAGTCTTCCTGCCCAACAAGCAGAGGACAGTGGTACCTGCAAGGTGTGGAGTTACAGTCGGAGACAGTCTAAAGAAAGCACTGATGATGAGAGGTCTAATCCCAGAGTGCGGTGCTGTTTACAGAATTCAGGATGGAGAGAAGAAAACAATTGACCAGGACACTGGTGTTTCCTGGCTTACTGGAGAAGAATTGCATGTGGAAGTGTTGGAGAATGTTCCACTTACAACACACAACTTTGTACGAAAAACATTTTTCACCTTAGCATTTTGTGACTTTTGTCAAAAGCTGCTTTTCCAGGGTTTCCGCTGTCAAACATGTGGTTATAAATTTCACCAGTGTTGTAGTACAGTTGTTCCACTGATGTTTGTTAATTATGACCATCTTGATTTGTTGTTTTTCTCCAAGTTCTTTGAACGCCACTCAATACCCCAGGAAGAGGCCTCCTTAGCAGAGACTGCCCTTACATCTGGATCATCTCCTTCGGCACCCCCCTCAGATTCTACTGGGCCCCAAATTCTCACCAATCTGTCTCCTTCAAAATCCACTCCAATTCCACAGCCCTTCCGACCAGCAGATGAAGATCACTGAAATCAATTTGGGCGAGACCGGTCCTCATCAGCTCCCAATGTGCATATAAGCACAATAGAACCTGACGATATTGATGACTTGATCAGAGACCAAGGATTTCGTGGTGTTGGAGGCTCAACCACAGGTTTGTCTGCCACACCCCCTGCCTGGGTCACTCACTAACGTGAAAGCCTTACAGAAATCTCCAGGACTTCAGTGAGAAAGGAAGTCATCTTCATCCTCAGAAGACAGGAATCAAATGAAAACACTTGGTAGACAGGACTTGAATGATGATTGGGAGATTCCTGATGGGCAGATTACAGTGGGACAAAGAATTGGATCTGGATCATTTGGAACAGTCTACAAGGGAAAGTGGCATGGTGTTGTGGCAGTGAAAATGTTGAATGTGGCAGCACCTACACCTCACCAGGTAGAAGCCTTCAAAATGAAGGAGGAGTACTCAGGAAAACATAACACATGAATATCCTACTCTTCATGGGCTATTCCACAAAGCCACAACTGGCTATTGTCACCCAGTGGTGTTAGGGCTCCAGCTTGTATTACCTTCTCCATATAATTGAGACCAAATCTGAGATGATCAAACTTATAGATATTGCACAACAGACTGCACAGGGCATGGATTACTGACACGCCAAGTCAGTCATCCACAGAGACCTCAAGAGTAATAATATAGTTCTTCATGAAGACCTCACAGTGGAAATAGGTGATTTTGGTCTAGCCACAGTGAAATCTTGATGGAGTGGGTCCCATCAGTTTGAACAGTTGTCTGGATCTTTTTTGTGTATGGCACCAGAAGTCATCAGAATGCAAGATAAAAATTCATACAGCTTTCAGTCAGATATATATGCATTTGGGATTGTTCTGTATGAATTGATGACTGGACAGTTACCTTATTCAAACATCAACAACAGGGACCAGATAATTTTTATGGTGGGACAAGGATACCTATCTCCAGATCTCAGTAAGGTACGGAGTAACTGTCCAAAAGCCATGAAGAGATTAATGGCAGAGTGCCTCAAAAAGAAAAGAGATGAGAGACCACTCTTTCCCCAAATTCTCACCTCTATTAAGCTGCTGACCCGCTCATTGCCAAAAATTCACCACAGTGCATCAAAACCCTCCTTGAATTGGGCTGGTTTCCAAACAGAGGATTTTAGTCTATATGCTTGTTCTTCTCCAAAAACACCCATCCAGGCAGGGGGATATGGTGCATTTCTTGTCTACTGAAACAAATAAGTGAGAGAGTGCAGGAGAGTAGAAACAAAAGGAAAATAAATGAACATATGTTTGCTTATATGTTAAATTGAATAAAATATTCTTTTTTTTAAGGTGAACCAAAGAAAACCTGTGTGGTTAAAGACTAGATATAATTTTTCCCCAAACTAGTATTTCTACTTAACATCACATTTTTAACATCCAAGGATTAAAATACATAGACATTGCTAAAAATTGGCAGTGCCTCTTCTAGAGGCTTTACTTTCTATTCCGGGTTTGTTTCATTCACTTGGTTATTTTAAGTATTAAACTTCAGTTTTCTCATGCAACTTTTGTTACTAGCTATCACATGTCCACTAGGGACTCCAGAAGAAGACCATACCTGTGCCTATGTTTGCAGGTGGGAAGTTGGCAGTAGGTTAACCTGGGTTAGATAAGGCAAACTGAATAGATCTAATTTAGGAAGTCACTAGAATTTAATAATTCTATTTTTATTCTTAATACTTTTTCTTTCTTTCTTTTCTTTTTTTTCTTCTTTTTTTCTTTTTTGAGACAGAGTCTTGCTCTGTCGCCCTGGCTAGGGTGCAGTGGTGCAATCTCGGCTCACTGCAAGCTCCGCCTCCTGGGTTCATGCCATTTTCCCACCTCAGCCTCCAGAGTAGCTGGGACAACAGGCACCCACCACCACGCCCGGCTAATTTTGTTTTTGTATTTTTAGTAGAGATGGGGTTTCACCGTGGTAGCCAGGATGGTCTCCATCTCCTGACCTTGTGATCTGCTTGCTTAGGCCTCCAAAAGTGCTGGGATTACAGGCATGAGCCACCGCGCCCAGCCCTTAATACTTTTTCTATAGTGATTTTACAACAATTTGGAAAATGTGGATAACCTTTATTTCCTTGAAGCAATAAACTAAATTTCTTTTTATAAATTGTGAGTGCAGGTGACCAAAAATATTGCTGAGGAGTAGCATACTTGACATGAGTAAAATGTCTTAACTTTGGATTTTTAGTGGGAAAATGTTATAAATAGGAATTCCTTTTAAATAACTTTTTAAAAAATATATTAAGGATGTCTTGCTCATGGAGAAGTCAAATTTCATTGCAAATGCATTGCCCCCTTCACACCCACTTCCTCCACTGCAAAAAATCTTCACAGAATTCTGTGAGAACTTTTAGATGTGTTTTTCTTTGAGATAACTCTGGTTTCCAAACACCAGGTAATAGATATTTTAAAGTTCTCTATTAGATTATTCTTACCTGTTATTATGCATCTTTTAGCAATCACCTTATCATTGTCTCATGAAATTTCGGTCCTCCTTATATTCTTTGCCCAGCAAGATTCTACTTATGATGAATGAATGCTATTCTCCTTTTTGCATTCCATAGTATGAAGTATTTGTTAGTGTTCTCTAATACTTATACTTTGTTGTGTAGAAAGTGGGAGTATCGAGCCAAGATGGCTGAATAGGAACAGCTCCGGTCTACAGCTCCCAGCATGAGCGATGCAGAAGACGGGTGCTTTCTGCATTTCCATCTGAAGTACCGGGTTCATCTCACTAGTGAGTGCCAGACAGTGGGAGCACCTTGCACGAGCCGAAGCAGGGCGAGGCACTGCCTCACTCGGGAAGCGCAAGGGGTCAGGGAGTTCCCTTTCCTAGTCAAAGAAAGGGGTGACAGACAGCACCTGGAAAATTGGGTTACTCCCACCTGAATACTGCGCTTTTCCGACGGGCTTAAAAAACGCCGCACCAGGAGATTATATTCCACACCTGGCTCCCAGGGTCCTACGCCCACGGAGTCTTGCTGATTGCTAGCACAGCAGTCTGAGATCAAACTGCAAGGCGGCAGTGAGGCTGGGGGAGGGGCGCCCGACATTGCCCAGGCTTGCTTAGGTAAAGCAGCCCGGAAGCTCTAACTGGGTGGAGCCCACCACAACTCAAGGAGGCCTGCCTGCCTCTGTAGGCTCCACATTTGGGGGCAGGGCACAGACAAACAAAAAGACAGCAGTAGCCTCTGCAGACTTAAATGTCCCTATCTGACAGCTTTGAAGAGAGCAGTGGTTCTCCCAGCACGCAGCTGGAGATCTGAGAATGGGCAGACTGCATTCTCAAGTGGGTCCCTGACCCCTGACCCCCGAGCAGCCTAACTGGGAGGCACCCCCCAGCAGGGGCAGACTGACACCTCACATGGCTGGGTACTCCAACAGACCTGCAGCTGAGGGTCGTGTCTGTTAGAAGGAAAACTAACAGAAAGGACATCCACACCAAAAACCCATCTGTACGTCACCATCATCAAAGACCAAAAGTAGATAAAACTACAAAGATGGGGAAAAAAGAGAGCAGAAAAACTGGAAACTCTAAAAAGCAGAGCGCCTCTCCTTCTCCAAAGGAACGCAGTTCGTCACCAGCAACGGAACAAAGCTGGACGGAGAATGACTTTGACAAGCTGACAGAAGAAGGCTTCAGACGATCAAATTACTCCGAGCTACGGGAGGATATTCAAACCAAAGGCAAAGAAGTTGAAAACCTTGAAAAAAGTTTAGAAGAATGTATAGCTAGAATAACCAATACAGAGAAGTGCTTAAAGGAGCTGATGGAGCTGAAAACCAAGGCTCGAGAACTACGTAAAGAATGCAGAAGCCTCAGGAGCCAATGCAATCAACTGGAATAAAGGGTATCAGTGATGGAAGATTAAGTGAATGAAATGAAGTGAGAAGTGAAGTTTAGAGAAAAAAGAATAAAAAGAAACGAGCAAAGCCTCCAAGAAATATGGGACTATATGAAAAGACCAAATCTACGTCTGATTGGTGTACCTGAAAGTGACGGGGAGAATGGAACCAAGTTGGAAAACACTCTGCAGGATATCATCCAGGAGAACTTCCCCAATCTAGCAAGGCAGGCCAACATTCAGATTCAGGAAATACAGAGAATGTCTCAAAGATACTCCTTGAGAAGAGCAACTCCAAGACACATAATTGTCAGATTCACCAAAGCTGAAATGAGGAAAAAATGTTAAGGGCAGCCAGAGAGAAAGGTTGGGTTACCCACAAAGGGAAGCCCATCAGACTAACAGCGGATCTCTCAGCAGAAAATCTACAAGCCAGAAGAGAGTGGGGGCCAATATTCAACATTCTTAAAGAAAAGAATTTTCAACCCAGAATTTCCTATCCAGCCAAACTAAGCTTAATAAGTGAAGGAGAAATAAAATCCTTTACAGACAAGCAAATGCTGAGAGATTTTGTCACCACCAGGCCTGCCCTAAAAGAGCTCCTGAAGGAAGCGCTAAACATGGAAAGGAACAACTGATACCAGCCGCTGCAAAATCATCTCAAAATGTAAAGACCATCGAGACTAGGAAGAAACTGCCTGAACTAACGAGCAAAATCACCAGCTAGCATCATAATGACAGGATCAAATTTACACATAACAATACTAACTTTAAATGTGAATGGACTAAATGCTCCAATTAAAAGACACAGACTGGCAAATTGGATAAAGAGTCAAGACCCATCAGTGTGCTGTATTCAGGAAACCCATCTCACGTGCAGAGACACACATAGGCTCAAAATTAAAGGATGGAGGAAGATCTACCAAGCAAATGGAAAACAAAAAAAGGCAGGGGTTGCAATCCTAGTCTCTGATAAAACAGACTTTAAACCAACAAAGATCAAAAGAGACAAAGAAGGCCATTACATAATGGTAAAGGGATCAATTCAACAAGAAGAGCTAACTATCCTAAATATATATGCACCCAATACAGGAGCACTCAGATTCATAAAGCAAGTCCTGAGTGACCTACAAAGAGACTTAGACTCCCACACATTAATAATGGGAGACTTTAATACCCCACTGTCAACATTAGACAGATCAACGAGACAGAAAGTCAACAAGGATACCCAGGAGACGAACTCAGCTCTGCACCAAGTGTACCTAATAGACATCTACAGAACTCTCCACTCCAAATCCACAGAATATACATTTTTTTCAGCACCACACCACACCTATTCCAAAACTGACCACATACTTGGAAGTAAAGCTCTCCTCAGCAAATGTAAAAGAAAAGAAATTATAACAAACTATCTCTCAGACCACAGTGCAATCAAACTAGTACTCAGGATTAAGAATCTCACTCAAAACTGATCAACTACATGGAAACTGAACAACCTGCTCCTGAATGACTACTGGGTACATAACGAAATGAAGGCAGAAATAAAGATGTTCTTTGAAACCAACAAGAACAAAGACACAACATACCAAAATCTCTGGGACGCATTCAAAGCAGTGTGTAGCGGGAAATTTGTAGCACTAAATGCCCACAAGAGAAAGCAGGAAAGATCCAAAATTGAGACCCTAACATCACAATTAAAAGAACTAGAAAAGCAAGAGCAAACATATTCAAAAGCTAACAGAAGGCAAGAAATAACTAAAATCAGAGCAGAACTGAAGGAAATAGAGACACAAAAAACCCTTCAAAAAATTAACAAATCCAGGAGCTGGTTTTTTGAAAGGATCAACAAAATTGATAGACTGCTAGCAAGTCGAATAAAAAAGAGAAGAATCAAATAGACACAATAAAAAATAATAAAGGGGATATCACCACCGATCCCACAGAAATACAAACTACCATCAGAGAATACTACAAACACCTCTATGCAAATAAACTAGAAAATCTAGAAGAAATGGATAAATTCCTCGACACATACACTCTCCAAAGACTAAACTAGGAAGAAGTTGCATCTCTGAATAGACCAATAACAGGATCTGAAATTGTGGCAATAATGAATAGCTTACCAACCAAAAAGAGTCCAGGACCAGATGGATTCACAGCCGAATTCTACCAGAGGTCCAAGGAGGAACTGGTGCCATTCTTCTGAAACTATTCCAATCAATAGAAAAAGAGGGAATCCTCCCTAACTCGTTTTATGAGGCCAGCATCATCCTGATACCAAAGCCGGGCAGAGACACAACGAAAAAAGAGAAGTTTAGACCAATATCCTTGATGAACATTAATGCAAAAATCCTCAATAAAATACTGGCTAACCGAATCCAGCAGCACATCAAAAAGCTTATCCACCATGATCAAGTGGGCTTCATCACTGGGATGCAAGGCTGGTTCAATATACGCAAATCAATAAATGTAATCCAGCATATAAACAGAACCAAAGACAAAAACCACATGATTATCTCAATAGATGCAGAAAAGGCCTTTGACAAAATTCAACAACCCTTCATGCTAAAAACTCTCAATAAATTAGGTATTGATGGGACATATCTCAAAATAATAAGAGCTATCTATGACAAACCCACAGCCAATATCATACTGAATGGGCAAAAACTGGAAGCATTCCCTTTGAAAACTGGCACAAGACAGGGATGCCCTCTCTCACCACTCCTATTCAACATAGTGTTGGAAGTTCTGGCCAGGGCAATGAGGCAGGAGAAGGAAATAAAGGATATTCAATTAGGAAAAGAGGAAGTCAAATTGTCCCTGTTTGCAGATGACATGATTGTATATCTAGAAAACCCCATCATCTCAGCCCAAAATCTCCTCAAGCTGATAAGCAACTTCAGCAAAGTCTCAGGATATAAAATCAATGTGCAAAAATCGCAAGCATTCTTATACACCAATTACAGACAAACAGAGAGCCAAATCATGATTGAACTCCCATTCACAATTGCTTCAAAGGGAATAAAATACCTAGGAATCCAACTTACAAGGGATGTGAAGGACCTCTTCAAGAAGAACTACAAACAACTGCTCAAGGAAATAAAAGAGGATACAAACAAATGGAAGAACATTCCATGCTCGTGGATAGGAAGAATCAATATCGTGAGAATGGCCATACTGCCCAAGGTAATTTACAGATTCAATGCCATCCCCATCAAGCTATCAATGACTTTCTTCATAGAATTGGAAAAAGCTACTTTAAAGTTCATATGGAACCAAAAAAGAGCCCACATTGCCAAGTCAATCCTGAGCCAAAAGAACAAAGCTGGAGGCATCATACTACCTGACTTCAAACTATACTACAAGGCTACAGTAACCAAAACAGCATGGTACTGGTACCAAAACAGAGATATAGATCAATGGAACAGAACAGAGCCCTCAGAAATAATGCCGCAAATCTACAACTATGTGATCTTTGACAAACCTGACAAAAACAAGCAATGGGGAAAGGATTCCCTATTTAATAAATGGTGCTGGGAAAACTGGCTAGCCATATGGAGAAAACTGAAACTGGATCCCTTCCTTACACCTTATACGAAAATCAATTCGAGATGGATAAGAGACTTAAACATTAGACCTAAAAACGTAAAAACCCTAGAAGAAAACCTAGGCATTACCACTCAGGACATAGGCATGGGCAAGGACTTCATGTCTAAAACACCAAAAGCAATGGCAACCAAAGCCAAAATTGACAAATGGGGTCCAATTAAACTAAAGAGCTTCTGCACAGCAAAAGAAACTACCATCAGAATGAACAGGCAACCTACAAAATTGGAGAAAATTTTCGCAACCTACTCCTCTGACAAAGGGCTAATATCCAGAATCTACAATGAACTCCAACAAATGTACAAGAAAAAAACAACCCCATCAAAAAGTGGGCAAAGGACATGAACAGACACTTCTCAAAAGAAGACATTTATGCAGCCAAAAAACACATGAAAAAATGCTCACCATCACTGGCCATCAGAGAAATGCAAATCAAAACCACAATGAGATCACCATCTCACACCAGTTAGAATGGCAATCATTAAAAAGTCAGGAAACAACAGGTGCTGGAGTGGATGTGGAGAAATAGGAACACTTTTACACTGTTGGTGGGACTGTAAACTAGTTCAACCCTTGTGGAAGTCAGTGTGGCGATTCCTCAGGGATCTAGAAGTAGAAATACCATTTGACCCAGCCATCCCATTACTGGGTATATACCCAAAGGACTATAAGTCATGCTGCTATAAAGACACATGCACACGTATGTTTATTGCGGCATTGTTCACAATAGCAAAGACTTGGAACCAACCCAAATGTCCAACAATGATAGACTGGATTAAGAAAATGTGGCACATATACACCATGGAATACTATGCAGCCATAAAAAATGATGAGTTCATGTCCTTTGTAGGGACATGGATGAAAGTGGAAATTATCATTCTCAGTAAACTATCACAAGAACAAAAAGTCAAACACCGCATATTCTCACTCATAGGTGGGAATTGAACAATGAGATCACATGGACACAGGAAGGGGAACATCACACTCTGGGGACTGTTTTGGGGTGGGGGGAAGGGGGAAGGATAGCATTGGGAGATATACCTAATGCTAGATGACGAGTTAGTGGGTGCAGCGCACCAGCATGGCACATGTATACATATGTAACTATCCTGCACAATGTGCACATGTACCCTAAAACTCAAAGTATAATAATAATAAATTAAAAAGAAAAAAGAGAATACTCATGCACAATACAATACCACAATACAATACCTTTCGGACTTGTAAATGTATGAAAAAGAATGAATAATATTTCTAGAAGGATGCAGGTCAATATCATGATTATTCTTCTCTTTAAAATAGAGTTTCTCAACCTGAGTGCTATTAACATTTAGGACTAGATAATTCCTTGTTGCAGGCTCTCCTTGCATTGCTGGATGATTGGCAACATCCCTGCCCTCTACCCACTAGATGACAATAGCACCCCCAAAACTGTCCTGGTTGAGAACCACTGCTCTCTGCAAAAAGAGAAGATAATGTGTGAAGATGGTTAACATTAGTTTTTAAATCTACATTTGTAATATTTTTGTTCTTAAAAAATATTGTAAGAAAACATATGTCAGTTGTTCATTTGAGTGATAAAAATATAAGGGTTTGCTGTTTTGTTGAGTCTCATACATTTATAAAATAAAAACTACCATCTATGAGCACTATAATTTTGTGTATTAAAAGGGTAATTTTTAAATCAAACCAGCAGGAAGGCTAGACTAAGATGAGGTGTTGTGGGCTGAGAAAGACATGTTGAAGTCTTAACACCTGGTACCTGTGAATGTGACTTTATTTGAATACAGGGTCTTTACAGATGTCATCAAGTCAAGATGAGGTCATACTGTAGTAGGCCGTACTGCAAATCTAATCCCTAGTGTCCTTAGAGAGATAGAGAGATGTGGACACAGAGACACAGGGAAGACAACCATGTGATGATGGAAGTGGCCACTGGAGTGAGGCCACTACAAGCCAAGGAACGCCAAGGATTGCCGGTAACACCAGAAGCCGGGAAGAGGCGAGGAAGGAATCTTCCCTAGAGACTTCAGAGGGACCGTGGCCCTGCCAACACCCTGGTTTCAGACTTCTGGCCTCCAGAACTATGAGCTAATAAATTTTTGTTGTCTTAAGCCACCCAGTTGCTGGTACTTTGTTAGAGCTGTCCCAGGAAACTATTGCATAAAGCTATGCTCCTTTTCCAACTCGCTGCATTGCTGGGAAGGTCTTCATTCTCCTACCAACCAGTGAAAACATTGTCTCAAGCCAACTTGCCTTTGCCAGCCACAGGGAAGCTCAGGGGCTCTGGCCAGCTAGAGAACAAGGAACCCTGTAGCTTCCCCACTGCTGTGTTGTGTAGTGGTAGAACAAGATGGGAAAACAGCAGCATTCACAGCAGAGCTGACACTGATTCTGCGAGCTTTGCCAAGTGGTACCTCAGTTTACTCATCTGAGCAATGGAACAAAAAGAACAAACCACAGAGACATCTGGAGGACAAAATGAGATCATGTATATGAAAAGGACTTACAAATGCAAACTATCATTGGCACCAAGCTGTCATTTCACACCTGGACCAAAGAAAAGACAATTAGCCCCAGAAAAGACAATTAACTTGATACCTTTAGGAAGAAAAAAAAAATCTGTCTTTGAATATAATTACTTTTATACTTGCTTGGGAAATCTCTATCCAGTCTCAAGAGGGTTAAAAATGAGGAAGGGAGACAGATACACACTGAAAAATGACAGCAAAAATAAAACCAATTAAAGTTTTTATACCATGGTCCCTAAAAAAAAAAAAAAAAAAAATGACTGTAATGTGATGGTCAGTGTATTCTTACTCTGATTCGGGAAATCAAAAGTAGAAAGCAACAGCAGGTGGGCCTATCAAAGATTTGGCCATCTCTCTACTTCATTGTCAGCCTCTTAACTCTATCTTCACTTACTCAATTTGGTTTTGTCATGATTTTTAAATGTAGCCAATGGTTCAAGATTTTTCCAGTGAACAGACATCTGTATAAATGCTTCCTTGAAGTCAATAAAGAAGAAAATTGTGAAGACTTTAAATTAATGATAATTTAGTTTTTAAGTACCCACAAATAAATTTTTGAAACATTATCTTTACTTGAAAGTTAGATGTCATCCAGGAAAATCACTCAATAATAATTATGGCAAACCGTTAACCCCTCATTTGGTTAGCTTAAGATAAGTAATGCCATTATTATTTCAGAATTGTTTCATGACTTTCAGTTTAGTTAAGAAAATAAAAAGGAGCATTTCTCATATTTTAAAAAATGAGACTAAGAAAGGAATAAAGAAATGTAACTATTGGAAAATATCAAAGTGTATCATTTTTAAAGCCTTTGGTGGCACTGAAGATATGATTATTAGTAATTGTTAGATAGGGTTTTACTCATTCAAAATAGAAGACTAGCAAGCATGTAACTAACAGAGTTTTTAAAAACTTTACTTTGTCTGTGGAATACTCTGAAAGTTTGGCCATTTTGAGGCACAAGGTTTATTGATAGAGCTCTTTCTATAATTTCCCAGCATACCTGCCTCACTGTTATCTTCCTTCCATTTTTCACTCTCTTTTTCTTCTCAGTGCCATCCTGCCTAGGCTCCCATCATCTGCATCTGATGCCTTTCCTTTCTTTCTTTGCTAGTCTCCTTTGCAGTGGGACATGGCTAAGCTCTGTAGAGCTGCCCAAAAACTCATTGTCCCATCCTGTAGCCAGTAAAACATACCTCCAAAGTATCACAGGGTAATTCTACTCTCCCTTCCAAATTAAGCCCACCAGAAATATTAGTGAAAGGACATTAAAAATGTAACAGGTGACATGTTTAGCTAACATGGATCTGGAGAAATAGGAAGCAGTAGAATTAAATGTTTCACTTTTAGGTTTAATTGTATTTGTTCTTGGGTTTTGTTTTATGCTGAGTTTTAAATATATTCTCCAAATAAAAACATTATTTTTTCTAACCAAAAAAAAAGAAAACATATATCCACACAAAACTTTGTACACAAATGTTATACTGGCTTTATTCATAGTAGCTAAAAGGTAGGAAAAATCCAGATGCCTTTAACAAGTAAATGAATAAGCAAATTACAGTACATTTATACCATGGAATATTACTCAGGAACAAATAGGAGTAAGCTATACATAGATGCAAGTTGGACAATTCTCAAAGGCATTATACTGAATGAAAAAAAGCCAGTCTCAAAATGTTGCATAGAATAATATTCCATTTATAGATCCTTCTCAAAAAGACAAAATTAAAGTGTCGAAAAACAGATTAGTGGGTCTCAGGAGTTAAGGGTGGTGATAGGATATGACTACAAAGTAATAGCATGAGGGAGTATTTTGGATACTGTAGCTGTCTTTTGTCATGATTATGATAGTGTTATATGAGCCTATGCCTGTGTAAAAATTCATGGAACTGTAGACCAAAAATACCATTTTGCTTTATTATAAAAACTGAATTTAAAATAAATTTAATATAAAAATACTAACCATGTAGTTAATTAAGTATGGATGCAAATCACTCAAAATAGTGGAATGGAGCTATATAGTGAACCTTAAGTATTCAGCAGAGGAATTGGGGATTTGTTCATCAAGTAGTGGTGAGGAAATGAACATTTAAGTTGAGCAGTGAAAAGTCTATTGGGAGTTGATTTATACAAATACCACTTTGAAAAGAATGGACGACAGATGGAAAGAAGTGAAACAGAAAACGGGAAATATTCTGTATGAGAGATAATAAACCTCTAAAAGGAAAAGGAGAGCAAGAAGAGAAAAGGTTTGGTGAGGTCTAGATTTGTTACATGTTATGATAAAATCTACAGGAATTCCTCACTGATTTCACTGGCAGGAAAAAAATGCTTTGTTAGTAAATTCTTTATTTGAAAGGACCCTTCCTTCCTTCGCTTTGACTAAGAGCCCAACTTTATAAAATTCTAGAACAGCGGGACTTTGTGTATACATTTGCTAGGCAACACTCTATCTTGTGTCAGAATGGAAGTTCTGGAATGCAGATCCTGGGACACAACTAGCCATGCCAAAGAATGCAGACTCCTCACCACCTGACTGTTCTGTGAGTGCTGGCTCTATCCCCAGATTCTCACAGTAATAATAGCTGAAACTTACTGACTGCTTACCATGTGCTAGGCACTGCTTTTTTTTTATTATACTTTAAGTTTTAAGGTACATGTGCACAACATACAGGTTTGTTACATATACATACGTGTGCCATGTTGGTGTGCTGCACCCATTAACTCTTCATTTAACATTAGGTATATCTCCTAATGCTATCCCTCCCCCCTACCCCCCGACAACAGGGCCCAGCGTGTGATGTTCCCCTTCCTGTGTCCATGTGTTCTCATTGTTCAATTCCGACCTATAAGTGAGAACATGCAGTGTTTTGTTTTTCGTCCTTGTGGTAGTTTGCTGAGAATGATGGTTTCCAGCTTCATCCATCTCCCTACAAAGGACGTGAACTCATCCTGTTTTATGGCTGCATAGTATTCCATGGTGTATATGTGCCACATTTTCTTAATCCAGTCTATCATTGTTGGTCATTTGGGTTGGTTCCAAGTCTTTACTATTGTGAATAGTGCTGCAATAAACACACGTGTGCATGTTTCTTTATAGCAGCATGTTTTATAATCCTTTGTGTATATACCCAGTAATGGGATGGCTGGGTCAAATGGTATTTCTAGTTCTAGATCCCCTATGAATCGCCACACTGACTTCCACAATGGTTGAACCAAGTTTACAGTCCCACCAACAGTGTAAAAGTGTTACTACTTCTCCATATCCTCTCTAGCACCTATTGTTTCCTGACTTTTTAATGATCACCATTCTAACTGGTGTGAGATGGTATCTCATTGTGGTTTTGATTTGCAATTCTCTGATGGCCAGTGATGATGAGCATTTCTTCTTGCGTCTTTTGGCTGCATAAATGTCTTCTTTTGAGAAGTGTCTCTTCATATCCTTCGCCCACTTTTTGATGGGGTTGTTTGTTTTTTTGCTTGTAAATTTGTTTGAGTTCTTTGTAGATTCTGGATATTAGCCCTTTGTCAGATGCGTAGAATTCAAAAATTTTCTCCCATTCTGTAGGTTGCCTGTTCACTCTGATGGTGGTTTCTTTTGCTGTGCAGAAGCTCTTTAGTTTAATTAGATCCCATTTATCAATTTTGGCTTTTGTTGCCATTGCTTTTGGTGTTTTAGACATGAAGTCCTTGCCCATGCCTATGTACTGAATGGTATTGCCTAGGTTTTCTTCTAGGGTTTTTAAGGTTTTAGGTCTAACATTTAAGTCTTTAATCCATCTTGAATTAATTTTTGTGTAAGTTGTAAGGAAGGGATCCAGTTTCAGCTTTCTCCATATGGCTAGCCAGTTTTCCCAGCATCATTTATTAAATAGGGAATCCTTTCCCCATTGCTTGTTTTTGTCAGGTTCGTCAAAGATCAGATAGTTGTAGATATGTGGCATTATTTTTAAGGGCTCTTTTCTGTTCCGTTGGTCTATATCTCTGTTTTGGTACCAGTACCATGCTGTTTTGGTTACTGTAGCCTTGTAGTATAGTTTGAAGTCAGGTAGCGTGATGCCTCCAGCTTTGTTCTTTTGGCTTAGGATTGACTTGGCAATGTGGTCTCTTTTTGGTTCCATATGAACTTTAAAGTAGTTTTTTCCCATTCTGTGATAAAAGTCATTGGTAGCTTGATGGGGATGGCATTGAATCTGTAAATTACCTTGGGCAGTATGGCCATTTTCACGATATTGATTCTTCGTACCCATGAGCATGGAATGTTCTTCCATTTGTTTGTATCCTCTTTTATTTCATTGAGCAGTGGTGTGTAGTTCTCCTTGAAGAGGTCCTTCACATCCCTTGTAAGTTGGATTCCTAGGTATTTTATTCTCTTTGAAGCAATTGTGAATAGCAGTTCACTCATGATTTGGCTCTCTGTTTGTCTGTTATTGGTGTATAAGAATGCTTGTGATTTTTGCACATTGATTTTGTATCCTGAGACGTTGCTGAAGTTGCCTATCAGCTTAAGGAGATTTTGGGCTGAGACGAAGTGGTTTTCTAGATGTACAATCATGTCATCTGTAAACAGGGACAATTTGACTTCCTCTTTTCCTAATTGAATACCCTTTATTTCCTTCTCCTGCCTAATTGCCCTGACCAGAACTTCCAACACTATGTTGAATAGGAGTGGTGAGAGAGGGCATCCCTGTCTTGTGCCAGTTTTCAAAGGGAATGCTTCCAGTTTTTGCCCATTCAGTATGATATTGGCTGTGGGTTTGTCATAGATAGCTCTTATTATTTTGAGATATGTCCCATCAATATCTAATTTATTGAGAGTTTTTAGCATGAAGGGTTGTTGAATTTTGTCAAAGGCCTTTTCTCCATTTATTGTGATAATCGTGATTTTTGTCATTCGTTCTGTTTATATGCTGGATTGCCTTTATTGATTTGTGTATATTGAACCAGCCTTGCATCCCAGGGATGAAGCCCACTTGATCATGGTGGATAAGCTTTTTGATGTGCTGCTGGATTCGGTTAGCCAGTATTTTAGTGAGGATTTTTGCATCGATGTTCATCAGGGATATTGGTATAAAATTCTCTTTTTTTGCTGTGTCTCTGCCAGGCTTTGGTATCAGGATGATGCTGGCCTCATAAAATGAGTTAGGAAGGATTCCCTCCTTTTCTGTTGATTGAAATAGTTTCTGAAGGAATGTACCAGGTCCTCCTTGTACCTCTGGTAGAATTTGACTGTGAATCCATCGGGTCCTGGAGTTTTTTTGGTTGATAAGCTATTAATTATTGCCTCAATGTCAGAGCCTGTTATTGGTCTATTCGGAGATTCAACTTCTTCCTGGTTTAGTCTTGGGAGATTGTATGTGTCGAGGAATTTATCCATTTCTTCTAGATTTTCTAGTTTATTTGCGTAGAGGTGTTTGTAGTAATCTCTGATGGTAGTTTATTTCTGTGGGATCAGTGGTGATATCCCCTGTATCATTTTGTATTGCGTCCATTTGATTCTTCTTTCTTTTCTTCTTTTTTAGTCTTGCTAGCAGTCTATCAATTTTGTTGATCATTTGAAAAAAGCAGCTCCTGGATTCATTGATCTTTGAAGGGTTTTTTGTCTCTCTATTTCCTTCAGTTCTGCTCTGATCTTAGTTATTTCTTGCCTTCTGCTAGCTTTTGAATGTGTTTGCTCTTGCTTCTCTCATTCTTTTAATTGTGATGTTAGGGTGTCAATTTTAGATCTTTCCTGCTTTCTCTTGTGGGCATTTAGTGCTATAAATTTCCCTCTACACACTGGTTTAAATGTGTCCCAGAGATTCTGGTATGTTATGTCTTTGTTCTCGTTGGTTTCAAAGAACTTATTTATTTCTGCCTTCATTTTGTTATGTACCCAGTAGTCATTCAGGAGCAGGTTGTTCAGTTTCCATATAGTTGAGCAGTTTTGAGTGAGTTTCTTAATCTTGAGTTCTAGTTTGATTGCACTGTGGTATGTGAGACCGTTTGTTATAATTTCTGTTCTTTTACATTTGCTGAGGAGTGCTTTACTTCCAACTATGTGGTCAGTTTTGGAATAGGTGTGGTGTGGTGCTGAGAACAATGTATATTCTGTTGATTTGGGGTGGAGAGTTCTGTAGGTGTCTATTAGGTCTTTTTGGTGCAGAGCTGAGTTCAATTCCTGGATATCCTTGTTGACTTTGTGTCTCATTGATCTGTCTAATGTTGATAGTGTGGTGTTAAAGTCTCCCATTATTATTGTGTGAGAGTCTAAGTCTCTTTGTAGGTCTCTAAGGACTTGCCTTATGAATCTGGGTGCGCCTTTATTGGGTGCATATATATTTAGGATAGTTAGCTCTTCTTGTTGAATTGATCCCTTTACCATTATGTAATGGCCTTCTTTGTCTCTTTTGATCTTTGTTGGTTTAAAGTCTGTTTTATCAGAGACTAGGATTGCAACCCCTGCATTTTTTTGTTTTCATTTGCTTGGTAGATCTTCCTCCATCCCTTTATTTTGAGCCTATGTGTGTCTCTGCACATGAGATGGGTTTCCTGAATACAGCACACTGATGGGTCTTGACTCTTTATCCAATTTGCCAGTCTGTGTCTTTTAATTGGAGCATTTAGGCAATTTACATTTAAGTTAATATTGCTATGTGTGAATTTGATCCTGTTATTATGATGATAGCTGGTTGTTTTGTCGTTAGTTGATGCAGTTTCTTCCTAGCCTCGACTGTCTTTACAATTTGGCATGCTTTTGCAGTGGCTGGTACCAGTTGTTCCTTTCCATGTTTAGTGCTTCCCTCAGGAGCTCTTGTAGGGGAGGCCTGGTGGTGACAAAATCTCTCAGCATTTGCTTGTCTGTAAAGGATTTTATTTCTCCTTCACTTATTAAGCTTAATTTGGCTGGATATGAAATTCTGGGTTGAAAATTCTTTTCTTTAAGAATGTTGAATGTTGGCCCCCACTGTCTTCTGGCTTGTAGAGTTTCTGCTGAGAGATCAGCTGTTAGTCTGATGGGCTTCCCTTTGTGGGTAACCCGACCTTTCTCTCTGGCTGCCCTTAACATTTTTTCCTCATTTCAACTTTGGTGAATCTGACCATTATGTGTCTTGGAGTTGCTCTTCTCGAGGAGTATCTTTGTGACATTCTCTGTATTTCCTGAATCTGAATGTTGGCCTGCCTTGCTAGATTGGGGAAGTTCTCCTGGATAATATCCTGCAGAGTGTTTTCCAACTTGTTTCCATTCTCACCGTCACTTTCAGGTACACCAGTCAGACGTAGATTTGGTCTTTTCACATAGTCCCATATTTCTTGGAGGCTTTGTTCATTTCTTTTTATTCTTTTTTCTCTAAACTTCTCTTCTCGCTTCATTTCATTCATTTGATCTTCCTTCACTGATACCCTTTCTTCCAGTTGATCACATCGGTTACTGAGGCTTGTGCATTCATCACGTAGTTCTCGTGCCATGGTTTTCAGCTCCATCAGGTCCTTTAAGGGCTTCTCTGCATTGGTTATTCTAGTTAGACATTTGTCTAATCTTTTTTCAAGGTTTTTAACTTCTTTGTCATGGATTCAACTTCCTTCTTTAGCTCAGAGTAGTTTGATCGTCTGAAGCCTTCTTCTCTCAACTCGTCAAAGTCATTCTCCATCCACCTGTGTTCATTGCTGGTTCGGAGCTGCATTCCTTTGGAGGAGGAGAGGCACTCTGATTTTTAGAATTTTCATTTTTTTTCCTCTGTTTTTTCCCCATCGTTGTGGTTTTATTTACCTTTGGTCTTTGATGATGGTGACGTACAGATGGGGTTTTGGTGGGGATGTCCTTTCTGTTTGTTAGTTTTTCTTCTAACAGTGAGGACCCTCAGCTGCAGGTTTGTTGGAGTTTGCCGGAAGTCCATTTCAGACCCTGTTTGCCTGGATATCCTCAGCGGAGCCTGCAGAACAGCTCATATTGGTGAACCGCAAAGGTTGCTGCCTGATTCTTCATCTGGATGTTTTGTCTCAGAGGAGTACCTGGCCTTGTGAGGTGTCAGTCTGCCCCTACTGGTTGGTGGCTCCCAGTTAGGCTACTCGGGGGTCAGGGACCCACTTGAGGAGGCAGTCTGTCCGTTCTCAGATCTCCAGCTGCATGCTGGGAGAACGATTACTGTCTTCAAAGCTGTCAGACAGGGACATTTAAGTCTGCAGAGGCTTGTGCTGCCTTTTGTTTGGCTATGCCCTGCCCCCAGAGGTGGAGTCTACAGAGGCAGGCAGGCCTCCTTGACCTGGGGTGGGCTCCACCCAGTTCGATCTTCCTGGCCACTTTGTTTACCTACTCAAGCCTTGGCAATGGCGGGCGCCCCTCCCCCAGCCTCGCTGCGGCCTTGCAGTTTGATCTCAGACTGCTGTGCCAGCAATGAGTGAGGCTCCGTGGGCGTGGGACCCTCCGAGCCAGGCACGGGATATAATCTCCTGATGTGCCATTTGGTAAGACTGTGAGAAAAGCGCAGTATTTGGGTGGAAGTGACCCGATTTTCCAGGTGCCGTCTGTCACCCCTTTCCTTGGCTAGGAAAGAGAATTCCCTGACCCCTTGCACTTCCCAGGTGAAGCGATGCCTCTCCCTGCTTCGGCTCACACTCACTGTGCTACACCCATTGTCCTACACCCACTTTCTGACAATCCGCAGTGAGATGATCCTGGTACCTCAGTTGGAAATGCAGAAATCATTTGTTTTTTGTGTTTCTCATGTTGGTAGCTGTTCCTATTTGGCCATCTTGGCTGAGGCCCTGCTTTAACTGCTTTCTGTGCACCGTTTGTTTAATCATGTTAAAAACTCTCAGAGGTTATACCATTATCATTCCCTGTTTGGAGATGTAGTAATTAAGACACAGACTTGCCTACAATTCATATAGAAAGTAAGTGATTGAGCCAATATTGAGAACTTAGGTAGCCTGACTCCGTGGCCAAGGCTCTTCAATATTATGCTTTGCTACCTCATAAGAGGCCAAAGATCCTTGAACGAAGGTGAGTAGAAACAGAAAATCTCCTAGTAGCTTTCTCTGCCTTTACTACTTCCCTTCAATCATTTCTTCTTTCTGTGTTACCTACTATTATTGTTATTTTGCCTATGATTAAATACTCCTGTCTCATTAACACTGCCCTCACAGTGACTTGGTAGGAAATCTCTTAGTAGTCCTCATATCTCTGCCTCTATTGTAAGTATTTTATGTGGTGCTTGGTGAGTATTCCTACTAGTTTATCCTACTATGGAACTCTATGCTTGCATATTTCAGAGTCAGAAAGTGAGTGGGGCTGATGGACTGCTGGGATAAACAGAGCAGGCTTTCTATATGAATTAGTTCATGGGTATGTGGAATGAGGATGTCTTGTCTTCATGCTAGAGAAATATCAAAAACCAGGAATAGGGAGCAAGTTTCGCTGAAGGGAGGCTATGCTTGATAATACTAAGTCAAGGAAACTACAGGCAGCTGGTCAAAGCTAGCCTATTACCAGTTTTTGTAAATAAAAATTTATTGGAATACAGCCATCCATTCACTTATGTATTGTCTGTGGCTGCTTTTGTGTGATGACTGCAGAATTGAATTGTTGCAGTAGAGACCATATGGCCCACAGAGGCTAAGATAACTACTATTTGGCCCTTTGCAGAAATATTTTGCCAGCCCTTGATGTATGAGATGGAGCATCCTGTATTATTCGAGGTTTCTATGCAGGGAAATGCTAAGAGATTAAATTTGAGTTTTAGATAGAGACATTTGGAAGCACTGAGAAGAAGAAATCTAGATTCAGGGGCCAGAGAGATCAAAACAGGGTAAAAAAGAACTAGCGAGCACTGAGAGCAAGTAGATAAAAGGGATTAGCATTTAGATGTGCCAGTGAAGATAGGTTTTCCAGGATTTGACTGAAGTGTGTGTGTGTGTGTGTTTGTGTGTGTTTGTATGTGTATGCATGTGTATGTCGAGAAAGGAGGATTTCTAATTCTGAGAAAATGAGAGGACAGAGAGAGGAACATAGTACAAAAAGATAGAAGAAATACCCTCCCATTTCTGTAATTTCTGTTTGAAATGACCACTACATTTCTTTCTGCAGAAAGAGTTTTCTTTGCAGAAATTTTCCCTAGGGCTGGTCTGCCAGTATCTGTATTTCTTAGGCAACAGTGCCCCTAGTGTCTATATGACAGTATCACAATCTGCTAGACAAGATTTCTTGATGAGGGCTTAAAAAAGACCAATTGCAAAGATCACATTGCTGAGACAGTTTTTCTTCTTTGTCAAAATTGATATAGATGACCAGGTACACTCTCACCAGAAATACACTGGTAAAGTCTGCTTATTAGGAGAGGCTGTGGAGGGTGGACCTGGTGTCTTTTTTTTGCCTTGTGAGGCTAATTCATATAAATGTCAGGTATAAAAATAGTATCTTCTTTCAAGAAACTGCCTTCAGCTTTGCCATATCTACAATGCCATGGACTAAGAATAACACCTTAATGAGTTTTGAGGGTTACTTTTCATAGGTGGTCTATGGCAGGAACTACTGAATTTATGAACTGCCCCTCTTTGTCATCCTTTGCCTATCCTTCAAGGCCAGGATAGTTGCCTTCCAGTTGAAGCCTTGTTAGGATGTGAAAGCACAAGAAGATGCCAAGTCAAGATCCAGTCCCAGTTGTGCAAAGCACCACCCCTATCATGTAGAAGCCTGGATGTCTTAGTCCTCAGGGCTGCCCTTACTTTTCCAGGGGATAGCCATAATTCTCAACCAAAAGTCTTTAGTCTCAACCTTAAACACACACTGAGTGTGTCAATTCAGTGCGCGGTCCTCCCTTATACACTTTCAAGGGAGACTGGCCTATCTTTTGGCACTAGCCTCAAGAAGCCAGGAATGGCAGGCAGCCATGAGCTACACATCATGGGAATTAAATTGAAAGTGTAAATGAAAAGAGTATAATGGGGTAGGTCTACTGTGACTTTTGTTCTGCTTTCAATCTCTAATTATTTTGGCATGGAACAATTAAAGTAAATAATGACTAGTTACAATTTTGTCAATATATTTCTTGCAGATTGAATGTGTTCATGCACAGATTTTATCATCTTGTTACTCAAACGACTGATGGCTTCTGACCCTGCCTGAAAATTTCCTAAGAGGTAACAGTTCTAGGACACAGGTGAGTAGCAAGTGGGATTGCCCTCCCCACTTCCTTTTTTATTTTTTCCTGTTTTCACTATTTCCTTCTTTCTTCTCCATCTTTCCTGAATCTAAGTCCTCTCAATCTGGTAACCCCATCACTAATGGACATTTTTTTACTTTATTAATTTTATGTTATTTTTACATGTGATCTATACTTGTCATACATTTTTAAGTGTACGATACAGTATTGTTGACTGTAGGTACATTGTTGTATTCATTGGGGGGTAATCCAGAACCAGCATGTAGACTAGAAAGAATTCTAGAACAGGAGTTGTGAAAAGCTCCTTCTAGAAAGGAGTTGAAGTTTATCATTAAGTATCTTACTGGCATGGGGAATATTGCTTAATATGTCTGATGTCTGGTTTCTCACCTTTATTAAGGGGGTAGAGCCAGATGAGCTCTGAGATACCTGAAATCCATTTGAAATACTTTGAAATCCATGAACACATCTTTTCTAGTTCCCAGTGTTTCTGTGGGAGGATACAGAGATATCATGAGTTCACAATAAAGGAGAGTAAGGAAAAGGGAGAAGATGAAGAAAAGAGCTCATTCAGTGAGAGAGGAGTTAATTCTAACCCATGACATCTGTGGAGACTTTAGGATGAGGTGAGAAGTGAGCATAATTTGAATATAAGGGAAGATAACTTCATGTTAGAGGCTTGAGTTTGATTCTTGGATCACTGGGGAAGCAAGCTTTGGAGCTAGACTTCCTGGGTTTGAATCCAAGCATCACTACTTAGCAGCTATGATATTTATATGATTTAGAATCATCCATACCATGGGGATAAAATGGTAATTTGTTATGATTAAATGAGTTAACATATATAAATGTCTTAGAACAGTGTATGGTAGTTAGTAATGTTTCTGTACAGAGAAATGGTAGGTGACTAGGTAAACTTTTGATACACTTTTTGTAGATACTATTGAAGATGGATGCTAGAGCTTCAAGAGTCAGTTGTAGGTGAAACATAAGCTATTGAGATGTCTTCTGGGCTAGAAAGCAAGCAGGGTTCAGACCCACTCCCTCTCCCTCTCTTGATGTCCCTGTCTGTTTAATCGAGGGGTTTTCTCTGCAGAAATTTTCCCTAGGGTTGAGCCTGAAGGTTCATGTTGGAGGAGAAGTTAAACAAGTATTTGTTCTCTCAAATGCTCAGAAGAGTGCCTGGCTCATAGTAGACACTATATATACATATGTATATATGTGTATATATACTATACATGTATAGTATATATGTATATATATGTATATATACTATATATGTATATATATACTATACATGTATAGTATATATATACTATACATGTATAGTATATATGTATATACATGATATATGTGTTACAAGTGAATGAAAGTTGGGACAATGGAATGAAATAGAGTTTACATTGCACACTAGACAGATTACTCTGGGAATGATAAAACCTTTCTGATGAACTAAGGGGAGAGAGACTGCTGATGTGCATGTCATTTGGGAGGCTCTCCTAGCAGTTCAGGTGAGATACAATCAGGGCTCACACCAGGATATGGGACATGTGAGTAAAGAGTTGATTGAGTGGTGTGGCCTTCCAGAGGTCAAAAGTGTAGAACTGGATAAAAGTGGGGTGGGTATGATGGCTAGTATTCAGCCTCAGTGACTGACCAGTGTAATATGTTTCCTAGAGTAGTAGAAACTGGAGTGGAGGTGATGAAGGTGAGCAGAAGAGGTGAAAGTGGGAAGAAACCCACCTTGCTTTTGCCCCAAGATTTGTTTTCAAGGGCCACTCTCTCTCCTGCTACACCTTGAGGCATATTCCAAAAACCTCCTTTAGGACTTCTGGCCAGGATTTCTATAGTTAGGCCATACTGTCTCTGCGGTTCACAATAAGGTGGGGTGGGTCTTCAAATTGAGAAAGCCAAAGACCATGTGAGCAAAGAAGGTGCTTACCATACTCAATCAGAAGTGGACTTCAGATTCATTAGAGGAGTATGCTGGCATCAAGACACCACTGAATATTTCAAACAAAGGTCACTTCATCATGTGTTTCATTCTGGAATTGGGTATTTTTCAAATTTCCTTATTTTTCACATTCAAATTTCCTTTATATGCAAATATTTAAAATATCTACAAATTCTTGTAAAATAAGACTAAAGAAAGGAGGACTTTCCCACAGTTGAGTCCACTGAACCAAAGTCAATCTGGGTTTTCCCCCGTTTTATTGTTTTCTGTATTTATCCATAAATGATTGGTTTCTCAGACTAGGATGATTGCTCTTCCAAGGCAGGTACCTGCTTTTCCTTGTACATTTCTCCAACACAGTACTTTGCCTGGCATTTCAGGCATCTTGTACTGGTATCTTATGGTTCGAATTTGGCCTCCTCATACCACCATTGATTAGAATTCGAGCTAGAATCCAGGGACTATGAAGCATGAGAACTCTGTAACGCGTCCAAAAGCTGATGTTTTTCTGATGGTTTCATTGATCCTTCTTTATGATAATCAGAAACACCATCAAACAAAAGGGACCTTTGTGCATTTTCCTTTACTTGTAAACATGCAGAGACTTGGTCAATTGCTGTGCTGCAATTCATAATCCGAGGAGGTATTTTTCTTCTCCTGTTTTGCACCACAGGTATGATTGGTGTATACATTAAGGCCTAGCTAGTAGAGTTAGGTGGAAATAGTCAAGATGTGTTATTACTATTTTTTCACTCTAAATATCCTAGTCCACATATATTAAGCTACGGTTGGTGGCTTTTGGTTTTCCAAATGTACATAAGAAAGTAAGTAAAGACAAGTTGGGGATCTTTTAAACTCAAAACATTCTTGTCTTACTGGTCTTTTTCAACAAGTTATCCATATTCTCTAATAAGACTTTAATTATGTAGTCCTTTCACCTTCATAACCCACACATTGGCCCACAGTCAACTGGGTACTTTTTCCTGTGAAGAAGCAACATGAAATGAACCAAGACTCCAGTTACAGCATCATGGTTCTACTCCTGATTCTACTCCTGATCAGACCACTAAGGTGTGTGTGACCTGGGAAAACTCACTGGACATCTCTTTTTATCTTTTGTTATTTTCCCCACTGTGGGAAAGGTAAGGCCTCCAGCCTAGCCTATTCATCCTTCTCCATTTTTCTGATGAGTTCTCTTATCCATTTCCCATAAGAACTGTTTTCAAATTTCTCCACCTTCTTCAAACTTCTATACTGAAACCACAACACACTATTGAGGTAAGCTAGAGTTCATAAAACAAGGTCCCAAGGATAATACATGATCTAGAAGTTCTGCTGAGGCTTGCTGCCTTATTAGTGTTCAAGCCTCAGTGGTCCGCCACTGTTTCCTAGATCAGCACCCTCTCCCCCACACCCATCCTTATGTCATGCCCCCAGGTCCTTGAATATTGTATGTTGTAAGTTATGTGGAATATGGACAATAAAGAGATGCCATGCTGCTGACAGAGAAGTCTCAGACAATGCACTGTAAAAACAAGGTGGAGAAGATAGTCTCATGTATTATGGACCTTATGCAGATGAAATGTGAGGTCATGGGTATGGGAAGGGTTTGATCTGGGTGAATCTGCCAATAATTGGAAGAGATAGAAGTGAAGAGCGTGTGGAGGTATATTGTGGTCTACAGGCATACCTATATCCCTCGCATTTATTGTTTTTTGCATTTATTCATTTACTGTATAAGAGCCAACCTACTCCATCCAACCACTATGCTAGATACTAAAAATCTTGACACCACAGGAATTTGGAAAGTACAACACAATATGGTCTGATGTACCATAAAAATGGAATGTTTGCACTGGGTTTACTGGAAACTCATAAGAGGGCCACCTCATCTGGACTTGTGTTTCCATGTCAGCTTCTGGAAGGAAGTAACATCCAGTCTGAAACCTAAAGCATGAATAGTCATTGCACGGGCAAGCAGAGGTGAGAGATTGTGTTCTTGGCAGTGTGATTTGGCTGATGCAAAGGTCATAGAAACACAAAAATTCTGCAAGTTACAGAAAATATATGGATTTTGTAATGCTTGTCAAGAGTGAAGGAAATGGTATGTAAAGCCTGGGAATTATTTTCTACAGATTTAAGGCAAATAGATAGTGGGGAACCAAGTTAGTGGGAAGTTTAATTGATACAAGAGATATTAATTGCATGAAATGTATAAGATTTGAGCTTATACTGAAAGACTGGGGTGAGGTCTTTCTAGCACAGACTCTGGTTAAAGAAGAGCCATGAGCCAGATGTCAGAAATGTTAGAATTTTGGATGTGTTAGTGGAGTACCAGTGGTGATGTTCTATTTCCTGAAAAGTTTTGAACATTTATCAAAGATAAATTTAGTATATCCTTTAGTACATGGGAATTTCCTTTAAAATTTGTCCTTATGTTTGTTTCCTGTATGGAAAAATCATTGAGAAAACCAGGGAAAGACTGGATGAGTTGGGGGGAGGGGGGACTGGTGGCCTGGAAATTGATTCACAAAGGCTACAATAATGGATTAAAAGAAAGGCGCTGAATTGCCTGCCAGAGGCAGTGGGAGGGGTGTGCCTTCTCCTTGTCTCCCCTTATTTGCATGTGAGACCGAGGTCCCAAGGAAACAGATGAGTCGAAAGGTCGTTTTTTCCTTTCTCACTGTCTTTGCACTCATATTGTTTGAGTCCCATGTCTCTAGTATAATGAACAGTGCACACACAAAAAGGAAAGACTGCTGGCCTGGAAGCCTGGTGGCCTGGATCCTGGTCTGCTTTCTACCACTAAACGATTGTGTGTCCTTGAACAAATTCTTTAACATCTCTGATTTCCAGTTTTCTCTCTGTAAAGTAAAAGTAGATGTGCTTTGAATTTCCAGTTTGTACCTTGTAGTATTTGTATGTGTCTGTAGGGTGCCCAGTTGAGAAAATAATGCAGTCCCTGCTGTGTGGTGTCTTAAAATCCATATACATATAGCCGACTGTCATATAATAATGCTAATGATGAGAACCTTATGAGAGATATTGCCTTCAGTGACAGAAAAGGGAGTGATAAAAATTTCAGCTTAGGGAAGTCACAAATTTCTCATGTCAGTGATAAGATGTGAGCACAGCTTTGAATGATATAATAATGGGGGACAAATCAGGTTGAAGGAGCTAATCTCAGAATGTATAGGGCTTATTTTAGGGACACAACAAATAGTCCACAATGGATGGATCATGAAGTGTTTTAGGAAAGGTATTGCTTTTGAAAAGTGGATGGGAGCTAGAACCTGTTGGTCCTAATACGCTAAGCTCAGGGGATTCCAGGCTGATCTTGTAGGTACTTTAGAGGAAGCAAATAGGTTTGGGCCTAGGAATGAAGTAAGAGTCAGATCAGTGCTTCAGAAAAAATGATTTTTGATATTTAGCCTTAAAAAAGAATGAAATTCTGCCATTTGCAACAACATAGATGAACCTGGAGGACATTATGCTAAGTGAAATAAGCTGGGCAAAGAAAGACAAATACTGCATGTTCTCACTTATATGTGCAATCTAAAATAATTGAACTCATAGAAGCAGAGAGTTGAATGGTGGTTCTCAGAGGGTGGGGATAGGGTAAATAGGAGATATGGGTCAAAGGATACAAAGTTACAGTTAGACAGGAAGAATAAATGACAAGTATTTAAGATGAAAAAAGGTAAGTGAAATTTCTTACTTTTATTATGGTCACTCTTACAATTTTTTAAAAAAAATTCACCTTGTAAAACCATTCATTCAAATGTTTTTATAGGCCCAGCCAAGACCTGATAATGTTTATAATATAAGCTCTAAATTAAAATTGTAAGATGTTATGTTTTTGAACTCCTTCCAAGGGAGTATTCCTGAGTAATATTATTCATTTACTGTTACTTATAAAGACTAAAAGTTTTACCTGCTCATAAAAAAAGAAAAAAAGTCTGGAATAATGTAAAGTTCAACTTCATGGTATCTCTGAATGCCTCATCCAGGGGAAAGGATTTCAGCATGGACTGAAGAACTCATGTGAAATATGGGAAGAAGTTTTTTCCAGGTACAGGATCTTTCTGAGAAGAGCCAATAGCCAAATAATAGAATGTGTGAGGGATATGTTGGGAGCTAGCAAGTAGGATAATGCTGTTCTATTTTCTGGAAAAAGTCAAATGTTCATCAGAGATTTGAGTATATTCTGTGGTTAATGGGATTAAAATTTTGTAAGTATGTTTGTGGTACAATGCTGAATGATGTTGATTTGTGATTGAAAAATATCACTGGGACAGCAGTGTAGGGGGTTGAATGAAGACTGTGAATCAGTCATCAGGGAAACAGACTCTTATTTTAGAGATAGAGTTAATATAGACTGTCCCCTGCCTGGATTAGGGACAAAGAATGCAGTAGCCTTGCCTGGTACAGTAATGTCTATATGAATGAGCCTTCTCAACCATAGTGCTGCTTCAGGTCACAGCACTAGGGCCTCTTGCTATGCTCCCCTGTGAGCATAACCACTTATGCATAAGAAAGCCTCTGTCCCCAAGTCTTTCATTTGCTCTTCACTCTTCCCTGAAAGTTCCTCCCAGAGATCTCTTAGCTATTGCTTCTATCTCCTGATTTTTATTTGTCAGAGAGGCCCTCTCTGACCTTTTTTCTTGAATTAAATTCCCTCAACTGGTCCCTCCCACACCCTCTGTAACTCTATATCATTCTTCCCTGTGTTATTTTCTTCTCATGACTTTACCAATGTCTGAAATAATCTTATTTTTATACTCAATTATTCCGCTAGAGGATATAATGGCACTTAACACAAATTACCGTAAAGTGAATATTCTAAGGCAGTGTGTTATGTCTTTGCAGAGCTCTATGGGCTATGTTGAGGAAGCTGCTTACAGACGAAATTGACAGCATGAAGAAAGGTGTGGTCCTTACAAGTATAGGGCCTATATTAATGAAGTAGCCAGGCATAGCTTCAGCCAGGAGACTGAAGCACCAGGTATGCTGGAAGTTGTGCTGTAGTTCACTCAAGTACACATAGAATGTTCCTTTAGGCAGATTAGCTTTCATTTGTTAAACATAACTTACTTATGTCTAACTGACATCTTGACTAACTGATTTAACTAACTGACATTGATGTCTAACTGACTCTTACCCTGGTCAGGACAGTTCAAGGATGATGAGCTCATTGGCTAAACGTGCTGCCTAGATAGATTGGAGGGTGGAATAGAATGAGTTAGGGAACCTAGGTGAGACTGTGTTGGTGTTGTTGGAGGGTATTAACTATGGTGGCATCTCTGGGACCTGACTGTTCGTTGTTTATGAGGTGCTTCAGGAAGAGGTAAGATTTAGTTTTTGATTATGATCTTGGGCCATTAACAGAGGGAGGCCCACATCTGGAGGAGAAGGAGGAGTGGGAGAATGAAGGAAAATACCCAACTTCCAGGGCTGTAAAGTTCAGTGTGAAGTTCTAGGACACATGGGCGGAACATGCAGGTTTGTTACACAGGTATACACGTGCCATGGTGGTTTGCTGCCCGTCATCTACATTAGGTATCTCCTAATGCTACCCTCCCCTAGCCCCCTAACCATGACAGGCACTGGTGTGTGATGTTTCCCTCCCTGTGTCGATATGTTCTCATTGTTCAACTCCCACTTATGCATGAGAACATGCGGTGTTTGACTTTCTGTTCCTGTGTTAGTTTGCTGAGAATGATGGTTTCCAGCTTCATCCATGTCCCTGCAAAGGACGTGAACTCATCCTTTTTTATGGCTGCATAGTATTCCATGATGTATATGTGCCATATTTTCTGTATCCAGTCTATCTTGATGGGCATTTGGGTTGGTTCCAAATCTTTGCTATTCTGAATACTGCTGAAATAAACATACGTGTCCATGTGTCTTTACAGTAGAATGATTTATAATCCTTCGGGTATATACCCAGTAATGAGATTGCTGAGTCAAATGGTATTTCCGGTTCTAGATCCTTGGGGGATTGCCACACTGTATTCCACAATGGTTGAACTAATTTACACTCCCACCAACAGTGTAAAAGTGTTCCTATTTCTCCACATCCTCTCCAGCATCTGTTGTTTCCTGACTTTTTAATGACCACCATTCTAACTGGTGTTAAATGGTATCTCATTTTGGTTTTGATTTTCATTTCTCTAATGATCAGTGATGATGAGCTTTTTTTCATATGTTTGTTGGCCACATAAATGTCTTGTTTTGAGAAGTGTCTGTTTATATCCTTCACCCACTTTTTGATGGGGTTGTTTTTTTCTTGTAAATTTGTTTAAGTTCTTTGTAGATTCTGGATACTTGTCCTTTGTCAGATAGATAGATTGCAAAAGTTTTCTCCCATTCTGTAGGTTGCCTGTTCACTCTGATGATAGTTTATTTTGCTGTGCAGAAGCTCTTTAGTTTAATTGTATCCCATTTGTCAATTTTGGCTTTTGTTGCCATTGCTTTTGGTGTTTTAGTCATGAAGTCTTTGCCCATGCCTATGTCCTAAATGGTCTTGCCTAGGTTTTCTTCTATGGTTCTTATGGTTTTAGGTCTTAGCATTTAAGTCTTTAATCCAACTTGAGTTAATTTTTGTGTAAAGCATAAGGAAGGGGTCCAGTTTCAGTTTTCTGCATATGGCTAGCAAGTTTTCCCAACACCATTTATTAAATAGGAAATCCTATGCCCATTACTTGTTTTTGTCAGGTTTGTCAAAGGTCAGATTGTTGTAGATGTGTGGTGTTATTTATGAGGCCTCTGTTCTGTTCCATTGGTCTATATCTTTGTTTTGGTAGCAGTACCATGCTGTTTTGGTTACTGTAGCCTTCTAGTATAGTTTGAAGTCAGGTAGTGTGATGCCTCCAGCTTTGTTCTTTTGGCTTAGGATTGCCTTGGCGATGCGGGCTCTTTTTTGGTTCCATATGAACTTTAAAGTAGTTTTTTCCAATTCTGTGAAGAAAGTCATTGGTAGCTTTATGGGGATAGCATTGAATGTATACATTACTTTGGGCAGTATGGCCATTTTCATGATATTGTTTATTCCTACCCATTAGCATCGAGTGTTTTTTCATTTGTTTTTGTCCTCTCTTACTTCCTTGAGCAGTGGTTTGTAGTTCTCCTTGAAGAGTTCCTTTACATCCCTTGTAAGTTGTATTCCTAGGTATTTTATTCTCTTTGTAGAATTTGTGAATGGGAGTTCACTCATGATTTGGCTCTCTGTCTTTTATTGGTGTACAAGAATGCTTGTGATTTTTGCACATTGATTCTGTATACTGAGATGTCAGCTCTGGACCAAGCCGACCTAATAGACCTCTAAAGCACTCTCCACCCCAATCAACAGAGCATACATTCTTCTCAGCACCACATCACACTTTTCCTAAAATTGACCACATAATTGGAAGTAAAACACTCATCAGCAAATGCAAAAGAAGAGAATCATAACAAACAGTCTCTCAGACCACAGTGCAATCAAATTAGAACTCAGGATTAAGAAACTCATTCAAAACTGCACAACTACATGGAAACGGAACAACCTGGTCCTGAATGACTACTGGGTAAATAGCGAAATTAAGGCAGAAATAAATAAGTTCTTTGAATTCAATAACAAAGACAAAACGTACCAGAATCTCTGGGACACAGCTAAAGCAGTGTTTAGAGGAACATTTACAGCACTAAATCCCCCACAGGAGAAACTGGGAAAGATCTAAAATTGACACCTTAACATCACAGTTAAAGAAAACTAGAGAAGCAAGAGCAAACAAATTCAAAAGTTAGCAGAAGACAAGGAATAACTGAAATCAGAGCAGAATTGAGGAATATAGAGACATGAAAAACGCTTCAAAAAATCAATGAATCCAGGACCTGATTTTTTCTAAAAGATTGACAAAATAGACCACTAGCCAGAATAATAAAGAAGCAAAGAGAGAAGAATCAAATAGCCACAATAAAAAATGATAAAGGGGATATCACCACTGATCCCCTAGAAATGGTACAGACTACCATCAGAGAATATTATAAACACCTCTATGTGAATAAACTAGAAAATCTAGAAGAAATGGATAAATTCCTGGACACATACACCGTGCCAAGACTAAACCAGGAAGATGTTGAATCCCTGAATAGACCCATGACAAATTCTGAAATTGAGGCAGTAATTAACAGCCTACCCGCCAAAAAAAGCACAGTACTAGATGGATTCACAGCCAAATTCTACCAGAGGTACAAAGAGGAGCTGGTACCATTTCTTCTGAAACTGTTCCAAACATTAGAAAAAGAGGGACTCCTCCCTAACTCATTTTTTAAAGCCAGGATCATTCTGATAGCAAAACCTGGCAGAGACACAACAACAACAACAGAAAATCTCAGGCCAATATCCCTGATGAACATTAATGTGAAAGTCCTCAATAAAATGCTGGCAAACCGAATCCAGCAGCATATGAAAAGGCTTATCCACCATGATCAAGTCGGCTTCATGTCTGGGATGCAAGGCTGGTTCAACATATACAAATCAATAAATGTAATCTAGCACATAAACAGAACCAATGACAAAAACCACATGATTATATCAATAGATGCAGAAAAAGCCTTCCATAAAATTCAATACCCCTTCATGCTAAAAACTCTCAATAAACTAAGTATTGATGGAATGTATCTCAAAATAAAAAAGAGCTATTTATGACAAACCCACAGCCAATATCATACTGAATGCGCAAAAGCTGGAAGCATTCCCTTGAAAACTGGCACAAGCCAAGGATGCCTTCTCTCACCACTCTTATTCAACATAATACTGGAAGTTCTGGCCGGGGCAATCAGGCAAGAGAAAGAAATAAAGGGTATTCAGTTAGGAAAGGAGGAAGTCAAATTGTCCCTGTTTGCAGATGACATGATTGTATATTTAGAAAACCCCATCATCTCAGCTCAAAATCTCTTTAAGCTGATAGGCAAAGTTGAGTTCTTACTCTACAAAAGACCCTGTGAAGTGAACAGTAAAACAAGCTACAGACTGGGAGAAAATATTTATAAAACAAATATCTCACAAAGGAATAATTTCCAGAATATTTAAAGAACTCTCATTACTTAATAGTAAAAGCAAACTATCTGAGAATAAAATATGGAAAGACATGAACAATACTTTACCAAAGAGGATATACAAATGGCAAATGAGCATATGAAAAGATGTTCAAAATTATTCGCCATTTCGGAAATGCAAATTAAAGCCATGATGGGATATCACTACACATATATGAGAATAACTAAAATTAAAAATAATTGAGACAACACCAAATGCTAGTGTGGATGAGGAGAAACTGGATTACACATACAATGCTTTTCGGGTTGTAAAATTGTGCAGCCAGTTTGGAAAACAGTTTGGTAATTTCTTACAAAACTAAACAAAAAACTGCTATATGAGGGGGTGGAGCCAAGATGGCCAAATAGGAACATCTCCAGTCTACAGCTCCCAGTGTGAGCGATGCAGAAGATGGGCGATTTCTGCGTTTCCAACTGAGGTACCGGGTCCATCTCACTGGGGAGTATTGTACAGTGGGTGCAGGACCGTGGGTGCAGCACACCGAGCGTCAGCTGAAGCAGGGTGAGGCATTGCCTCACCCGGGAAGCACAAGGGGTCAGGGAATTCCCTTTCCTAGTCAAAGAAAGGGGTGACAGATGGCACCTGGAAAATCGGGTCACTCCTACCCTAATACTGTGTTTTTCCAATGGTCTTAGCAAACGGCACACCAGTAGATTATATCCCACACGTGGGTCGGAGGGTCCTACGCCCACGGAGCCTCACTCATTGCTAGCACAGCAGTCTGAGATCAAACTGCAAGGCAGCAGCGAGGCTGGGGGAGGGGCGCCCGCCATTGCTGAGGCTTGAGTAGGTAAACAAAGTGGCTAGGAAGCTCGAAGTGGGTGGAGCCCACCGCAGTTTCAAGGAGGCCTGCCGACCTCTGTAGACTCCACCTCTGGGGGCAGGGCATAGCCAAACAAAAGGCAGCAGAAAACTCTGCAGACTTAAATGTTCCTGTCTGACAGATTTGAAGAGAGTAGTGGTTCTCCCAGCATGCAACTGGAGATCTGAGAACTCACAGGCTGCCTCCTCAAGTGGGTCCCTGAACCCTGAGTAGCCTAACTGAAAGGCACCGACCAGTAGGGGCAGACTGACACCTCACACGGCCGGGTACTCCTCTGAGACAAAACTTCCAGAGGAAGGATCAGGCAGCAACATTTGCTGTTCACCAACATCCACTGTTCTGCAGCCTCTGCTGCTGATACCAAGGGAAACAGGGTCTGGAGTGGACTTCCAGCAAACTCCAACAGACCTGCAGCTGAGGATCCTGACTGTTAGGAAAACTAGCAAACAGAAAGGACATCCGCACCAAAACCCCATCTGTACATCACCATCATCAAAGACCTAAGGTAGATAAAACCACAAAGATGGGGAAAAAACAGCAGAAAAACTGGAGACTCTAAAAATCAGAACACCTCTCCTCCTCCAAAGGAATGCAGCTCCTCACCAGCAATGTAACAAAGCTGGACAGAGAATGACATTGATGAGTTCAGAGAAGAAGACTTCAGACGATCAAACTACTACGAGCTAAAAGAGGAAGTTTGAACCCAAGGCAAAGAAGTTAAAAACCTTGAAAAAAAATAGAGGAATGGCTAACTAGAATAAGCAATGCAGAGAAATCCTTAAAGGAATTGACGGAGCTGAAAAACCACGGCACGAGAACTACATGACGAATGCACAAGCCTCAGTAACTGATGTGATCAACTAGAAGAAAGGGTATCAGTGATGGAAGATAAAATGAATGAAATGAAGCGAGAGAGAGGTTTAGAGAAAAAAGAATAAAAAGAAACGAACAAAGCCTCCAAGAAATATGGGACTATGTGAAAAGACCAAATCTACGTCTGATTGGTGTACCTGAAAGTGACAGGGAGAATGGAACCAAGTTGGAAAACACTCTGCAGGATATTATCCAGGAGAAGTTCCTCAATCTAGCAAGGCAGGCCAACATTCAGATTCAGGAAATACAGAGAATGTCACAAAGATACTCCTCGAGAAGAGCAACCCCAAGGCACATAATTGTCAGATTCACCAAAATTGAAATGAAGGAAAAAATGTTAAGGGAAGCCAGAGAGAAAGGTCGGGTTACCCACAAAGGGAAGCCCATCAGACTAACAGCGGATCTCTCCGCAGAAACTCTACCAGCTAGAAGACAGTGGGGACCAATATTCAACATTCTTAAAGAAAAGAATTTTCAACCCAGAATTTCATATCCAGCCAAACTAAGCTTCATAAGTGAAGGAGAAATAAAGTCCTTTACACACAAGCAAATGCTGAGAGATTTTGTCACCACCAGGCCTGCCCTACAAGACCCCCTGAGGGAAGCACTAAACATGGAAAGGAACAACCAGTACCGGCCACTGCAAAAGCATGCGAAATGGTAAAGACCATCGAGGCTAGGAGGAAACTTCAACAACTAACGACAAAACAACCAGCTACCATCATAATGACAGGATCAAATTTACACATAACAATATTAACATTAAATGTAAATGGGCTAAATGCTCCAATTCAAAGACACAGACTGGCAAATTGGATAGAGTCAAGACCCATCAGTGTTCTGTATTCAGGAAACCCATCTGACGTGCAGAGACACACATAGGCTCAAAATAAAAGGATGGAGGAAGATCTACCAAGCAAATGGAAAACAAAAAAAGGCAGGGGTTGCAATCCTAGTCTCTGATAAAACAGACTTTAAACCAACAAAGATCAAAAGAGACAAAGAAGGCCATTACATAATGGTAAAGGGATCAATTCAACAAGAAGAGCTAACTATCCTAAATATATATGCACCCAATACAGGAGCACCCAGATTCATAAAGCAAATCCTTAGAGACCTACGAAGAGACTTAGACTCCCACACAATAATAATGGGAGACTTTAACACCCCACTGTCAATATTAGACAGATCAATGAGACAGAAAGTTAACAAGGATATCCAGGAACTGAACTCAGCTCTGCACCAAGCGGACCTAATAGACATCTGCAGAGCTCCCCACCCCAAATCAACAGAATATACATTCTTTTCAGCACCACACCACACCTATTCCAAAATTGACCACATAGTTGGAAGTAAAGCTCTCCTCAGCAAATGTAAAAGAACAGAAATTATAACAAACTATCTCTCAGACCACAGTGCAATCAAACTAGAACTCAGGATTAAGAAACTCACTCAAAGCCGCTCAACTACATGGAAACTGAACAACCTGCTCCTGAATGACAACTGGGTATATAACGAAATGAAGGCAGAAATAAGGATGTTTTTTGAAACCAAAGAGAACAAAGGCGCAACATACCAGAATCTCTGGGACACATTCAAAGCAGTGTGTAGAGGGAAATTTGTAGCACTAAATGCCCACAAGAGAAACCAGGAAAGATCTAAAATTGACAACCTAACATCACAATTAAAAGAACTAGAGAAGCAAGAGCAAATACCTTCGAAAGCTAGCAGAAGGCAAGAAATAACTAAGATCAGAGCAGAACTGAAGGAAATAGAGACACAAAAATCCCTTCAAAAAATCAATGAATCCAGGAGCTGGTTTTTTGAAAAGATCAACAAAATTGACAAACCGCTAGCAAGACTAATAAAGAAGAAAAGAGAGAAGAATCAAGTAGCCACAAAAAGAAATGATAAAGGGGATATCACCACTGATCCCACAGAAGTACAAACTACCATCAGAGAATACTATAAACACCTCTATGCAAATAAACTAGAAAATCTAGAAGAAATGGATAAATTCCTTGACACATACACCCTCCCAAGACTAAGCCAGGAAGAAGTTGAATCTCTGAATAGACCAATAAGAGGCCCTGAATTTGGGGCAATACTTAATAGCTTACCAACCGAAAATTCCAGGACCAGATGGATTCACAGCCGAATTCTACCAGAGGTACAAAGAGGAACTGGTACCATTCCTTCTGAAACTATTCCAATCAATAGAAAGAAAGGGAATCCTCCCTAACTCATTTTATGAGGCCAGCATCATCCTGATACCAAAGCTGGGCAGAGACACAACAAAAGAGAATTTTAGACCAATATCCCTGATGAACATCGTTGCAAAAATCCTCAATAAAATACTGGAAAACCAAATCCAGCAGCACATCAAAAAGCTTATCCACCATGATCAAGTGGACTTCATCCCTGGGATGCAAGGGTGGTTCAACATACACAAATCAATAAATGTAATCCAGCATATAAACAGAACCAAAGACAAAAACCACATGATTATCTCAATACATGCAGAAAAGGCTTTTGACAAAATTCAACATCCCTTCATGCTAAAAACTCTCAATAAATTAGGTATTGATGGGAAATATCTCAAAATAATAAGAGCTATCTATAACAAACCCACAGCCATTATCATACTGAATGGGCAAAAACTGGAAGCATTCCCTTTGAAAACTGGCACAAGACAGGGATGCCCTCTCTCACCACTCCTATTCAACATAGTGTTGGAAGTTCTGGCCAGGGCAATCAGGCAGGAGAAGGAAATAAAGTGTATTCAATTAGGAAAAGAGGAAGTCAAATTGTCCCTGTTTGCAGATGACATGATTGCATATCTATAAAACCCTATCGTCTCAGCCCAAAATCTCCTTAAGCTGATAGGCAACTTAGCAAAGTCTCAGGATACAAAATCAATGTGCAAAAATCACAAGCATTCTTACACATCAATAACAGTCAAACAGAGAGCCAAATCATGAGTGAACTCCCATTCACAATTGCTTCAAAGATAATAAAATACTTAGGAATCCAACTTACAAGTGATGTGAAGGACCTCTTCAAGGAAAACTACACACCACTGCTCAATGAAATCAAAGAGGATACAAAGAAATGGAAGAACATTCCATGCTCATGGGTAGGAAGAGTCAATATCATGAAAATGGCCATACTGCTCAAGGTAATTTATAGATTCAATGTCATCCCCATCAAGCTACCAATGACTTTCTTCACAGAATTGGAAAAAACTACTTTAAAGTTCATATGGAACCAAAAACGAGCCTGCATTGCCAAGTCAATCCTAAGCCAAAAGAACAAATCTGGAGGCATCACACTCCCTGACTTCAAACTATACTACAAGGCTACAGTAACCAAAACAGCATGGTACTGGTACCAAAACAGAGATATAGACCAATAGAAGAGAACAGAGCCCTCAGAAATAATGCCACATATCTACAACTATCTGATCTTTGACAAACCTGAGAAAAACAAGAAATGGGGAAAGGATTCCCTATTTAATAAATGGTGCTGGGAAAACTGGCTAGCCACATGTAGAAAGCTGAAATTGGATCCCTTCCTTACACCCTATACAAAAATTAATTCAAGATGGATTAAAGAATTAAAAGTTAGACCTAAAACCATAAAAACCCTAGAAGAAAACCTAGGCAATACCATTCAGGACATGGGCATGGGTAAGGACTTCATGACTAAAACACCAAAAGCAATGGCAACAAAAGCCAAAATTGACAAATGGGATCTAATTAAATTAAAGAGCTTCTGCACAGCAAAAGAAACTACCATCAGAGTGAACAAGCAACCTACAGAATGGGAGAAAATTTTTGCAGTCTAGTCATCTGACAAAGGGCTAATATCCAGAATCTACAGTGAACTGAAACAAATTTACAAGAAAAAAACAAACAACCCCATCAAAAAGTGGGCAAAGAATATGAACAGACACTTCTCAAAAGAAGACATTTATGCAGCCAAAAGACACATGAAAAAATGCTCATCGTCACTGGCCATCAGAGAAATGCAAATCAAAACCCGAATGAGACACCATCGCACACGAGTTAGAGTGGTGGTCATTAAAAAGTCAGGAAACAACAGGTGCTGGAGAGGATGTGAAGAAATAGGAACACTTTTACACTATTGGTGGGACTGTTAACCAGTTCAACCATTGTGGAAGTCAGTGTGGCGATTCCTCAGGGATCTAGAACTAGAAATACCATTTGACCCAGCCATTCCTTTACTGGGTATATACCTAAGGTATTATAAAACATGCTGCTATAAAGTCACATGCACACATATGTTTATTGCAGCGCTATTCACAATAGCAAAGACTTGAAACCAAGCCAAATGTCCAACAGTGATAGACTGGATTAAGAAAATGTGGCACATATACACCATGGAATATTATGCAGCCATAAAAAAGGATGAGTTCATGTCCTTTGTAGGAACATGGATGACGCTGGAAACCATCATTCTCAGCCTATTATCACAAGCGCAAAAAAGCAAACACCACATGTTCTCACTCATATGTGGGAATTGAACAGTGAGATCACATGCACACAGGAAGGGGAACATCACACACCGAGGCCTGTTGTGGGGTTGGGGGAGGGGGTAGGGATAGCATTAGGTGATATACCTAATGTTAAATGAAGAGTTAATGGGTGCAGCACACCAACATGGCATATGTATACATATGTAACAAACCTGCACATTGTGCACATGTACCCTATAACTTAAAAGTTTAATAAAAAACTGCTATATGATCTAGTAATTATATTTTTAGGGATTTATCACAGAGAAATGAAAACATGTTTACACAAAGTCCTGTGCATGAATGTTTGTAGCAACTTTACTTGTCATAACTCCAAATGGGAAACAACCTAGTTGTCCTTCAAAATGCAAATGGTTCAACAAACTGTTGAACCGTTCCATACAATGGAATGAAAAGGAACAAACACAGGACAAGCAGCAACCTGGAGGAATCTTCAGAGAATTATGCTGAGTGAAATGAGGCGGTCCCAAAGATTACACGATGTGTGATTCCGTTTATATTACATTTCTGAAATGACAAAATTATGGAATTGGAGAAACGATTAGTTCTTTCCAGAGGTTAAGAAAGGGGTGGGAGCAGGAAGGAAGTGAGTATAGCTGTAGAAGAGCAACAGGCAGGATCCCTGTGGCGATGGAATATTCTGTATCTCACTATTAATGTGAATTTCCTGGTTGTGATATTGTACTGTAGTTTTGCAAAATTTTACCATTGGGGGAAACTGAATAAAGTGTACACAGGATCTCTGTGTAATCTTTGAATTATTTCTTACAACTGCATGTAACAACTGTCGTTTAAACAGTAAAGATTAATTTAAAATATGTATAACAAGGCCTCTACCCATTTGATTCCTCCATGCAACTCTTTGCGAATTCATTACAAGTTTCTTGTCAGTTGTTGATGGATTGATGAGCCATCTCTTTACGGTGTTGAGGATGGATTTTTGAGAGAATCAGAAAGTGGAACAGGGAAGAGAAATTAGGAGGCTACTTGATTTGCCATGACAGGCATCATAAAAGTAGAATAGACAGATGTCCTTGACTTATGATGACTCAACTTACAGTTTCTCAACTTTCAGTTGCTTTTCTATGTATGATGGGGTTATGTTCAGAAAAATACAGCATTTGTTGAAAATATTGTCAGTCAGACTGTACAGAGGTGGATTGCTGTGCATTATGCGTTTGTGTATGACTGTGTCCAGTGACTGGGAGTAGATCTGGAGGCATCAACACAGGGAATAAACCAGGATGTAGAGGAGAAAGAGGGAAAACCTCTATGCCACTAACTGTAATATTTATTGGAAATCTTCTTTCCATTGTCTCTTAGAGATAAAGGCCAGTCTCAGATATTTCCTGAATAATTCTGGCTCTTGTGATTATTTGTTAGGCAACGCAGCCTCCAGTGTCAGAATTGCTGTACTGCACCTTGAATTATGAAGACACTGCCCAGGTGCAGATTGACAGGGTGTCTTAGGCCATTCTCACATTACTATAAAGAAATACCTAAGACTGGGTAATTTATAAAGAATAGAGGTTTAATTGGCTCATGGTTCTGCAGGCTGTGCAGGAAGCTTGGTGCTGGCATCTGCTTGGCTTCTGAGGAAGCCTCAGGAAACTTATGATCATGTGGAAGGTGAAGGGGAAGCAGGCACGTCTTACATGGCAGGAGCAGGAGTAAGAGGGCGAGGGAGGTGCTACACACTTTTAAACAACTAGATTTCAGGAGAACTGACTCACTATCATGAGAACAGCACCAAGGTGATGGTGCTAAACCACTGTGAGAAATCTACCCCCATGATCTAGTCACCTTCCCACCTCCATCATTGGGGATTACAACTGAACGTGATATATTACAGGGACAGGAGCCAATTACTTACAGGACTAGTTACATCTTCCTGTTTTGAATTGAGACAGATGCAGAGTCAGGTTTCAGGACTTTATCCTGGCTATTGTCGTATTCAGGAAACAGCTGGATCTGATCAAGGTTGTGTATAAAAGACAAGGTGCAGAAACCATTTCAAATAAAGATTGGGTGGGGCTACAGTGCTTATGTTCAGTCTGGGTGTTGAAGGAAATTGATGAATCTTTATGTTGGGTGTTGGGGCTTCCATGCTTCCATACCATACAGACCCCAGTGGTGGAGCTGGGGTATAGAGTGGTATAGCCCTGGCAGCATAATTGGGGTTCATGCCTCTGCCATTGTTGGTGCTGGTCAGGCTGTGGTTTATAATCAGGCCTGGTTGTGTGGCAGAACCCATAAGACAGGTTCATTATGAGGGGTGTCGGATGTCAGATGTACAGACATGTACAAACATTTTTCTTTGTGAAGCTTTGTGGTCTAATATATCTATCCTCTTGTTTGTTGTCACAGATGCTGGAGGGAGTGGAGGAAGAAGTTTAATTACCACATACAGCTCTTCCATATGCAAGGTCTCTGGGGCAAAACTGTCATTCTGTCTGAAGCCAGACCCTCAATGTCAGACTAAGAGAGTCGGATGGAGACTACATCTTCTGTGTGTGTTGCAATGGGAGGACTTCTCTCCACCGAGTTTAGTGAGGGTAAGGTGCCAGGAAAAGTGATCATATTCATTCTTATGTTTGTAAAAGAATGATTGTTCACATATCTCTAAAAAGACCAAAACTGTGTATGTTGCAATGTGAAGACTTCCCCCAACCAAGTTTAGTGAGGGTAAGGTACCTGGAAAAGAGATAATATTCATTCTTATGTCTGTAAAAGAGTGATTGTTCACATATCTCTAGGAAGACCAAAAGCTTCTCCCAGCCAGTGATCTGCTTTTCCCTCTGCATTTATTCCTAGTGGTACTTAATCCAGCTTCCTCTCTCACCCAGGACTTGCTGCCTCCTACATTCTTATCTCTCAGAGACTGCAGGGATAAATGTCCAGCTTCTATGTGCCAGAACCTGGGGCACCAGGGAAGAATCTATACAAAGGCCACAAAAAGCACTAAAGCTCAAGAAAATGAATTCTGATGTCATAGTAGGAAAGAAGATAGGCCATGTTAATCACATGATAATTGAGTGGAGTAAGAGAATTTCCAATCAGAGGCTTCATTGTGTGACTCAGGGGCCGTTTTCAGGGAAATAAGTCATAGTCATTCATAAGGAGCATGAATGGTGTGGAGCTGTGTTTTGTGCTTGAAAGAATAGATGGGAATCAGAACCTGGTGGCCAATGTGTGCTCAGCAGAGATATTTTCTGCTTTATCTCTTTGTCAAAGGGTTGTGGGCAAGAGAGTGAAAGATACATTATAACTTAGATCTGTGGTTTAAAAATATCAGTTTGAGAATGATATATTTTAAAAGATGCATTGGAGGGAGTAAGAAGTGCTAAGTAGGTGAAATACTTTTTAAAATTCTAGGTAAGACATGATAATGTGGAAGTATTAGCCAGTGAGACATTACAGACTTATGGTCTATATGATTTTCTTACTGGATTGTGAGATGGTGAGAGTGATTTCACAGTCAATGCTGAAAGGTATTGGTGCCATTAACAAGAAGGGGAACGACGGGGGATAGGTATGGGAGAAACAACACTTTGTATTACTATATTCCTGTTTTCCTTGGTAGAACTTGAAGCTTATTTCATAAAATTTCTACATTTTTTCCAAACAAGTGTTCTGTTTGTTACATGACCGTGTTAGGCTTTTTGTTTTGTTTTGTTTCTCTTTTTGCTTTTTTGTTTTTGTTTTATTGTTTGTTTTGTTTTATTAATTTTAATTTTTTAATTTTTTTTTATATGTTATTGGGGTACAGGTCTTGTTTGGTTACATGAGTAAGTTCTTTAGTGGTGATTTGTGAGATTTTGGTGCACCCATCACTGGAGCAGTATACACTGCACCATATTTGTAGTCTTTTATCCCTCACACCATTCCCACCCTTCCCCTAAGTCCCCAAAGTCCATGGCATCATTCTTATACCTTTGCGTCCTCATAGCTTAGCTCCCACATATCAGTGAGAATGTATGATGTTTGGTTTTTTAATCCTGAGTTACTTCACTTAGAACTATAGTCTCTAATCTCATCCAGGTCACTGCAAATGCTGTTAATTCATAATTCATTCCTATTTATGGCTGAGTATTATATATATATGCCACAATTTTCTTTATCCACTCATTGATTGATGGGCATTGGGGTTGTTTCCACGATTTTACAATTGAGAATTGTGCTGCTATAAACATGGGTGTGCAAGTATCTTTTTCGAATAATGACTTATTTTCCTCTGGGTAGATACCCAGTAGTGGGATTGCTGGATCAAATGGTAGTTCTACTTTTTGTTCTATAAGGAATCTTCACACTGTTTTCCATAGTGACTGTACTAGTTGACATTCCCACCAGCAGTGTAGAAGTGTTCCTTGATCACTATATCAATGCCAACATCTACTCTTTTTTTTATTTTTTGATTATGGCCATTCTTGCAGGAGTAAAGTGGTATCACATTGTGGTTTTGATTTGCATTTCCCTGATCTTCAGTGATGTTGAGCATTTTTTATATGTTTGGTGGCCATTAGTATATCTTCTTTTGATTATTATCTATTCATGTCCTTAGCCCACTTTTTGATGAGATCGTTTGTTTTTTTCTTGCTGATTTGTTTGACTTCATTGTAGATTCTGGATATTGGGCCTTTGTCAGATGTATAGATTGTGAAGATTTCCTCCCACTTTGTGGGCTGTTTGTTTACTCTGCTGACTGTTCCTTTTGCTGTGCAAAAGCTCTTTAGTTTAATTAGGTCCCAACTATTTATCTTTGTTTTTATTGCATTTCCTTTGGATTCCTGGTCATGAAATCCTTGCTTAAGCCAATACCTAGAAAGGTTTTTCCAGTGTTATCTTCTAAAATATTTATAGCTTCAGGTCTTAGGTTTAAGTTCTTAATCCATCTTGAGTTGATTTTTCTATAAGGTGATAGATAAGGATGCAGTTTCATTCTCCTACATGTGGCTAGCCAAGTATCCCAGCACCATTAGTTGAAAAGGGCGTCCTTATATTTTTGTTTCCTTTGTCAAACATCAGTTGGCTATAAGTATTTGGGTTTATTTCTTTGTTCTCTCTTCTGTTCCATTGGTCTATGTGCCTATTTTTATACCAGTGCTATACTGTTTTGGTACTACGGCCTTATATTATAATTTGAAACCAGGTAGTGTGACGCCTCTAGATTTACTCTTTTTGCTTAATCTTGCTTTGGCTGTGTGGGCTATTTTTTGGTTCCATATGAATTTCAGAATTGTTTTTTCTAGCTCTGTGAAGAATGATGGTTTTATTTTGATGGGGATTGCATTGAATTTGTAGATTGCTTTTGGCAGTATGGTCATTTTCACAACATTGATTCTACCCATCCATGGGCATGGGATGTGTTTCCATTTGTTTGTGTTATCTATGATTTCTTTCAGCAGCGTTTTGTTGTTTTCCTTATAGAGGTCTTTCAACTCCTTGGTTAGGTATATTCCTGAGTATTTTTTTTTTTTTTGCAGCTATTGTAAAAGGGATTGAGTTCTTGATTTGATTCTCAGCTTGGTTACTGTTGGTATATAGAAGAACTACTGATTTGTGTACATTAATCTTGTATCTGGAAACTTTGCTGAATTCTTTTATCAGTTCTAGGAGATTTTTGGAGGAGTCCTTAGGGTTTTCAGGTAAACAAGCATATCTTCAGCAGACAGGGACAGTTTGTCTTCCTCTTTACCAATTTGGATGCCCTTTATTTATTGTTCTTGTCTGATTACTCTGGCTAGGACTTCCAGTACTATGTTGAAGAGGAGTGGTGAGAATGAGCATGCTTGTGTTGTTCCCATTCTCAGAGGGAATGCTTTCAACTTTTCCCCATTCAGTATTATGTTGGCTGTGGGTTTGTCCTAGATGGCTTTTATTATATTAAGGTATGTCCCCTGCATGCCGATTTTTCTGAGGGTTTAATCATATAGGGATGCTGGATTTTGTTGAATACTTTCTCTGCATCTATTGAGATTATCATGTGATTTTTGTTTTTAATTCTGTTTATGTGGTGTATCACATTTATTGACTTGCATATGTTAAATCATCCCTGTTATGAAACCCACTTTATCATGGTGGATTATCTTTTTGATATGTTTTTGGATTTGGTTAGCTAGTGTTTTGTTAAGAATTTTAGCATCTACAGTCCTTAAAGATATCTGTCTGTACTTTTCTTTATTGATTGTGTCCTTTCCTGATTTTGGTATTAGGGTGATGCTGGCTTCATAGAATGAATTAGTGAGGGTTCCTTCTTTTTCTATCTTGTGGAATAGTGTCAAAAGGATTGGCATCAATTCTTCTTTGCATGTCTTGTAGAATTCTGCTGTGAATCTATCTGGTCCTGGACTTTTTTTTGTTGGTAATTTTTAAACTACCATTCCAATCTCACTGTTTGTTATTGGTCTGTTCAGGGTATCAATTTCTTCCTGATTTACACTAAGAGGGTTGTATTTTTCCGGAATTTATCCATCTCTTCTAGGTTTTATAGTTTATGTACATAAAGGTGTTCATAGTAGCCTTAAATGATGTTTTCTGTTTCAGTGGTGTCAGTTGTAATATCTCATATTTCATTTCTTACTGAGGTTATTTGCATTTTTCTCTCTTCTTAGTTAGTCTTGCTAATGGTCTATCCATTTTATTTATCTTTTCAAAGACCAGCTTTTTGTTTCATTTATCTTTTGTGGAGATTTGTTTGTTTGTTTCAGTATCATTTAGTTCTGCTCTGATCTTGGTTATGTCCTTTCTTCTGCTGGGTTTGGGTTTCGTTTATTCTTGTTTCTCCAGTTCCTTGAGGTATGACCTTAGATTGTCTCTTTGTGCTCTTTTGGACTTTTTGATATAGGCGTTTAGGGCTCTGAACTTTCCTCTTAGCACAGCCTTAGCTGTATCCCAGAGGTTTTGATAGGTTGTGTTTTTTGTTTTTATTTATTTTTATTTTTTGAGAGGGAGTCTCGCTCTGTTGCCCAGGCTGGACTGCAGTGGCGCGATCTCAGCTCACTGCAAGCTCCGCCTCCCAGGTTCATGCCATTTTCTTGCCTCAGTCTCGCGAGTAGCTGGGACTACAGGCACCCACCACCATGCCCGGCTAATTTTTTTTTTTTTTCGTATTTTTAGTAGAGACGGGTTTCACCATGTTAGCCAGGATGATCTCAATCTCCTGACCTTGTGATCCACCCGCCTCGGCCTCCCAAAGTGCTGGGATTATAGGCGTGAGCCACTGCGCCTGTCCTAGGTTGTGTTGTTATTGTCATTCAGTTCAAAGAAATTTTTAAATTTCCATCTTGATTTTGTTTGACCCAGTGCTCACTCAGGAGCAAGTTATTTAATATCGATGTATTTGCCTGGTTTTGAAGGTTCCTTTTGGAGTTTATTTCCAGTTTTTTTTCCACTATAGTGAGAGACAGTGCTTGATATAATTTCAATTTTCTTAAATTTATCAAGCCTCCTTTTATGTCCTATTATATGGTCTATCTTGGAGAAAGTTCCATGCATTGTTGAATTGAATGTGTATTCTGTAGTTGTTGGATAAAATGTTCTGTATATATCTGTTAAGTCCATTTGTTACAACGTATAGTTTAAATCCATTGTTTCTTTTTTGACTTTATGTCTTGATTGACCTGTCTACTGCTGTCAGTGAAGTACTGAAGTCCCTCACTATAATTGTATTGCTGTCTATCTCATTTCTTACGTCTATTAGTAATTGTTTTATAAACTTGGGAGGTCCAGTGTTAGGTGCATATATATTTAGGTTTGTGATACTTTCCTGTTGGACAAGGCCTTTTACTATTATATAATGTCCCTCTTTGTCTCTTTCAACTGCCGTGGCTTTAAAGTTTGTTTTGTCTGATATAAGAATAGCTCCCCTGCTCGCTTTTGGTGTCCATTTGCACAAAATGCCTTTTTCCACCCCTTTACTTTAAATTTTTGTGAGTCCTTATGTGTTATGTGAGTCTCCTGAAGGCAGCAGATGATTGGTGAGTTCTTATTCATTCTCCAGTACTGTATCTTCTAAATGGAGCATTTAGGCCATTTACATTCAATGTTAGTATTGAAATGTGAGGTACTGTTGCATTCATCATGCTCTTTGTTGCCTGTGTGCTTTGTTTTGTTTGTTTGTTTTTGCTTTTTAACTTGTATTTTTATTTTATAGGTCCTGTGTGATTTATGCTTTAAAGTCGTTCTGTTTTGATGTGTTTCCAGGATTTGTTTCAAGATTTAGAGCTCCTTTTAGCAGTTCCTGTAGTAGTTGTTTGGTAATAGCAAATTATCTCAGCATTTGTTCATCTGAAAATGACTGTATCTTTCCTTCATATATGATGCTTAGTTTCACGGATACAAAACTCTTGACTGATAATTGTTTTGTTTGAGGAGGCTGAAGATAGGGCCCCAATCCCTTCTGGCTTGTGGGGTTTCTGGCAGAAATCTGCTGTTAATCTGATAGGCTTTCCTGTATAGTTTACCTGGTGCTTCTGTCTCACAGACCTTAAGATTCTTTCCTTTGTCTTAACTTTGGATAACCTGATGACAATGTGCCTAGGTGAAGATCTTTTTGCAATGAATTTCCCAGATGTTCTTTGTGCTTCTTGTAATTGCATGTCTAGGTCTCTAACAAGACCACAGAAGTTTTCCTTGATTATTCCCCCAAATACGTTTTGCAAGGTTTTAGAATTGTCTTCTTTCTCAGGTACACCAGTTATTCTTAGGTTTAGTCATTTAACATAATTCCATACTTCTTGGAGGCTTTGTTCATATTTTCTTATTCTTTTTTCCTTGTCTTTGTTGGATTGGGCTAATTCAAAGACCGTGTCGTTGATCGCTAAATTTCTTTATTCTACTTGTTCAATTCTATTGCTGAGACTTTCCACAGAATTTCGCATATCTAAAAGTGTATTCTGCGTTTCCTGAATTTTTTATTGCTTTTTCTTTAAGCTATCTATTTCCTTGAATATTTCTCCCTTCACTTCTTGTATTATTTTTTTGGATTTCCTTGCGTGGGGCTTTGCCTTTCTCTGGTCCCTCTGTGATTAGCCTAATAACTAACCTCCTGAATTCTTTTTTAGGTAAATGGAGGATTTCTTGTTAGTTTGGATCCACTGTTGGTGAACTAGTGTGATTTTTGGGGGGTGTTAACAAGCTTTGTTTTGTCATATCACCAGGGTTGGTTTTCTTGTTCCTTTTCATTTGGGTAGGCTCTGTCAGAGGGAAGATCTATGTCACGCACATCCATGTGAAGAGAGTCCACCAAGCAGGCTTTGTGTGAGCAATAAAGCTGTTTATTTCACCTGGGTGCAGGAGGGCTGAGTCCAAAAAAGGAGTCAGCAAAGAGAGATAGGGATGGGGCAGTTTTATAGGACTGGAGTAAGCAGTGGAAAGTTACAGTTAAAGGTGGTTATCAATTTTCAGCAGAGGAGGGAGTCACAGGGTTCATGGTAGGGAGATCATAAGACTCATTGCCCAGAAGAATGTCACGAAGTTGATCGATCAGTTGGGGCAGGGCAGGAACAAGTCATAATGGAATGTTGTAAGGTTGGTCAGTCAATTAAGACAGGAGCTGGCTGTTTTACTTCTCTTGTAGTTTTGGGTTGCCCCAGACTTCTTGGCTCCCGCAGGCCATCTGGACATATATGTGCAGGTCACAGGGGTTACAATGGCTGAGCTTCGGCTCAGAGGTCTGACATTCCTGTCTTTTTATTTATAAAATATAAAGTTATAATAAAAGATAAAGAAAATATAAGTTTTACTGGGGATTATTGGTGTAGGGGCGATGTTTCTTGGGACTGCTTAAAGCGTGACCAGGGACTGCATGGACACCTTAAAAAAATTTTATAATGAGTTACAAGGAATAGGAATTTAGGCTGTTGGGAGATCTTGGGGCAGAGGATGGTACCGTGGGGTCGTTAAAAGTAGCATTTGTCGTATAGGATGATTGGTAATGATCTGAATGTGGTTTTGTATGAATTGAGAAACCAAACAGAAGACACAAGGCCTGAATAAGAGAAGGAGAAACACAGGTACCAGGCGACTAAGAATAGGGAGGAGACAAGACACCCAGTTAGAAAGTGTCCAGGTGGATCCACTATAATTATTTGCCTGGCTGCCGAGTTTTTGGGCATCTTTAAGCTTTTGTATGTTGTCATATAGCAGGCTGGATTGTTTTAGATAAAAACAAAATTGTTCATTTAAAAATACACAGAGTCCTCCTTTTTCAGCAGTGAGTAGGTCAAGTCCTTGGCGACTTTGAAGGAGAACTGCAGCTCAGGAGTCAACCTGGGCCTGAAGGACTGATAAAGTTTGTGATTTATCTGTAATGCTAGTAGAAAAGTTATTAGAAAGGCTACAGAAGGCCGTGATAGAAGTTGAAACCCCTGCTATTCCAGCTTCAAGGGCAGTAGTGGAAGCAGAAAGTCCTAAGCCTACAAGTAGAGGGATTAGAGGAATAATTCTTTTTTGTCTGGTTGGTGTCATGCGGGGGACAGGAAGTTGCATGGTCCTATTAGAAAATTGAATTTTGGAAACAAGAAAAACTAGCGTACATGTACCTATCCAATTAGCAGGTAGACATGTAGGTGGAGGAGCTGCAGAGGAAGAAAAGACCTTTGTAAGGCAAAACCGGAAATGTAAAGTGAAAAGATGAGAAGAAGCACCAAAAGAGGTGTCTTGCACCTAGACTCTTAGGGATTTAGTGAGAGCAGCACATGTTAGAGGTTGTAATGGGGATTGATGGGGCAACTGGGTAGAGGGGGAGGTTCTATTTTTATGGTGTATGAGTAAGCTCATAATGTCTATGAGTAACCTTTCACTGCTATTCATGGGGCTGGTTATAAGCAAGCAAGTGGAGGGGCTAGGAGGAGATTCCAAAGAACAAGGGGAAGGTAGCCAAGGATGGAGTGAAATGCAGGGCAAATGTCTTAAAGGAAATGACAGATTCTAAGAGGCGGGCTAGTGGCTTGTAACCCACATGGAAGAGGTTATGAAAGGACGATAGAATGGAATGAGCCTGTGAGGCTGGAAAGAGGTATTTTCCTTGGTCTAAGAACCATTTGCCTTGAGTGGGGAGGGATTTATAGGTGGAAACTTCAGTGGGAGAGTAAGTAGGAGTGACTAATGAGAAAGAGAGAAACTGGCCATGAGGGACAGAAGTAGGAATACTGGCTCCTTCTTTAGCTGTCTTATCAGCATAACTGTTGCCTTGAGCAGTGGGGTCTGAGGTCCTTTGATGGCCTTTGCAGTGAATGGCTCCACCTTCCTTTGGAAGTAAAGCGTCCTTGCGAAGGGTTTTTATTAAAGAGGCATTAATGATGGAGGACCCTTGCTCACTAGGAAACTTCTTTCAGCCCGTATGGTGGTGCAGGACGTCAGAGGCATATTTAAAGCCAGTATAAATATTGACACGCAATCCTTTTGCAAGAGTGAGGGCTCAAGTTAAGGCAATGAGTTAGGCTTGCTGAGAGGTAGTGGAGTGGACCAGAGCGGTAGCCTCAATGATAGATGTATAAGATACTATATCATAGCCTGCCTTTGCTGGTGAGTGGCGATTAGGCCTGGTGGAACTGCCATCAATAAACCACGTGTGATCAGGGTAAGGAGAAGGATAAAAGGAAATATGGGGAAATGGAGTGAATGCCAGCTGGATCAGAGAGATATAGTCATGGGGGTCAGGTGAGGTATCAGGAATAATGTGGAGGCCAGCCTAAAACAGTAAGGTCAAGTTGTTTTGACAGAAAGGCTACAGGGCGCGGTCCCGGCTCTTTTGTAAGAATTCCTACCGCACAGCCCTGCACTTCGGCTTTGTGTAATGAAAAAGGGTTGGGATGAGTTAGGGAGAGCTAGTGTGGGAGCAACTTCTAGGGCTGTTTTTAAGTAATGGAAAGAGGAGTGGGGAAAGGATTTAGGATCTATGGGGTCAGCTAGGTTTTCCTTTGTGAGTTTATAAATGGTTTTGTTAGGATGGCAAAACCAGTTATCCAAAGGTTGAAGTGTCCAACCATGCCCAGGAAGGAAAGCAGTTGTTGCTTTGTAGAAGGTGTTGGGGTTTGATAGATCAGCTGGACATGATCGGCAGGGAGGGCATGCATGTTTTCAAGAAGAATTATGCCGAGGCAGTTAACAGATGTGGAAGAAATTTGAGCTTTGGAGGGGGATACCCATTATCTTTGGAAAATAAATGCTGAAGGGTATCTTGTTGAAAAGACTCAAAGGAGGGACTACAGAGTAGAAGGTCATCAATATATTGAATAAGGTGAGAAGCATAGGGGTGGAAAGAAAGTAAATCATGAGAAAGAGCTTGGCTGAAGTGATGGGGGCTGTCCCAGAAGCCTTGAGGCAGTACAGCCCAGGTAAGCTGCTGGGACTGATGGGTGTCAGGATCAGTCCAGGTAAAAGCAAAGAGAGGCTGGGATGAAGGGTCTAAAGGAATAGTAAAGGAAGCATGTTTGAGATCCAGAACAGAATAATGGGTTGTACAGGGAGGTACTGAGGATAGGAGAGTATATGGGCTTGGCACCAAAGGGTGGATAGGCAAGACAATTTGGTTGATAAGGCGAAGATCCTGGACCAGCCTGTAAGAATGGCCAGTTTTTGGACAGTTAGGATAGGAGAGTTGTAAGGAGATTTTGTAGGCTTTAAGAGGCCATGTTGTAACAGGCGGGTAATAACAGGCTTTAAGCTTTTTAAAGCCTGCTGTGGGATGGGGTATTAGCGTTGAGCAGGGTAAGGGTAAAGGTTTTAGTAGGCGTGTGGTAGATTGCCAGAGAGGGAGTAGAGATATCCCATATTTGTGGGTTCAGGTGGGGGGATACAAGAGGAAGATGCAAAGGAGGCTTTAAACTGGGGGAAAGAGAGGCAATGAGGTGTGGCTGTAGCCTAGGAATAGTCAGGGAAGCAGATATTTTAAGATGTCTCGACCTAACAAGGGAGCTGAGCAGGTGGGAATAACTAAAAAGGAGTGCATAAAAGAATATTGTCCAAGTTGGCACCAAAGTTGGGAAGTTTTAAGAGGTTTAGAATCCTGGCTGTCAGTACCCACAACATTTATGGAGGCAAGGGAAACAGGCCCTTGAAAAGAAGGTAATGTGGAGTGGGTAGCCTCCTTATTGATTAAGAAGAGGATGGACTTACCCTCCACTGTAAGAGTTAGCCAAAGTGTCTGTGATGGTCCAGGAGGCTTCCAAGGCAATCAGGCAGTGTCAGTCTTCAGCTACTAAGCCGAGAAGATCTGGGAAGGAGTCAGTCAGAGAGCCTTGAGCCAGAGTTCCAGGGGCTCTGGGAGTGGCTGCTGGGTGAGTTGGACAGTCCAATTTCCAGTGGGGTCCCACACAAATGGGACATGGCTTAGGAGGAATCCTGCACTGCGGGCATTCCTTGGCCCAGTGGCCAGATTTCTGGCACTAGAAGCAAGATCCTGTGGGAGGAGGTCCTGGAGGAATGCCTGGCTGCTACAGTTTAGGCATTTTGAAGTTCTTGTGTGCTGGAGATGTGGCTGGCGTTTCTCATACAGGGGAGGCAAGTAATTGCAACTCAGAAATACGTTGCCATTTGGCTGCCTCTTGTCTGTTATTGTACACCTTGAAGGCGAGGTTAATTAAGTCCTTTTGTGGGGTTTTAGGGCTGGAATCTAATTTTTGGAGCTTTATTTCGGGAACGGATTGGGTAATAAAATGCATATTGAGAATAATGCGGCCTTCTGGCCCCTCTGGGTCTAGGGTGGTAAAGCATTTAAGGGTTGTTGCCAAACAGGCCATGAACTGGGCTGGGTTTTCATATTTCATGAAAAAGAGCCTAAACACTAACTGATTTGGGAGAAGTCAGATAAAGAAAAAGGAACACTAACCTTGACTATGCCTTCAGCTCCAGCCACCTCTGTAAGAGGAAATTGTTGGGCAGGTTGGGGGAGGGCTAGTCACAGAATGAAACTGTAAGCCGGACTGGTTGTGAGGAGGGGAAGTGATAGAGGGATTATATGGTGGGGGAGCGGATGCTGAGGAAGAATTGGGACCTGGCTTGGCCTGGCAAGGAGCAGCCTGGGGAGGAGGGGAGAGGTCAGATGAGTCCATAGCAAAGGAGGATTCAAAGGACTCAGAGCTTGGGGTGAAGGGCAGACAGGAGAGAAAGAAGAAAGATTTGGGATGAGTCGCATTGGGAGCAGAGACTAGGGAGGGACAAATGTGTAAAAGAATGCCTGGATGTCAGGCATCTCAGACTATTTGCCCATTTTTCGACAAAAATCATCCAGGTCTTGTAAGATGGAGAAATCAAAAGTGCCATTTTCTGAACATTTGGAACCACTGTTGAGTTTGTGTTTGGGCCTAGCGGTATTGCAGAAGAAAATAAGACGTTTAGGTTTTAGGTCAGGTGTTGGTTGAAGGGGTTTTAGGTTTTTAAGAACACAGGCTAAGGGAGAAGAAGAGGGAATTGAGGGTAGAAGGTTGCCCGTAGTGAAGGAGGCAAGCCCAGAGAAAAGAGAGGGTAGAGACATGGAGGTGGGTGGTGGTACTTGCCACCCAGGGGAGTTTTTATGGACTCTAGTACTGGATTATTCACTAAGGTGAAGAATCAAGGCAGGCGTCCCCGTGGTGATCAGACACCTCTGAAATGTGGGTGAATAATCAGGCAGGGGTCCCCGCAGTGATTAGGCACCAAGGGAAGACTGTCTTCCCGAGTCCGTGACTGGCACCGGAGTTTTGGGTCCACAGATAAAATGTGTCTCCTTTATCTCTACTAGAGAGGAAAAAGAACTGGAATTGGAAGGACAGGGTGATTGAAGGGTAGCGAGAGAGGCTGGAGAAGGGAGTGAAAAGACTGTTTACCTGATTTGAAATTGATGAGATGTTCCTTGGGCTGGTTGGTCTGAGGACCTGAAGTCATAGATGTATCTCCTCACGAAGTGAGGGCGAGGATGGGAACGGTCTCCCGAAGGAGTCCTCCTGTCCCAGGTCTTTGGCACCAAATGTCATATGCGTCCGTGTGAAGAGAGTCCACCAAACAGGCTTTCTGTGAGCAATAAAGCTGTTTATTTCACCTGGATGCAGGTGGGCTGAGTCCGAAAAAGGAGTCAGCAAAGGGAGATAGGGGTGGGGCAGTTTTATAGGACTGGGGTAAGCAGTGGAAAGTTACAGTCAGCAGAGGAGGGAGTCACAAGGTGCATGGTGGGGAGATCATAAGACTCATTGCCCAGAAGAAGAATGTCACGAGGTTGATCAATCAGTTGGGGCAGGGCAGGAACAAGTCATAATGGAATGTTGTAAGGTTGGTCAATCAGTTAAGACAAGAGCTGGCTGTTTTACTTCTTCTGTAGTTTTGGGTTGCCCCAGACTTCTTGGCTCTTGCAGGCCATCTGGACATATATGTGCAGGTCACAGGGGTTACAATGGCTGAGCTTCGGCTCAGAAGCCTGACAGTCTAGGGCTGAAGGCTGTTGTTCAGGATTTTTTGTCCCACGGATTGTTCCCTTGATGTTGTACTCTCCCCGTTTTTCTGTGGATGTGGCTTCCTGTGAGCCGAACTGCAGTGCTTGTTGTTTCTCTTCTGGATCTAGCCACCCAGTGAGTCTACCCAGCTCTGGACTGGTACTGGGGTCTGCACAGAGTCCTGTGATGTGAACTCTCTATGGGTCTCTCACCTGTAGATATCAGTGCCTGTTCTGGTGGAGGTGGCAGAAGGTGCAGTGGACTTTGTGAGGGTCCTTAACTTTGGTGGTTTAATGCTCTATTATTGTGCTGGTTGTCTCCTGCCAGGAGGTAGTGCTTTCCAGATAGCATCAGCTGTAGTACTGTGGAGAACAACCAGCAGTGGGTGGGGCCCTAGAACTCCCAAGATTATATGCCCTTTGTCTTCTGCTACCAGGATGGGTAGGGAAAGACCATCAGGTGGGGGTGGGGCTAGGCATGTCTGAGCTCAGAGTCTCCTTGGGCTGGTCTTGCTGCAGCTGCTGTGGGGGATGGGGTTGAGATTCCCAAGTCACAGGAATTGTGTACCTAGGAGGACTGTGGCTGTCTCTGCTGGGTCATGCAGGTTGTCAGGGAAGTGGGGGAAAATCAGCAGTCACAGGCCTCACCCAGCTGCCACATAAACCAGAGGGCCATTCTCAGTCCCACTGTGCAGCCCACAACAGCCCCGAGTCTGTTTCCAGGCAGAGGGTGAGACAGGCTTGAAAACTTGCTGGATACTTTCCACCTCCCAGCTGCAAAAGAAAAGAGCTTTAGTTCTTCCACCACCTGTGAAGTCTGCAAGCGGGATTTGTGCCTCTTCCCCCACCCCAGAGTTCTGGCCAAGAGGCTTCTCACCCTTTCAAATTGTTACAGAGTTCAGCTAGAGAATTCCTTCTTTCTGTAGAGTTTTACTCCCTGCGCCTCTGGCCACCCTTGTAATGGATCCTTGTGGTACCAGGCAGGAATGGGCTGCTTGGGGATCTCGCGATCTCCTGGGGCCTTTCTGCTGCTCCCTCTACCCCTGTATTTCACTTGGTTTGGCACTCTGACTTGACTCAGCTCCAGGTAAAGTCAGAAACTTCTCTTGCAAACAGACCTTCAGCTGTGTGTTCAGGAGAGGAGGGTCTCCCTTTCCTACTTCCACAGTTGGGGCACTCACCGTATTTGGGGTGTCTCTGGGGTCCTGCAGGAGCAGTCCACTTCCTTCAGAGGGTCTGTGAGTCCTCTCAGTATTGCCCGTTTGTTCTTGCAGTTGATCTGGAGCTAAAATGCACAGTGCAAGCCTCCACATGCTGCTCTGTCCAGAGTTGCAATCTAGTCCCATGATCCCGACAAAATTCTCTGTTTTTGCGTTCCTATAAAGAAATACCTAAGACTGGGTAATTTATAAAGAAAAGAGGTTTAATTGGCTCACAGTTCTGCAGGCTGTACAGCAAGTATAGAATTGACATCACGTGGTTTCTGGGGAGGCCTCACAGAGCTTTTACTCATGACATTAGGTTAAGCAGGAGCTTGCATATTATGTAGTGAAAGCAGGAGCAACAGATAGTGAGTGAGGGGAAGGTGCCACACACTTTTAAATGACCAGAGCTTGTGAGAACTCACTATCACCAAGACAACACCAAGTCATGAGAGATCCATCCCTATGAACCAAACACTTCCCACCAGGCCCTAACCTCCAGGATGGGGTATTGCAATTCAACCTGAGATTTGGGCAGGGACAAATATCCAAACTATATTACGGCACTGTCCATAGTTGGTGCTCTGCCATGATAATGTGTGAGTCAGGGTGCAAAAGATGGAGACTGGATATTTTATGAATACTGAGTGATGTGTGGAGGGCCCAGTCATGGGCAGGCACACACTGACCCTTGAGGGTAAAGATAGCTACTTTATATCTGGGCCCAAAGTCTGTTGTCCTCTAGCTGCCTAGGTGCTGAGATTGTTGGGGGGACCCTATACAATTTCAGTCTTCTAGGACAATAAATGTAGTAGCCCACAAAACAGCAGTTGTCACCTATGTACCTTATCTTCCTAAAAATTGCCACACCAATTTTAGGGGAGACTGAATGAGTGATTATTAGACCCCAGAGGTTCCTGCCTTATATCAGTTTGCCTTAGTGGTTCTCTTTGTGGTTTTAAGAATAGGCCCTTCCTTTACATAACCTTTCCCTCACTGATATATACACAGACTCAAAGTCTCTAAGGACATATTTCCTTATGTAGAAGCAGTGTGAGGAGAGGAAAATCAGAACTTCTGAGACATGATACATTCAATATACTCCTGCCTTCACCACCATAGAGTATGGGAGCTAAAGATATTTCCTAGATAGTTTTCCTTAGCTTATGGGGGAATTAAAGGACTTTAAAATAGCCTGATTATTCTATATTTTCCTGACGATGTCTCTCACCGTTTCCTTGAGAAGTTCTCTATTTTATTTTCTTCCCATTACCTCAAGTATTTATTCTTTGTGTTATAAACAATCCAATTATACTTTTAGTTATTTTTAAGTGTAAAATTAAATTACTACTTATAGTTACCCTGTTGTGCTATCAAATATTAGATCTTATTAATTTTCTCTATTTATTAGGCAGTTCCAGCTGCCTATGTGTCTGTCTGTGTGGCAGACTGTACTCTAAAGTATTTGCTGATGATTCGGGAGCTAGGTCATAGGCCTATGGCTCAATCTTTAGGCCTCTGGAGTGAAATAACTATAAATGATCAAATCTTAGTCTCTCGTGGTAGCTGCTGTGTCAGGTAAGAAATGGCCTTATCAGGACGTTTTTTTTTTTTCCTTTGGGCAGGTTAGTGAGTTTTATGGGAAGCTAACTTCCAAATAGGATGTCTGTTTATTTAGACATGGTGGGAGATGTGCCTGCTGAGAGGACAGCCTGGTGGTGATAGTCCCCCAGACTAGTTATTTTGATCCTGAAGATTCCTTGTAGAGGACCACAAGTGATAGCCAGGGGTTGTTGGAAGTCATGAAAACAGTTGAGATAAGGTTGCATAAAGGGTAGGTCTAATAACTTCAGATACAAGGTCTCAAGCAACTGTATTTCTATATATTAGCAGTAAACAATTGGAAACTGAAACTAAAATTACAATACTATTCAAATATGCTCAAAGAGACCAAAATATGTATAAACCTAACAAAACATTTAAAGAATTTTTATGCTTAGAAGTATTAAATGTTCATAAAAAATCAAAGAAGACCTAAATAAATGGAGAAACATAACAATGTTCTTGGAATGGAAGATACAACATAGTAAAAATGTCAATTCTATGTAGATTTATATACCGATTTAACATCATTGCCATTAAAATGCCATGGGGATTCTTTTTAAATATAGAAAGCTGTTTGTAATTTTTTTATGGGGAGGCAAAGGAACTAGAATAGTCAGGAAAATTGGGGGAAAATAGAATACAGTTGGATGAATCACAACACTTAAATTAAAGACCTACTTATTCAAGACTTCATGGTGTTGGTGAATGGATAGACACATAGATTAATGGAACGAAATAGAGAGTCTGGAAATAGACCTAACAAATATGACCAATTGATTTTTTTTTTTACATTAAGTCCCAGGATACATGTGCAGAACGTGCAGGTTTGTTACACAGGTATACATGTGCCATGGTGGTTTGCTACACCAAACAACCCATCATCTATGTTTTAAGCCCTACATACATTAGGTATTTGTCCTAATACTCTCCCTCCCCTTGCCCTCCACCATTCAACAGGCCCTGCAATGTGATATTCCCCTCCCCATTTCAGTGTGTTCTCATTGTTCAACTCCCACTTATGAGTGAGAACATGTGGTGTTTGGTTTTCTGTTCCTGTGTTAGTTTGCTGAGAATGATGGCTTCCAGCTTCATCCATGTCCCTGCAAAGCACATGATCTCATTCTTTTTTTATGGCTGCATAGGATTCCCTGGTGTATATGTGCCATATTTTCTTTATTCAGTCTATCATTGATGGGCATTTGGGTTGGTTCCCATGTCTTTGCTATTGTAAATAGTGCTGCAATAAACATACATGTGCATGTGTCTTTATAGTAGAATGATTTATAATCCTTTGGGTATATACCCAGCAATGAGATTGCTGGGTCAAATAGGATTTCTGGTCCCAAATCCCTGAGGAATCGCCACACTGTCTTCCACAATGGTTGAACTAATTTACGTGCCCACCAACAGTGTAAAAGCATTTCTATTTCTTCACAGCCTCGCCAGCATCTATTGTTTCTTGACGTTTTAATAATTGCTATTCTGACTGGCATGAGATGGTATCTGATTGTGGTTTTGATTTGCATTTCTGTAATGATCAGTGATGTTGAGCTCTTTTTCATATGTTTATTGACCACATAAATGTCTTCTTTTGAGAAGTGTCTGTTTATATCCTTTGCCCACTTTTGGATGGTGGTGTTTGTTTTTTTCTTGTAAATTTAAGTTCCTTGTAGATTCTGGATATTAGACCTTTGTCAGATGGATAGATTGCAAAAATTTTCTCCCATTCTATAGGTTACCTGTTCACTCTGATGATAGTTTCTTTTGCTGTGCAGAAGCACTTTAGTTCAGTTAGATTCCATTTGTTAATTTTGGATTTTGTTGCAATTGCTTTTGGTGTTTTCATCATGAAGTCTTTGCCCATGCCTATGTCCTGAATGGTATTACCTAGGTTTTCTTCTAAGGTTTTTATGGTTTGGGGTTTTACATTTAAGTCTTTAATCCATCTTGAGTTAATTTTTGTATAAGGTGTAAGGAAGGGGTCCAGTTTCTGTTTTCTGCATATGACTTCCAGTTTTTCCAACACCATTTATTTAAGAGAGAATTCTTTCCCCATTACTTGTTTTTGTCAGGTTGTAGCAGGACAAGCCGCAGACAAAACCCCTCAGACAACAAGTTGTAGAAGGAAGGGGCTTTATTCAGCTGGAAACATTGGCAGACTAGCGTCTTAAAATCCGAGCTCCCTGAGTGCACAATTTCTGTCCCTTTTAAGGGCTCACAATGCTAAAGTTTTCACATGAGAGGGTCGTGACTGATTGAGCAAGCTAGGGAGTACATGACAGGGGCTGCATGCACCGCTAGTCAGAGTGAAACAGAACAGAGCAGGAAGGTTCACAATGTCCTTCCATACAATGTCTGGAATCTATAGATAACATCAGTGGCTAGGTCAGGGGTTGAATTTTAACTACTAGGCTTAGACCAGGCAGGCCCAGGCCTGGTTTGGGTCTGGTTCTCAGCGCTGGGCTCCCTGCCTTTTGTTTCACTTCTTTTTTTTTTTTTCAAGACATATTGAGTATAAAACAATCTGAGAGAGTTTTTCTCTTCTCTCATTTCCCCCCTTTGAGACTCTCACTCACTTTATTAGTGTGAGTTCTCACTTTCATTTTCACTACTTATGTCTTCCTGTATGATAGACTGATAGTGATTCATATAGTACACTTGTGCTGAAGCATTTTGATGAACTAGGGTAGCAGCTTTTTATTACATGAATTAGTATAGGTAGTAGACAAGGGTGCAGTAAGCAGGTTCCTATTATTATTATAATTCTTATTATTAGGGTTTTAAATCTTCGTAGTGCTGGGAAGTACCTTTCAAACATGGCCCCAGGGGCAAATCTGTGCCACACTTATACAGACACATGTGCCAGTTTTGTTATGTCTTTTACTGTATCTTCAACTGCCTGTCTTTGATTTTCTATGTGTAGCCAGCAATTAGTAAGGTTAAATTTCCTACAAACTCCTCCTTTAGCTTCTAGCAAGTAGTCGAGAGCCAATTTATTTTGATAGATAGCATTTTTCATCTGAGTTTCTTCCTGGGCCAGAATAGTCAAGCCTCTGCCAGTCTTATTAGTGATTATTTCTAAGACAGCTTGTAACTGTATGATTTGGTTGAGCATGCAAATGGGAGTCTGGTATCCCCACAAGCCATCTTGTGCCTAAGTAGCAGGCCCATAGTATTGTATGATTCTCTCGGGGGGGGGGGGCATTCATTATTTTTCTAATTTTTTTTATAGCTATGGTGTTTTTTTTGTTTGTTTGTTTTGTTTTTTTTTTGCGGGAAGCATAGACAGGGAAGCCCAGGAGTTTGCCTTTCTTTATGGGCAGTAGGATGAAAGATGGTTCAATAGTGCCAATAACACAATTATCTGCCCACTGGTTGGGTAATTTGGCGTAAACTCTATGCCCACATATCCAGTATAATCCAGTTGGGGCTCTCCACTCCTGGTGGGACTTCAGGTGGGTCCACACAGTTTGCAACATTGGAAATTTACTAAATGGAGTTTTCTTAGTCTGGTATGAACTCCACTAGGTGGCTGTTTTTGTTGTTGTTGTTGTTTGTGGTACTATTATACAGCTTCTGTCCCAGACAACTAAGTTGTCCTGCAGGATGAGTGAATTCTTTGCCTTCTCTAGCTATGCAATATTTTCCAGTAATTGACACTTTTAGAACCTAGAAATTAGCAGGGTGATTCTTTTGGGCTGGGAATTCATCAGGAACTGGGTCTGTAGGTACTAATTCTCAGGCTTCCCATGGCCATTGATTTTCTATTACAGTTTCTCCACATACATAGCATGAAGTGACATTGAGAGACTGGGATACATGCTCGACTAATTGCAAAAACACATTTCTTGTTTTTCCTGGAATTTCTGGTACTGGCACATTCAGTTCATCATAGAAGCTTTGAAATACTGGCTCAGGAGAGCGTTTATAAACTTCTCCTCAAACCACGATATTTACTTGAGGATCCAGTCCAGCTCCATCGATTCCTAGGGTTACACGCTCTCTTTTTTCTTAGCGAGGTTTAAGGGGGTTGGTTATTACTAGTTCTAAGGGGTTACACTGACCACTGGTACAGGAAGGGCCACTTTTCCTTTTCTGAAGGTGGATAGGATTTTTTTCATTTTTTATCCAAGTAGCCTAAATGACTCAAGACCAGTATCCACGTTCATTTTCACACAGGCCTAATTCATGACAAATGTACTTATTTTCTGCCATATAGCCTCTTTTCTAATTAAGAGAACCACATCTTATTCCTAACTTATTACTATTAATGACAGCACAGGCATCAAATTTTAAGGTGACTTCTTTGGGCACCCCTTTTTCTTCTGTTTTGGCTAACACTTTACTCATATAGTTTATGAGCCCCCACCAGTCCTCAGTCCTTAGTCTTATTTTAAAAACTGTGGTCATGGGAGGCTCAGATGGGTCATAACACATCAGGTTGGTCATTTCCTGGGCTATATACCTTGTATAGAATAACATTATACAAACAAGTTCTTTTTAGAGTTCCAGTATACTTATAATAACCATAAAATAATAGGACTGTAGCAACCTTTTGTCCTACCTCAGTGACTTGATGTATACACTGGGAACAGTCCTCAGTCTGAGGAAGGTCAGTTGAAGTCCTTACTGTACAAGTCCAAATTTTAAGGAAAATGAGTCCTGCGATGAGTTTTCTCATGCTTCGGCCATGTGTGGGCCAGTCAGCTTCTGCGTGTGACTGGAGCAGCGCTTGTCCTCTTCTTCAGTCACTTTGCAGGAGTTGGTGAAGCTGCTCCTGTCCATGTACAGCTCACGGTCTACTGATGTTCAAGGATGGTCTTGGAAGTTGGGCTCACTAGAATAAACTGAGTCTAATACCTCTACACAGTTATGTTCAACTGGGCTCTCTGATACTGGGAGCAAGGCGTTGGGGTTTAGGGTGTTGCAAACTTCAGTGGTTATGCGGGGATTTTCACATAGCAAACTTTGGTACTTGGTTAATCTAGCATTTGTTAACCATTGATGTCCATTGGTATTTATCAAAGTTACCACAGCATAGGGGTCCTTTATATTCAGGTTTTGCCCAAGGGTTAGTTTATCTACTTCTTGTGCTAACAGGGCCATTGCTGCCAGGGCCCTTAGACATGGGTCAAGCCTTTGGAAACCCCATTTAGTTGTTTTGAGAGATAGGCCACTGGCCTTGGCCAGGGCCCCACAGTCTGGGTTAAAACTCCAACTGCCATTTTTTCTTTTTCTGACACATAGAGTGTAAAGGGTTTTGTCAGGTCAGGTAGCCCCAGGGCTGGGGCCAACATCAGTTTTTCTTTTAACTCATGAAAAGCTCATTGCTCTTGGTTGTAATAGATGTAGTTTATCCAATCTACATTTCTATTAACTGTCACCCACCAAAATATTGACTCAAATCCTGCAGCTATTTGATTTCAAGCTTTAAATTGATCTGGTATTCCCCGTGGGACTCCAGTTGCATCTAAATAGACATGAGAGTTGAAAGACCCATAAGGGGCTTCTCTCGCTTTACGATGTCTTATTCTTCCCTCTGGTTGATGAAATGCCAGGGTGAAAGGGATAGCCAATTGGACTAAAGTACAAGTGCCACTCCAGCTATTTGGCAGAGTGCTCAGTGAAGGTCCACCACAATACCACCACACATCCGCTTGGGGATGAACAAGGGCTGACTGATTGATAAGCTCTTGAAAATTCTTAAGCTCACTGCATCCCTTCAGGTCTCCAAGGAATGCTAAGTTTCCTCCCTGTCGTGAGAGACACGAGGTGAACTTAGTGTTGGGAGACAGAAGCTGGATGGCCCTTGGGGGCTGACCTGCAGGGTGCTGGACTTCAGGATAAAGCAGAGAGAGCTTGGCACAACTTATTACTCCAGGCTGTAGAATCCTGGAAAAAAGCTACCATGCAGCCCACACCTGGTCGACTGGAGGACCACCTTAGTGGAAAGGGGACAATCTGGGCTTTTGTTTAATGTGCGGATGGAATATTTGATCCATTCCAACCAGGCATTTGCATCTTGGTATCTTGTCTTAATTGCCAAAGTTTAAGTCTTTAACTTCTATGATCCTCTAGTAAAAAAAATGTATGATTTTAGGAAATTACAAAAACCGGTTGGGGCAGTCCATCCTTGCTCTTTAGTGGTCCACAGAATGTTGGACCAACTATGGCATAAAAGCTCTACATTGAGTGGCAAGACTCCTGGTTGACACTGGAGTCTTTATCGAAATTTTCCCGGATTAAATTGTCCTAATTTACTAATGCCTAACCTGAGGAGAGTCAGGAGGGACAGGGGTACTTTTCTGAGGTAGAGAGCTGTCTTTGACTTGGCAAGTCCCCACAGGGTATAACAAGGCAAGCATTAAATGCAATAGTTTGAGGTGAAGTTGACTTGGTTATGTTAATAACTAGATGGTCAGCAATAGAGCGATGAAAGAAGAAAGAGTAATAGCATAGATGAAAGAGTTAAATTTTTCTTAGCTTTAGTTTGGTAGGCTATTCCCCTGGGACTGTGGCCCACAACTCAAGGGGGTGGGGCTTTGACTGGGGTGTGATGAGTCCATCCCTTTTTTGCTGTACGAACAGCAGTCTCGGTGGTTAGTAGCACAAGGTAGGGTCCTTCCTAGGCTGGCTCGAGTTTTTCTTCTTTCCTCCCTTTGATTAGAAGGTGATCTTCAGGCTGGCACTGGTTTACCGGAAATTCTAGGGGTGCTACCTGTGCTACAAGACTTTTAGTTTTGAGGGAAAAGAAAGTGGAAGATAAACCAAGTATATAATTTCTAAGAGACTGACCTTTTGTTTTAAATGTGGGGACATCAACAGTGGACTTTATAGTCTTTGGTGCCTTCTTACTGAGAAATTTATTTTAGCACCTATTTTTAGTTTTTAGACCAAAGAAAGCCAAACACCATTTTATATTTAATAATGCTTTTTGTATGATGTTTATACCAGATAAGCTAAATTTCACCTTTATATTAGTGTGTCATTAATGTTAAACTTAGTTTTAATAAAACTTTGTAGACATATGTATTCAACTTTTAATGTCAGACCATAAGGTAAGGTTTTTGTAGACCTTTTTTCAAACTTTTATAATCTTTGTTGAAGAGCAGGTTAGTGCTTTAAGAAAAACCCATTGTGTTTTTACTTTAATGTCCAGTTCACAGAAAAACTGGATGATACCCCTTTAACTTTAGCTAATATTTTTACACACATAATTTACACACAATTAACATCTTAAAACTTGCTTAAACCTTTACAACAATTTTTTAACCTTTTAATATAGGTAAAAGTCCACATTCTTATGCCTCCTTATAATCCCTTTACCAAAGGTATACTTTACTTTTCTTATACACCTTGCTGTTTCTTCAATAGCTTTACATTCAGGAGGCCTAATTACTTTTAAATTATACAACATTTCTTGCATAAATTCTTTTTCTAACACACTTTTAAAATAATTTTTTTTCGTGACTTTTACAGGCAATTCTTCAACATGTTTTAACTTTCTGACTTATTACAAACTTTTTTTTCTTTAAACAACCAGTTAATTTATTTCAGGAGAAGAATTTACCATATAACTTTTTTTACATAAATTTTGCCCCCTCCTTTTTTCCCTTTTATCGAAGATAACCATTCTTTCCACAGCGAACTTCCTTTATGTCTGTGGACTAGACTGTCTAAGGCCACAAGATTAGAAATTACTATAATACATGTTACACTGTTAACTTTTAGCAAACTTTACTTTTGTTGAAAACCTTGTAAGTTTGGGATTTCAATTATCCTTTGCTATTAATAAGACCTTGTTTAGTCCAAACTAACTTAGAATTGGTATAGATGGCTATTTTTTTTTTCCTTCAATTACCCGGGAGGAACCATCTATCGTCCTGTCCTGAAGTGAGTTCCTCCTAGGTCTGGTTGGACCTTTGTATGTCAATTAAGATTTAGATCTCCTGTTAGGAAACCTGGTGGGTTAAGGGAATTTTCAGTGGTTAAAGTTAAATCATCCTTTTTTTTTTTTTTTTTTTACAGAATAGCCCCATGCTTCCTCAAGAAAAAAACACTACACTCACACCACATACACACCACAAAACAAAGAATGGGTAAAAAGGGCACACACACACTTTTACAGTTTATACCAAACCAGAATCAAAACCAAAACCAGAGTATCAAGAAAACCAAGCCAGATCAAAACCAAAACCAAAGTATCAAGCAGTTCAAGTCAAGTCAAAAATAAAAACCAAAGTGCTGGTACAGGCATGTCGTGGGTGATCAGGCCACGCTTCCACTCAAATGGAGTGGGCAAGTTCCAAAGCCCAGTCTTACCGAGTTTCAGATGTCCGAACTCCAAGTGCCAGCTCCTTCCTGGTGTTCAGCAACTACGTTGATCCTCTGTGGGGACCTGCCATGCACCGCTCTGATGATGTGTTCCACCGGGGAAAAGGCCTACCCAGGAGCCCTTTCAGGATCCGCATTGCTCAAGCTGGCCAGAGTCCCCCGCAGGGATGCTCCACAGGGAAGTGTAAGCCACCTAAGGAGCTGCCTCGACCGTCTGTCAGTTAATCACCTCATTTCCCAGTCAGGGAACCAAGAAATGTAGCAGGACAAGCCACAGACAAAACCCCTCAGACACCAAGTTGTAGAAGGAAGGGGCTTTATTCAGCTGGAAGTGTTGGCAGACTAGCGTCTTAAAATCCGAGCTCCCTGAGTGCACAATTTCTGTCCCTTTTAAGAGCTCACAATGCTAAAGGTTTCACACGAGAGGGTCGTGACTGATTGAGCAAGCTAGGGGGTACGTGACAGGAGCTGCATGCACCAGTAGTCAAAGTGAAGCAGAACAGAGCAGGAAGTTTCACAATGTCCTTCCATACAATGTCTGGAATCTATAGATAACATCAGTGGCTAGGTCAGGGGTTGAATTTTAACTACTAGGCTTGGGCCAGGCAGGCCCAGGCCTGGTTTGGGTCCAGTTCTCAGTGCCAGGCTGCCTGCCTTTTGTTTTGCTTCCTTTTTTTTTTAAGACAGATATTGAGTATAAAACAATATAAAACTATCTGAGAGCGTTTTTCTCTTCTCTCATTTCCCCCCTTTGAGACTCTCACTCACTTTATTAGTACATTGTCTCTTTGTTCCCGTTGGTTTCAAAGAACTTCTTGATTTCTGCCTTAATTTCAATATTTACCAGGAGTTATTCAGGAGCAGGTTGTTCAATTTCCATATAGTTGTGTGGTTTTGTATGAGTTTCTTAATCCTAAGTCCTAATTTGATTGCACTGTTGTCAGACTGTTATAATTTCAGTTATTTTGCATTTTTAGAGTGTTTTACTTCCAATTATGTGGTCAATTTTAGAATAAGTGTCATGTGGCACTGAGAAGAATGTATATTTTGTTGATTTTGGGGGGAGAGTTCCTTACCTATCTATTAGGTTCACTTGACCCAGAGCTGAGGTCAAGTCCTGAATATTCTTGTTAGTTTTCTGTCTCATTGATCTTTAACAGTGTGGTGTTGAAATCTCCCACTATTATTGTGTGGGAGTCTACCCCTCTTTGTAGGTCTCTAAAAACTTGTTATATGCATCTGGGTTCTCCTGTATTGGGTGCATGTGTATTTGGGATAGTCAGCTTTTCTTGTTGCATTGATCCCTTTACCATTATGTAATGCCCTTCTTTGTCGTTTTTGATAATTGTTAGTCTAAAGTCTGCTTTATCAGAGACTGGGTTTGCAACCCCTGCTTTTTTTTTTTTAACTTTCCGTTTGCTTGGTAAATGTTTCTCTATCCCTTTATTTTGAGCTTATCTGTGTCTTTGCATGTGAAATGTGTCTCCTGAATACAGCACACATATAGGTCTTTACTCTTTACCCCATTTGCCAATATGTGTCTTTTAATTGGGGCATTTAACCTCTTTATTTTTAAGGTTAATATTGTTATGTGTGAATTTGATCCTGTCATCATGATGCTAGCTAGTGATTTAGCACACTAGTTGATGCTGTTTTCTCATAGTGTCATTGGCCTTTATATATTTTGGTGCATTTTTGCAGTGGCTGGTACTGGTTTTTCCTGTCTATATTTAGTGTTTATTTCAGGAGCCCATGCAAGGCAGACCTGGTGGTGACAAAATTCTTTAGCGTTTGCTTGTCTGGAAAGGATTTTATTTATTTTTCACTTATGAAGCTTAGTTTGGCTGGATATAAAATTCTGGGTTAAAAATTCTTTAAGAATGTTGAATATTGGTCCCTACTCTCCTCTGGCTTGTAGGGTTTCTGCTGACACATCCACTGTTAGTCTGATGGGTTTCCCTTTGTAGGTAACCTGACCTTTCTCTCTTGCTGCCCGTAACATTTTTTCCATTTTTTTTTTTTTTCGACCTTGGAGAATCTGATCATTATGTGTCTTGGGGTTGATTTTCTTGTGGAGTATCTTAGTGGTGTTCTCTGTATTTCCTGAATTTGAATGTTGGCCTGTCTCACTATGCTGGGGAAGTTCTGGATAATATCCTTAAGTGTGTTTTCCAACTTGGTTTCATTCTACCTATCTCTTTCAGGTACTCCAATCAATCGTAGGTTCAGTCTTTATACATAGTCAAATATTTCTTGGACGTTTTCTTGTTCATTTCTTTTCATTATTTTTTCTCTAATCTTGTCTGCATGCCTTATTTTAGCAAGATTGTCTTCGAACTCTGATATCCTTCCTCCCTCTTGATCAATTAGGCTATTGATACTTGTGTATGCTTCTCGAAGTTCTCATGCTGTGTTTTTCAGCTTTATCAGGTCGTTTATGTTCCTCTCTAAACTGGTTATTCTAGTTAGCATCTCTTGTAACCTTTTATCAAGGTTCTTAGCTTCTTTGCATTGGCTTAGGACATGCTCCTTTAGCTCAGCAGTTTGTTGTTACCCACCTTCTGAAGCTTACTTCTTTCAGTTTGTCTATTTCATTCTCTGTCCAGTTTTGCACCCTTGCTGGAGAGGTGTTGCACCCATTAGGAGGAGAAGAGGCATTCTGGGTTTTCAGTGTTTTTGTGCTGGCTTTTCCTCATCTTTGTGGATTTATCTATCTTTGATCTTTGAGGCTGATGATCTTTGGATGGGGTTTATGTGTGTGTTGGGGGGTGGTTCTTTTCTGTTGATGTTGTTGTTGCTTTCTGGGTTTGTTGTTGTTGTTTTGTTTTTTTCCCCCAATAGGTTTCTCTTCTGCAGGTCTGCTGCAGTTTGCTAGAGGTCCCCTTCAGACCCTGTTTGCCTGGGTATCATCAGTGGAGGCTGCGGAACAGCAGATTACTGCCTGCTCTTTCCTCCAGAAGCTTCGGGACACCAGCCTGATGCCACTCGGAGCTCTCCTGTATGAGGTGTCTGTTAACCCCTGTTGGGAGGTCTCTCTCAGTCAGGAGGCACAGGGGTCAGGGACCTGCTTGAGGAGGCAGTCTGTCCCTTAGCAGAGCTGGTGCCCTGTGCTGGGAGTATCCTGCTTGTCAGGATCAGCCACTCTCTTTAGAGCTGGCAGGCAGGAAAGATTAAGTCCACTGAACCTGCTACCGCAGCTTCCCCTCCCCCCAGGTGCTCTGTCCCAGGGAGATCAGAGTTTTGTCTGTTAGACCCTGATGGGAGCTGCCAGATTTCCTGCAGAGATGCCCTGCTCAGTGAGGAGGAATCTAGAGGAGCAGTCTGGCTGCAGCTGCTTTGCTGCTCTGTGGTGAATTTTGCCCAGTCCAAACCTCCCAGTCTCCTTAGCGCTGTAAGGGGCAAACTGCCTACTAAAGTTATGGGAATGATAGTCACCCCTCCCCTTATGAAACTTGATCATCCTAGGCCAACTCCAGAGTGCTGTGCTGGTAGTGAGAATTTCAAGCCAGTGTTTCTTGGCTTGCTGGGCTCCGTGGGAGTGGGACCCATTGAACGAGACTGCTTGGCTCCCTGGCTTCAGCCTCCTTTCCAGGGGAGTGGATGGTTCTCCTTTCTCACTGGAGTTCCAGATGCCACTGGAGTAGGATAAAACTCCTGCAGCTCGGTGCCTGCCCTGGTTTTGTGCTTGAAACTCAGGACTCTGATGCTGTAGGCACATGAGGGAATCTCCTGATCCACAGACTGCAGAAATCCGTGGGAAAAGCATAGTATCCCAGGCAGGTAGCACAGTCCCTCACCACTTCCCTTGGCTGGGGAGGAAGGTCCCCTGGCTCTGTGCACTTCCCAGATGAAGTGACGCCCCACCCTGCTTCTACTCACTCTCTGTGGGTCGCTTCCACTGCCTAACCAGTCCCAGTTGGATGAACTGGGTACCTCAGTTGGAAATGCAGAAATCACTCACTTTTCTGCATTGGTCTTGCTGGGAGCTGCAGACTGGAGTTGTTTCTATTTGGCCATCTTGGCCCCTCCCCTGATCAGTTGATTTTTAACAAAGGTGGAAAGGCAATTGAATGGAGAAAAGATAGTCTCTTCAGTAAATGGTATTGGAAAAACTAGACATCCATAAGCAAAAAAAAAAAAAAAAATGCACCTCATACCTTATAGAAATAAGTCAAAGTGGATCCCAGATCTAAATGTAACACATAAAACTATAAAACATGTAGAATAATAGAAAGGAGGAAATCTTCAGGACCTAGAGTCTGGCAAAAATGTCTCAGATATGACACCAAAAGCCTGATCCATAAAAGAAATAAGAATAAAATTGACTTTATTAAAATGGAAACTCTTACTTTGCAAAATCTTTGTTAAAGAGAATAAAAAGTCAAGTGACAGACCTGAAGAAAATATTCATCAATCACATTTCCAACAAAGAACTTCTATCTAAAACACATAATGAACTTTCAAAACACAACATTGAAAAAGAAACAAATTAGAACATGGACAAAGGACATGAACAGACATTTTACCAAAGAGGATCTATGGGTGGAAAGTATGCACATGAAAAATGTTCAATATCATTAGCCATTTAGGGAAGTGCTGACAGTGATGAGATAAGATTGCACAGATATTAGAATGGCTAAAATAAAAATATTGATCATACCAATGCAAGGATGCAGAGAAACTGGAACTCTCATAAATTACTGATGGGAATGCAAAGTGGTACTTCAACTCAGGCAAATAATTTGGATTTAAAAAAATTGAACATGTCCTTTTCATATGACCCAGCAGTCCCACTCCTAGGTGTTTTATTTAGAGAAATGAAAACTTAAGATTATACAATAAACTGTACATTGTTTATAGCAGCACTTTTATTAATAAATAAAGAGTATGAACAACTCAAATGTCCTTCCATAGGTGACTAGATAAACTTTGTTACATCCATACTATGAAATACTATTCAGGAACAAATTGGAATAAGCTATTGATACACACAAGTTGGATGATTCTAAAAGGCATTATGCTCAGTAAAAGAATGCCAGTCTCAAAATGTCACATACTCTATGTTTGGTTTTGTATGACAGTCTTGAAACGATAAAGTTATAGTGACTGATGGCAGATTACTGGTAGCCAAAAATTAAGGATGGGGGAAGGTATGACTACAAAAGGATAGCACAAAGGAATTTTGGAGGTGGTGGAAAAGTACTGTATCCTAATGAGGCAGTCGTTATGTGAATCTATACATATGTTAAAATTCATAGAACTATATATGAAAAAAGACTTAATTTTTAAAATAAAAATTTCAAAGGCTGAAAATAATTGGAGGACTTAATGGATTTCTTAGCAAAGGAAAGAAACTATTACTCAAGAGGCCTTTGACTTTTGGCCCTGCGATATACCACAAGCATTTTGAGTAAAGACTGAGTAATCAGAAGAATGTCAATCTGCTTTGTTCTGCCTGAGGTGGGTCACTCGCATACATTAAGAGCTACTAACTTGTACACCTGAAGTTTCTGGCCCTGCTTTCACATTTCCCCAGGAATGTAAGGGGAGACTGGGCAGGAGGCTCTTGAGGCTTTAAGGATCCTACTTGGTTTGTCTTTCCTCATTTTCTCTGCTCTATCCTTCAGTTTATAGGTGGGACTTTCCTGTACTATTCATACCCAGAACTGTCCTGAAGATAATGTCCATTAGTGTAAATCTAAAAGAATGTGGGTAATTTATTTATAGGTGCCCTCATTACCGTTTTATCACCTCCAGGTCTATTGTGTTCTCTCTGCTAGAAAAACAATTATTTCTATAGTCCTTGACTCTTCTCCTGAATAAGATCAGGACAAGATCAGTGTAGGGAAATGATGAGTGTGACGGAGTTTGGAAATAGGTGAATCAACTCTGAAGCTGTTGCAATCAACCCAGAGAGTGGGCTTAAGACCTTAACTATGGCAGTGATGGCATGAATATTAAAGAAGGGCTGGCCTTGGCAGATACTTCAGAGAGAGAAACTATAGAAGTTATACTATTTGTATATGCATTCATCAGTAACCCCAATTCCCTCCCCCTTACTGTCTGCAATTTCAGGCTTGCTGGGATTATGAACAGGGCATATGGGCTAGCTGTAAATCCAATCAGTGAAAGCTAGAAATCTGTCATCTATCCCTGATTGGCTTCAGATTTGGTGAGCACAGAGATATCCATTCTGGCTTTACCAGGGCAGTACCTCTGATTTTCAGAGCCAGTTCTTCCTTAAGAGTATCTAAATACCTATACCCTGCTTTTCTATACTTCTGTTGTTGCTGTGAGACACAGTAGTGATTAATTTTTTAAGGCAGTGGTTCTTAAATTTTGCTGCTTGTTGGAATTACCTGTTGATCTTCAGAAAATACTAATGTCTGGGTCTTACCCCGCAGACATTCTGATTTAATGTATATGGAGTGTGACACAAGTGTCAGAAAATTTTAAAGTTTTCATGTTAAAATATCCATAAAATTTTGGAAACTACCACTTTAAGAACTTCTGTATAATTATTACTGGCAACATAGCTTGGATGGAAAGTGTATTCTGGGAGAAAAACCAGAACTGACTCCTTGACAAGCCAATGCATTAGTCGTGGTATTGATGCTTTCTAAATGAATGATCCAAATGAAAGGACAAGGTTTGCTGAAGGAAGATTGTGTACCTCACCAGCATAAGAGATTGGCCATCATGAGTGAACTATGTTTTATGTGATAGAGAAATGTAAATGACCAGATTTGTATTTTAAGTGGAGTCTTTAGAAGTATTATTGAAGATGGAACCGAGGACTAGAGAGAAGATTATTAGAATGGTCTGATCAGGGAGTGAGGATGTGGGAGTGCAAATAAGAAAGAGAGATTGGATTGCTTGGCAGACCCTGTCTTCATGTCATTCACTCATCTATCCACAGGGGTAGCAGAGGTGGAAGAGCAGACAGATGTGGCAATATGGTGATAAGGTGAACCCTACACAGGTCTGCTCACCACAAGGAGGCAGAAAGCAGGAAAAGCAGAAAGTGCCAAAGGAGAGGATATACAAGATGTCTTAATGAGGAGTTACTGATCCAGTCATGGCCAGTGTGAGTAGCAGCACTTGCTCCCTGTGGGAGAGCATTAGTCTACTCTTTATGGGGTTGCAGACTGGATAGGGAAAAGTGTAGGAGAGCAGCAAATAGGATGATGATATTATGTCTCTTTGAAATCTCTATGTATATTGGGCAGAGGACAAGGTATAGGACTGGCATACTGGGCAGTATGGTTGCTGTCCTTGAAGGCCTAGGAAAATTCTCTTGACATGAATAGAGGAAGTTGAGTGAAGAAGAATTAGGGGAACCCTCTGGTAGTTTCTCTTTAATCTCTGAGTGAAAGACCTTTTTTTTTTTTCCTCTGCTGTGGCTGGAATCTAGTTCCAGAGGATAGCAGTATCATATGTTAATTAATGACAATAAGTCTGGAGCCAGGCTATTAAGAGTTATATCCTAGCTTCCCTAATTCCTAGCATGCAAGGCTTTGGGAAATTTTTTAACTTTTCTGTGCTTCAGTTTCTTCATCTTAAAACTTGGATGATTGTACCCACCTTATGGGATTCTGTGCAGGTTAAATCAATTTATTTCTGTAAATTACCTATAATACTCCATAAATGCCAATGATTACTATTACTATCAATTGCAGAAATTCTACTCAGGATTTAAGGCTTTTATTCTCATTGTTTAGGCAACACTGTCTCACATGTCTGAATGCTGTGCTGCACTGTTGACTGTCACTGTTGGGGATATTGGAAGATCACAAGAAACTCCTGATCCTGAATACTGGCCTGAGCCTCTTTTGGAAGAGGCCTTCCAGAACCCTACTCTTGCTAGAACTGAATGCCAGAGCTGTGTAATGGGGACATCCTGTTGTGAACTTATGTCCTTTCTGGACAAATGTATTCAATTTGAGGCAGCATGCCCAATGGTTAGCCACTCAACCTCTGAACCCAAACCCCCAGCTCTACTGCTTAATAGCTATATAACCTTGAGAAAATTCATTAATATTCCTGTACTTCAATTTTATCATGTATAAAATAAGGATAATAATTTTACATGTCTTATGGGGTTGTTATGATGATTAAATGGGTTAACATTTCTAAAAAATACTTGAACAGTGCCTGATACATTGTAAATGCATATATATGTGTTTTTAAAAATAGACAATTATATACCATTAAATGTTAACCTGGCTTTGATGCAGCTAGTTGATCAAATAATCTAAATCTTTGTAATTGGATAGTAATAGAAAAGAAGGAAGAGAAAGAGAATATGCATGTTTACAAAAGCAAAAGCCTAGGCTTTGGATGTGGTGAGGACAGACATCTCTGAGATGTCCTTAATTTTATCCACTTCCATTGAATGTTATTTGCGTTCACCTCTTGTGCAAAATAAGAACCAAAAGGGAGTCTTCCTTATTATCTCCCTTTCCTCTACATCCATACATAATGTCTATTGTGCCCCCAAGAGCTCTTCTAAGTGTCTAGAACACCACAATAATCAAAGAGACATGATTTTTCCATCACAGAGCTACATTCAGATGGTAAACACACTGAGGTTTTAAAGAGATAATTTTAGTGGCTTGTTTAATGTGGCTTAATCTGAAGGGACACAGTAAAACCAGAGGAGGTTAATATCCCAGCACCTAACCTATATAGGCAGAAACATCCAAATATAGATGGAAGGAAAATTGACATGAACTAGGCCATGCTAGCAGGAAAAGATGAGAAGGATCAGATTTTAAGATAGAAGCACAGTAGCAGTATGAACCTACAGGATTTGGCAGGAGTTTGGATGTATTTGAGCATATGTATATAAGGGTACTTTCTGACCAAATAAGGGGATAGTAAGGCCATTAACAAAGAGAAGGGAAGGGGAGGAGAAGAAGGGAAAAAACACTCTTTTGTGTGCTATAATTGCTGTTTGAAATGAATTACTACTGAGAGGGGATTTCCACAAAATGTTTCTGGGATTTTTTGGAACCAGGGTCTTTATTTGGGCAACCCTGCACCTACTGCATGCATCGTCGAGCCTACCCTCTGCTGGTGTGTGCTGAAGATTACATGATCAAGGCTCTTAAGTGTGTGATGGAAGGTGCTCAATGGGAATTGTATCCTTCCAAATGGAGACTGCCAGGGAAAAGTTTTCTGCATGCTAAGGTGATTTCTCAGAGCTGAGACCAAGTGCATGGGGGTCTGTGATCAATGCCATGTGGGAGCTGCTCCTTACAGTTGACAGATAGCCAGGGTGTCCTCAGATGGAGTTTATGAAACCTGAAGTTTAGCAAAACATTTCATATAATGATCATATTAATTTCTCAAATTGTTTTTCTTTTTAACCCAATCTAGTATAGGTGACCATGCAGACTCTTCAGAAATAGACATTGGCAAACTTTGCTCAGAAAGAGTCTGAAAGACATACAAGCGGCCAAGAAACATGAAAAAATGCCTCACATCACTAATCGTCAGAGAAATGCACATCAAAACCACAATGAGATACCACACCAGTCAGAATGGCTTTTATTAAAATTTCAAAAAATAACAGATGTTGGGGAGGCTGTGAAGACAAGGGGACATATGCAATGGTGGTGTGAATATAAATTAGTTCAGCCACTGTGGAGAGCAGTTTGGAGATTTCTCAAAGAACTGAGTTGAACTACTGTTTAACCCAGCAATTCCATTGCTGGGTATATACCCAAAGGAAAATAGATCATTCTTCCACAAGGACACATGCACCTGTACATTCATTGCAGTGCCCATCATAATAGCATAAACATGGAATAAACCAAGGTGCCCATCAATGGTGGATTGAATAAAAAAAAAGTGGTACAAATACAACATGGAATACTATGCAGCCTTGGAAAAGCATGAAATCATGTTGTTTACAGCAACATGAATGCAGCCAGGGGCCATTATCCTAAGCAAACTAATTCCAAAGTATAAGTAATTATACTTATTGTATAAGTAATAATTTATAAATATTTGTTTTTTCCTTGAAAACCAAATACTGCATGTTCTTACTTACAAATGGGAGCTAAACAATTGGGTACCCATGGACATTAACATGGGAGCAACAGACACTGGAGACTACTAGAGGAGGGAGAGAAGGAAGAGGTCAAGGGCTGAAAAACTACCTATTGGGCACTATGCTCACTACTTGGGTGATAGGTTCAGTCATACCCCAAGCCTCAGCATCACACAACTTACCTTTGAAACAAACCTGCACATGTACCCTCTGATTCTAAAATAGAAGTTGAAAAAAGAGCCTCAGTATCTCTTTTACTCATGAAAATGTGTTATGGTAAACCTGAAATATTAAAAGCATTTCCCTTATCTATTGTACATATCTCACTCTTTAAATTTTTAAACAATTATTCTGGGTATGTAATAGCTGTACATATATATAGGGTCCATGTGAAATTTTGATACAAGCATACATTGTGTAATGATAAAATAGAGGTAATTGGGATATCCATTACCTCCAGCTTTTACTTTAGTTATAGAAGGTACATAGGTAGGATTGTTACATAAGCATATTGGATCCAGATAGTGAGCATAGTACCCAATAGGTAGTTTCGAACCCACATCCCCCTCCCTCCTTGCACTAGTAGTCCACAGTGCTTATTGTTATCACGTTTATGTCCACATGTGCTCAATGTTTAGCTCCAACATATAAGTTAGAATATACATATTTGGTTTTCTATTCCTGTGTTAATTCAGTCAGGATTATAGCCACTGGCTCCATCCATGTTGCTGCAAAGGACATGATTTTATTCTGTTTTATGGCTACGTAGTATTGCATGATATATTTGTACCACATTTTCATTATCCAATCCACCATTGATGGGCACCTAGGTTGATTCTATGTCTTTGCTATTGTGAATAATAACGTGACAAACATATGAGTGCATGTGTGTTTTTGGTATAATGATCTATATTCCTTCGGGTGTATATTCAGCAATGGAATTGCTGGGTGGAATGGTAGCTCTGTTTTAAGTTCTTTGATAAATCTCCAAACTGCTTTCCACAGAGACTAGACTAATTTACATTTCCACCAACAGTGCATAGGCATTCTCTTGTCTCCACAGCCTCACCAGCATTGTCTTTTGACTTTTTAATAGTAGCCATTCTGAAAGGTGTGAGATAATATCTCATTGTAGTTTTGACTTGCATTTCTCTGAGGATTAGTAATGAGTATTTTTTCATGTTTGTTGGCCGCCTGTATGTCTTCTTTTGAGAAGTGTCTCTTCATGTCCTTAGTCTACTTTTTAACAGGGTTTTTTGTTTTTTACTTGTTGATTTGCTTAAGTTTCTTAAGGATTCTGGATATTAGACCCTTGTCAGATGCATAGTTTGTCAATATTTTCTCCCATTCTGTAGGTTGTCTGGTTTTTATTGATTTTCTTTCTTTCTTTCTTTCTTTCTTTCTTTCTTTCTTTCTTTCTTTCTTTCTTTCTTTCTTTCTTTTTAACTGTTCGGAAGCTCTTTTATTTATTTAGGCCCTACTTGTCAATTTGTTTCTATTGCAATTGCTTTTGGGAACTTGGCCATAAATTCTTCGCCAAAGCCAACGTTAAGAAGGGTATTCCCTAGGTTTGCTTCTGGAATTTTTTGTTTGAGATCTTACATTTAAATATTTAATCCATCTTCAGTTAATTTTTGTATATGGTGAAAGGTAAGGATCTACTTTCATTCTTCTGCATATACCTAGCCAGTAACCGCAGCACCATTTACTGAATAGGGAGTCCTCTCCTCATTGCTTGTTTTTGTCAGCTTTGTTGAACATTCCCTCCAGGGCAAGTTCATCTATGTGCTCCAGGTTGGAACTCCCACATCCAGGGGGTCACCTCAGGAGAGCATGCCGAAAGCATGCACACTTGGCCAGTTTTACAACTTACTTCTGCCCAGGAAGGTGCCAACTCAGCTTTCTGGTAGATAAGGCACAAGCTAGCAGGGAACCCCTCCCCTTGCTCATTTCCTCCCCTACCTTATAAAAATGTCTACTTTTTGCTGCAAAGGCAAAACAGCACATTTACAGCAGGACACTTTAAATGTGATACTTCTTCCAAGCTAATTTTAAAATTGAATTTCTTTTTTTGTACCAGTACTCACGCTTGTTCATTGGACACTACATGTGGTAAGCCACTAACCTGTTTTTCGATTGCAATATGGCAGTTCTATTTTTAGCTTTTTGAGGAACTTTCATACCATAAGTGGTTTTAGTAATACACATTCCCACTGGCAGTGTACAAGGGTTCCCTTTTATCCATGCCAGCATCTGTTATTGCCCATTTTTTTATAATAGCCACTTTAACTGGGGTGAGATGATAGCTCATTGTGATTTTAATTTGAATTTCTCTGATGATTAGTGATGTTGAGCATTTTTTCATATACCTGTAGACTATTTTTATGTCATCTTTTGAGCAATGTCAATTCAAATTCTTTACCCATTTTTAATCAAATTATTTTTTATTGAGATGTTTGAATTACTTATATATTCCAGTTATTAATTCCTTGTTAGATAAGTTGATTGCTAATATTATCACCTGTTCTGTAGGTCATCTGTTTATTTGTTGATCCTTTTCTTTGCCATGCAGAAGTCATTTAGTTTGCTATGATTCCATTTGTTGTTTTTTGCTTTGATTACCTATACTTTTGTTGTCTTACTCAAGAAGTCTTTATGCTGACCAATGTCCTGGAGCATTTCTCCAATATTTTCTGTTAGTAATTTCATGGTTTCAGGTCTTAGGTTTAGGTCTTTAATCCATTTAATTTGATTTTTGCTTATTACAGGAGATAGGGATCTAGTTTTATTCTTCTGCATACAGATATTCAGTTTTTTCAACAGTGGTTATTGAAGAGTTTACATTTCCCATTCTTGAGGAGTTTACACGGTTTATTTTTAGAAAACCGAATTTTAACTTTAATTCAGAAGGTACATTGCAGGTTTGTTACATGAGTATATAGGATGATGCTGAAGTTTGGGTTATGAGTAATCCCATTACCCACATACTTAGCATAGTACCCAATAATTAGTTTTCTAATACTTAGCCCTTTATTTCTCTCTCCTCTCAGTAGTCGCAAATTTCTTTTGTTGCTATCTTTATATCTATGAGTACCCAATGATTACACCCTACTTAAAAGTGAGACCATGCGGTATTTGGTTTTATGTTTCTGCATTAATTTGCTTAGGATAATGGCCTCCAGCTGCATCCATGTTGCGGCAATGGTTGCCTGTGTCTTTTTTGTGGAATGAATTATTTTCTTTTGGATATCCAGCCAGTAATGGGAATCCTGGGTTGAATGATAGTTCTAAGATATTTGACAAATTTCTAAACTGCTTTCCACAATGGCAGAACTAATTTACATTCCCACCAACAGTTTATGAGCATTCCCTTTTCTCTGTAGCCTCACCAGCATTTGTTAGTTTTTGACTTTTTAATAGTAGCCATTCTGACTGTTGTAAGATGGTATCTCATTATGGTTTTGATTTGCATTTTTTGATGATTAGTGATGTGGAGCATGTTTTCATATGTTTGTTGGCTGTTTGTATGTCTTCTTTTGAAAAGTGTTTATGTCTTTTGCCCACTTGTTAATGGGGTTCTTTGTTTTTTGCTTGTTCACTTGTTTAAGTTCATTATAGTTTCTAGATATTAGGCCTTTGTTAGTTTGTGAATATTTTCTCTCATTCTTCAGTTTGTTTAATCTGTAGATTGTTTCTTTTACTGTGCAGATGCTCTTTTTAATTAGGTCACATTTGTCAATTTTTATTTTTGTTGCAATTGCTTTTGAGGAATAAGTCATAAATTTATTTCTAAGACCAATATACAGAATGGTGTTTATAGCGTTGTTTATAGAATTCTTATAGTTTAGGTCTTGAGTTCATTTCTGTATACAGTGAAAGGTAGGGATACAGTTTAATTCTTCTACATGTTGATAGCCAGTTATTCCAGAACCATTTATTGAGTAATGAATTCATTCCTCATTGTTTATTTTTGTGAACTTTGTCAAAGACCAGATGGCTGAAGGTGTGCAGCTTTATTTCTAGGTTATTTTGTTCCATTGGTCTATGTGTCTGTTTTTATACCAGTACCATGCTGTTTTGGTTACTGTAGGCTTACAGTATAGTTTGACATTGGGTAATGTGATACCACCAGCTTTTTTTTCGTTTATATTAAGATTGTTTTAGCTATTTGGGCTCCTTTTAGGTATTTGGGCTCTTTTTAGGTTTCACGCGAATTTTAGAATTTTTTTTAAATTATGTGAAAAATGACATTGGTAGTTTGATAAGAATAATGTTGATTCTGTAAATTGCTTTGGCCAGTATGGTTATTTTAATTATATTGATTTTTCTAGTTTATGAGCATTAAATGTTCTTCCATTTGTTTGTGTCATTTATGATTTATTTCAACATTATTTTGTAAAACTCCTTTTAGTTAAATGTATTCCTAGTGATTTTTTTGTGGTTATTGTAAATGAGATTGCATTTTTTATTTGACTATCAGCTTGAACATTATTAGTATGTAGAAATGCTACTGATATTTGGACATTGCTTTCATGTCTTGAAACTTTGCTGAAGTTGTCAGTTCCAGGAGTCTTTTGGCTGAGCCTTTAGGGTTTTCTAGGTATAGAATCATATCCTTTGTAAAGAGATATAATTTTATCTCTTCTTTTACTATGTGAATGCCTTTTATTTCTTTCTCTAATCTGATTTTTCTGGCTAGCACCTCCAATACTGTATTGAATAGAAATGGTGAGAGTGAGCATTTATGTTTTACTCCAGTTCTCAAGGGGAATCCTTCCAGTTTTTGCCCACTCTGTATGATGTTCACTCTGGGTTTTATTATTTAGATGGCTTTTATTATTTTATGGTATGTTTCTTTGATGTCTAGTCTGTTGAGAATTTTTATCATGAAAAGATGGCAGATTTTATTGAAAGTCCAGAACTTCTTTGTTAGTGTTCTGCCCTAAAAGTCTGTCTAATGCTGTCAGTGGTGTGTTGAGGTCACCCAATTTTATTGTGTGGTTGCCTCAGTCTTTTTGTAGGTCTTGAAGTATTTCTCTTATGAATTTAGGTACTTCAATGTTGGGTGCATATATATTGAGGATATTTATGTCTTCTTGTTGAATTGAAACATTTATCTTTTTTACTGTCGTTGGTTTGAAATCTGTTTTATAAGAATTTATCAGAATAGTGATCCCTGCTTATTTTGTTTTCATTTGCATGGTAGATCTTTCTCCCACCCTTTACTTTGAGACTACGTGTGTCATTACATGTGAGATTTGTTCCTAGAAGACAGCAGATGGATGGGTGTTAATTTTTTTATACAATTTGCCCCTCTGTGCCTATTAAGTGGGGGCATTTATATCATTTACATTCAGTGTTAATATTGATATATTAGATTTTGATCCTATCATGAAGTTGTTATGTTGTTGATTTGTTTGTAGTTTCTATTATGTGGTTTCTTTATAGGGTTTGTGGGCTAGGTACTTAATAGGTACTTAATTTAAGTGTTTTTTTTTTTTTTTCTCGGATGTTCTTTGGTTTCCATGTTTAAAACTTCCTTAATGATCTACTGGAAGGCTGGTCTAGTGTTGATAAATTCACTTAGCACTTGCTGATCTGGAAAAGATTGTATTTCTCCTTCACTTATAAAGGTTGGTTTGGTGGGATATGAAATTCTTGGTTGGAATTTCTTTCTTTTAAGGATGCTGAAAGCAGATCTTCAGTCTCTCCTGGCTTGTAAGTTTTCTGCTGAGAAGTCTCCTTTTAGTATAATGGATTTCCCTTTGTACATGATCTGACCTTTTTCTCTGGCTGCCTTTAAGATTTTATTTTTAGGAGTTATCTTGGACAGTTTGGTGACTATATTCCTTGGTGATGTTTGCCTTGTATAGTATCTTGCAAGTTGTATTAGTCCATTTTCACACTGCTAATTAAGACATACCCGAGACTGGGAAGAAATAGTTTAATTGGACTTATAGTTCCACAAGGTTGGGGAGGCCTCAGAATCATGATGGGAGGCAGAAGGCATTCTTACTTGGCAGCAGCAAGAAAAAATGAGGAAGATGCAAAAGTGGAAACCCCTGATAAAACCATCAGATGTCATGAGACATATTCACTGCCATGAGAACAGTGTGGGGTTAACCACCCCCATGATTGAAATTATCTCCCACTGGGTTCCTCCCACAACACGTGGGAATTATGGGATTTGAGACAAGATTTGGGTGGGGACACAGAGCGAAACCATCTCATAAGTGTCATCTGGATTTCTTCTATCTAGTTGTCTACCTCTCTAGCAAGATTAGGGAAGGTTTTCTGAATTACTCTCTCAAATATGTTTTCAGAGTGTCAATGTTGTTTACTTTTTCTCCCTTCTCTTTCAGGAATGCCAATCATTAATAGGCTTCATTGCTTTGTATATTTTCATATATCTCAAAGACTTTGTTTCATTTAAATATTTTTTTCTTTATTTTCTGTCTGAATGGGTTAGTTAAAAAAACTGGTCTTCAACCTTTGAAATTCTTTCTTCTGCTTGATTCAGTCTACTGATAAATCTTTGTTCTGTATTTTGAGATTCCCTAAGTGAGTTTTTCAATTCCAGAAGCTCCAACTGATTATTTTCTTAAGATGTTTATCTCTTTCTTTATTTCCTTGATTGCTCTAGAAATTTTTCATGTTGATTTTCAACGTTGTGTTTGATATTGTTATGTTTCCTTGCAATCCATGCTTGGAGTTCTTTATCTGACATTTCTTAGTTTCCATTTTGATTAGGTAACATTGCTGGAGAGCTATTGCGATTTTTTGGTGGTGTCACTACATTCAGATTTCTTTTAGTTTCTGAATTCTTGTGCTGGGCCTTGGGGGAAACTGGGGGACAAGATGGGTGAGGCTGCCTACTGGTCCCCCAATGACAGGCACAGGCACCAGCACCAATGGAGAATCCAGTGGGTGACTGCCAAGTGCCCAGAGATGTGCCTAGGCACGGAGCAGTGAAACTTCTTCATCCCTAAGTTCTCTGCATGGGGATTGTGGTTGACTATACTCTTAATCCAGGACAGTGGGTGCTCTAGATTTCTGGAGATCTGCTGGGATGTGGAGTACAGAGGACACCCCTGCACCACAATTTATGTCCAAGAATGGTAGGGCAACTTAGAGTGCTAGTCTACACAAGTGTTAGAAATGCTGGGAGATCTGCCTACATGTTGAATACAGAGTGTCCCCACTGCACCTCAATCTATGTACAAGAAAGGTGGACTGGGTCAGGCTGTTGATCTGGGTGCAGGGGTTCTCTGAATACCTGGAGATTTCTCTGGGCATGGAGTGGAGAGGGCCCTGCTGCACCACAATCTATGTCCATGGAGGGTGGGGCATTTCAGGCTGCTGGTGCCAGCAAGTGGGTTCTCTGAATACCTGGATTTCTCTCTGGGGGTGGAGCAGAGAGGGCCCCACTGCACCACAATCTCAGAGGAACAGACTGGGGCACCCAGGAATGGCACACACAGATTGGTTCCATGTCAACACACTGACTCTGGCTTCAAGTCTCTTTGCCCATGAGAAACTTTAGCTGTAGCAACTCTCCTCCTTCCCCAGGCCTGTGGCAGGAGAGAACACAATTTCACCACCTACTGCTGGAGCATTATTCATGGTTCTTGCTGTGGAGGCCCTTACCCCACTCCAGAGCAGTTCTTCAAGTTCCTGGCCCAAGAGTAAAATTCCTGCATGGCCATGCATCCAGGTCAGCAAAGGATGGCTGACTCTTTATGTGCTTTAATTAAAAATGGCATTCCGCTCTCAGTCCTGCATCTGGGAAAACATCTGCACATTTTCCTGGTGTTTTTTCCTCACAGCATCTCCCATCCAAGTTAGCTCCAGGATTTGGGAGGAACAAACTACTCTCCCTCAGGTTGAGTTGCTCAGATCCGCAGTGGAAAAGATGGTAACAGAGGGAGGCTCTCAGCCTCTCTCACGTACTGCAGCTTCACTCAGTTTTATCAGTGTTTACCTGCAGACTGTTTGCCAGCATTCTCTTCCCCAGGATCTGGCGTGTCCTTCATTTTTCCAGTGGAATTTTGTTTTCCTCCTTCAATTAAAATTCAAAGAGGTGATCTTTATGCACTATCTTGCTATTTCCAAGTGGCTAGGCATGCTAAAATTCTCTAATCTCGTATCTTGGAAAGAAAAATAAAACTTACGTGGTTCTTAAAACAGGGATTATAAGGTATCGGCTTCTCTAGGGCAAGCTTTACCTTCTGAAGGAAGGAAGTTGTTTTATATTCAGGCATTATATATCCATGAGGGCAAGTCTAGTACTCTCAGGATGCCTTGAAATCTTCTCTAAAGTCATCTGGTTTATTCAGTCTTTTATTCCTTTAAAAGTTTTAGTTTTCCTTATGTTTATTGTCTCCTCTTCTCTACCTGTATTGACTACTCAAAAACATTTAAGTGTCTTCCTGTGTCAGATGGGAAGAGTCAGGTGTTTAAGTTTTTAGTTAATATTTTGACTGGGGATTCAGAGCTTTCACATTCCTACCCTAACTCTCTCTCCTTTTTCCCCATGAGTTTTTCAGATAAGCTATACACAGAGGGGTAAGTAAAATAATTTTATTTATACACTCCATTATTGTATGATTCAGTGTTTGCTAACCCCCAGGATGGTGCTCTGAACAGCTGAATTACAGACAGTGACCTAGGTTCCAGACCCAAGTGATGGCTCTGCTATTTCTCTGGAAGATAAGAGCAAAGGTATACTGCTCTCTTGTTTGGATCCTATGGTATGTAAGGGGTTCTAAGCTTTTCTACTTTAAGTCCTCTTTTACTCCCAGTTCTGTGAGTTCCTAGACCCACTTCTGGATGCTTACAAAAGTGCATTATGGCAGAATACTAGATAAAGTATGGTCATTCATCAGTGCTCTTTAATTTCTACTTACAATCTCATTCCTAGGATCCATGGATTTTCCTCATCAGGCCCACAACTTTTATTTTTTTCCACAGGTTTGGATAAGAAACCCAGGAGCCTTGGAAGTAAGGAGTAGCAATGAGAAACTCCTTAAACCGTCTACTGCTAAAAGTTGGTGCCTCTGAGTTCACCATATTCTAATCTTTTATTTCTTTCATAAAATAGAAAGACTTCTGAACTAGAAGTCTGGAGTCATTAGTGAAATTCCTAGTGGCAAAACTAGCTACATGAGGCATTTTGTACAGGATGATGTTCTGAGATCTGTGAGTTGATGTACAGATGAAATGACAGTTTTTATTTTCTCCAGGTGCTCATAGTCTGATGACAGGTAGAAACAACCATATATCAATCTTTAAACAAGAGATTTCAATGGTGAGTGTACTAATATAAGTCTGGGTATCCCTCATCCAAACCCTCATCTACTGAATACAAGCTATAAAAACTTGCAAACATTTTTTTTTTACCGCAAATCTACTATCTGATAGGAAAACTCATTATAATTATTGCATAAACCAGTGTAAATGTTTAAGTAGTAGGCAGGTTTGGGAGTTAGAGAATATAGAGTTCCCTGAAGTCATAGCTCATTTATTCTCTTAGTGGGTTTTGTTTTGTGCTCCTCTTGTCTAATCATTATTGCTATTATCTTTCCCTTCATTTACTTGGGATTTTAACCTTCAGGAGTCCTATGTTTTTTCATTCCAGGTGCTTGAAGTAAATCAATATAAGCAAACAGCTGAGTTTTTGGGCCTAATAATGAAAATTTGCCACATCTGTGCTTTGAAAAACTGTCTGGAGCTGGGGAGTTAATGCAAATTTAAGAGGATGTATAGTGAAGTAGAGAGTGGTGGCAAGGTGAACCACTCAGGAGAGGTTTGTAAAATATTCTGATCCATGGACATGGTATATCACACCACTTATTTAGTTATTCTTAATGTCTCAGCAATGTTTTTTAGGTTTTAATATATAGGTCTTGCTCACTTTTTAGATTATTTCTAATTTATAATTTTGATACTACCCTAAATGGTATATTTTAGAACTTTATTTATTTTGAAAGAATTATAGGTTCATGGGAAGTTGCAAATGAAGTACAGAGAGGTATCATATGCCTTTCACATAGTTTCTCAAAATGGTTACCTCTTACCTAGCTTAACTACAGTATCAAAACCAGAAAACAGAAATTGGTACAATATATGTGTGTATGTGTGTCTGTGTGTGTGTAGACATTTTATCTACGTGTATTCTTTTATTTTTTAAACAATTTTTTGATGTATAATTGACATACAAAAAGCTGTTCATTTTTAATGTATACAACTTTATGAGTGTGAAGATAAGTATTTACCTATGAAACCGTCAACACAATCTATGACATAAACATACCCAACATCTCCAAAAACTTCCTCCCATCAACTTTATTATTATTAATTTTTATAAGAATGTAACTTAAGATTATCTTCACAAATTTATAAGTATACAATAAAATATTGTTAACTGTAGGCACTATGCTGTACAGTAGATTTCTAGGATTTATTCATCTTGCACAAGTGAAACTTTATACCCATTGGCAGCAACTCCCATTTTCCCCTCACCCAACTTTAGCAATCACCATTCTACTTTCTGCTTCTATGAGTTTGACTACTTTAGACACCTCCCATAAGTGGAATCATGCAGTATTTGTTCTTCTGTGACAGGCTTATTTCACTACCAGTTTATAATTTTTTTCAGTCTATCTCTTTGTATAGCTTGTATAATGGTTTTTCTAGGTGTTACATTATATACACATAATTCATCACAGTCTGCTGGTGGTGTTCATGTCATTCAAATTGCTTTTCTCCTAAAGGTACAAGTTTCATTTCTCACACAGCTTTTAATATCTTTCTTTCTAAAAATTATTTTTATTAATTTATATTAAACATACATATTTTGGGGGTACAATAGATAATTTAATACATTTATATAATTTGTAAATATCAAGATAGCATAATTGGGATATCCTTCACCTTAAAATTTATCTTTTTATGATAGACACATTCAAATTATTCTCCTCTAGCTTTTCTGAAATATTTAGTAATGTGGGTGTGGTGGCTTATACCTGTAATCCCAATAATTTGGGAAGCCAAGATGCAAGGATTGCTTGAGGGCAGGAGTTTGAGACCAGCCTGAGCAACAAAACAAGACTGCCATCTTCACAAAAAAATTAAGTATTCAGTGATTTGTGGTGGTGCACACCTTTAGCCTTAGCTACTCAGGAAGCTGAGGTGGGAGGATTACTTGAGCCCAAGAGTTCAAGGCTGCATTGAGCTATGATCAAGCCACTGCACTCCAGGTTAGGTGACAGAGCAAGAGCTTATAAAAAATAATGATATATCATAGATTATTGTAAACTATAGTTACTCGACCAAAGATCTTTTCTTTGTCTTTAGTTTTCAGAATCTAGACTTTAATGTGTCTTGGCATGGATTGCTTTATTTTTTGCTTTTATTATTATTTTTAATTAAAAATTAACCTATAATAATTGTACATATTTATAGGATACAGTGTGGTATTTCGATAGGTGTATACAATGCATAATGATTCAATCAGAGTGATTAACATATCCATCACCTCAAACATTTATCATTTCTTTGTGTTAGGAACATTCAAAATCCATTCTTCTGCAATTTGAAAATACACAATGCATTGTAATTTTTTTTTTATTATACTTTAAGTTTTAGGGTACATATGCACAACGTGCAGCTTTGTTACATATGTATACATGTGCCATGTTGGTGTGCTGCACCCATTAACTCGTCATTTAACATTAGGTATATCTCCTAATGCTATCCCTCTCCCCTCCCCCCACCCCACGACAGGCCCCGGTATGTGATGTTCCCCTTCCTGTGTCCATGTGTTCTCATTGTTCAATTCCCACCTATGAGTGAGAACATGCGGTGTTTGGTTTTTTGTCTTTGCGATAGTTTGCTGAGAATGATGGTTTCCATCTTCATCCATGTCCCTACAAAGGACATGAACTCATCATTTTTATGGCTGCATAGTATTCCAATATACATTGTAAATTATAATCATTCTATAATACTATAGAACACTATAATATATTCCATTCTTTTAGCTGTACTTTTGTATCTGTTTGTTAACTTTTGGCTACACCACTCTCTGTTACTTTTTCCCACCTCTTCTAACCACTATTCTACTCTCTAGTTCTATGAGAACATTTTCAGCTTCCACATATGAGTGAGAACATGTGGTATGGCATGGATTTATTTGTTTTTTTCCTTTTTTGTGTTTGCTCAACTTATTGAATCTGTAGCTGTATTAATTTTTTTATTTGCTTCAACTATGTTTGTAATTGGTAATTGAAGCTTTTTCATGTTTTTTTTTTTACAAATCTTTATCTGATAATTTTCACATCACTGTCATTTTGATGTTGGCATCTATTGATTGTCTTTTTTCTTTCTTTTTTTCCACACTTTCATTTTTTTAATAAGGAATTTAAGATCCATAGTATCTTAAAGTTTAATGCTCGGAAGAGACACAATTTCAAGGTGATAAAAATATTAATTAGAAGACACATAACATGCCTCAAGTATATCAACACTTGACTCCATAAACAAGGCATAACCATGAAAACAACATTCCCTTTATTTTGGGCTCCCAAAATCAAAAGTAAGATTAGAACTAATTTAATCTATCACAGATATTTAGTATACTCAATAATGCACAATTTATTTAAAAAAACACTAATATTGTACAATGTTTCTGTGTTTTAGTTTTTCCCACAGCTGTTGAAAATTTCAGCCTTTATTTGAAACATGACCTGCATGACAGACTATAAGTTGTCAATAGTTATGTTTCTTTGGAAAAGTACAGTTGTGGCATTTACTCATTTTAGCAGATAGCTAAAAGGGAAAAATAAGAAAAAATATACACTGGACCTGCAGTTAACTTCTTGACAATGCCAAGGATAAAAAACAGATGAAACAACATTTGTTGAAGATGAAAAGGTATTGCATTGATCTTAATAGATGTTGCGATCTCTGGGTGAGGATGCTGACTGACTAGACTGCAATATAGAGACACTTTTTCATTTCCCTATTGTTCCTAATACAGAATTGTAGAGCTGGAGAGTACCTTCAGTTTTCTAAATCTATTCTCAAACAGGATATCACTAACCTCTTTAGAATCATTCCTCAATATACATCAATTTATTGAGAACTGCCTAATACTCAAAAGAAATGGAACCCTGAGTTCAGTAAGCTGTGTTCCAAGCAGGAATTATTTTCACTTACCAAAATATCTCCTGTTACCTCAAGGTATCCTTGTGGAGGAATGCTAAATTTTATGTATCAAGTCTAGACCATAGAGTGCTTTGGTGGGAGTATTTTGATTATATACCTCCTACCCATCAGAAGCAGGCAGCTAATATTGTGAACCGAGTATTTTTGTCAAAAGTCACAGAGAAGAGACTACAGAAGAATGAGAAAGGTCAAATGGACCTAGTGTGATTGAGTACATGGATCTTGTCTCTTGGAGGTCTGTCGTAAAAGAGAAAGCACACAGAGGTGAAGACACAGATTGTCTTTTTTCATTCAGCTTGAGATACTTCTCTTTTTTGGTATGATGGGTAATTTTTTAAATTTCATTTGAATAATCAGAGGTGTTCCCATCATAATTACAGTAACATGGATTAATGTGTCCCAACCCTAGAGATGAATTTGATTTCCTCATTATGTGTATTATCTTTATCATCCTCTCAGTATTTGTTTTTCTTCTTCTTTTTTTATTGTACTTTAAGTTCTGGGATACATGTACAGAACGTGCAGGCTTGTTACATAGGTATACACGTGCCATGGTGGTTTGCTGCACCCATCAGCCTGTCATCTACATTAGGTATTTTTCCTAATGCTGTCCCTCTTCTAGCCACCACCTCCGGACAGGCCCCGATGTGTGATGTTCCCCTCCCCGTGTCCATTTATTCTCATGGTTCCACTCCCACTTATGAGCGAGAACATGTGGTGTTTGGTTTTCTGTTATTGTGTTAGTTTGCTTAGAATGATGTTTTCCAGCTTCATCCATGTCCCTGCAAAGGACATGAACTATGATGAGTAATTTTTGATAGAAACATGGTCATTGGAAGGAATTTCAAGATGGCCATCTTTATTCAGCTGCAAAGGGTCACTCCCACATACAGAGACTAGGATTTCAGCTAAACTAGCATAATTTGAACAGATCTTTGGAGAAAAAAAATGTTAAATGTGGATGGAGAATAGATGCAGAAGCTGACACTGATGAGGGAGGAAGCTGAGAGCACTACATGTGGTGCCTAAATGTTAGGGCTGGTTCCTAGCCCCAAACAGCTACTGGGGAAGGAGCAAGTGAAGCAACTGAGAGAGTGTTCACCATCACCACGGACCTCTGAGATCCTATCTGTAGGGGATTCCACATCCTTCCACAAATATTTGAGCTGGCAGGAGGATCTCCGTGGAGATTAGATAGAGATGGAACTGCAGCAGGCACAAAGCCAGGGACTTTGTATACAGGATAGCTCCAGCAGAGCCTGACCATAAGCATTCATTTTTCAGAGCACTTCATCTCCCTCTAAGAGGAGCTGGCCCTAGATAACTGCCAGGGAAAAAGCAAGGCTAGCTTCCCTATGAGACTGGTGCATGTCTGTCCTGCATGCCTGCTGCCAGCCACTCCCAGGGCTCCTGGCTGGCCACCCACAAGAACAAGTTCAGAGTACAGCCCTCTTGCCCAACCTCGGTGCTTTGCTCCATCTGAGTGCATTCCAGCAGGCTGGGAGCCCTCTGAGTTTTACAAAATACCCAGAATTTAAACTCCAGAGTCTGGAGGAGGAAGCCACGAGTAGTTCCTGGTGCCCATGGCTGAAGCCTGTGGATCAGGAGTTCTGAGCCAGGATCTGTGCCCAGCACTCAAGTGGGAGAGGAACAAGCACTCTCCAGAACCTGAGAGAGGTGAGTCATTTAGGTTTGCAGGCTGGTTTGGGAACTAGGCATGCCTCTCTCCATAAGATCACCTGGTAAGTGTCTGGCCTATTTCTTTACCAGACTTCTGCTCAAAGGAGCCCTGTGGCTTGAAACTCTTAACAGCAACAAAAAAATTGAGGGCCCAGTGCTAGTGATCTGAGGTGGCTCCCTGAAAGCTCAGAAGTGGACCTGGTGAGTAGATCACCTCCCTGTCCCATAGAGCACAGCTTCAAATGCAAAGAGGAACAAAGGAGTCACATGACTGAATATGAGCCTATGTACCACCCATTGCTCTCAAGCATCATCTACTGGATTGCAGTCCAAACCACAACACCAAAAAACACTGCTAATTTTACCCTTTGGAAAATCAAGGATAAGAAGTTAACAAAAAACAAAGACTCTGTACAAAGCTTTAATTAGCCTTCTGAAAACTCAAAACGAAGCCAAGTGACTATACTCAATTTAAACCACAAAAAAAGAACACCAACCCTCCCAGAAGAGAAAGAATCAGCACAAGATCTTTGGCAATTAAAAAAGCCAAAGTGTCCCCTTACCTCCAAATGGGCCTGCTTGCTCCCCAGCAATGGTTCTTAAACAGCCCGAAATGTCTCAAATGATACACATGGAATTCAGAATGTGGCTGGCAAGAAAGGTCACCGAAATCCCTGGGAAAAATTGTAACTCAATCCAAGGAAGCCAAGACATCAAGTAAAATGATTCAAGAGCTTAAAGTTGAAAAAGCCATTTTAAGAAAGACCCAAACTGAACTTTTGAGCTGCAAAATTCACTACAAGAATTCTGAACTAGTTTTAAGTCAAAATATTAATGACGATCCTCAGGGCAGCCTCTAAGAAAATAACTCAAAAAATGCATAGTGGAAGAAACAGCAAGAGAGTTAAAATTGTATACTAGAAAAATACCTAACACAAAGAATGCAGTAATGACAGAAGATAGTAATGGCAAAACAGAGGAACAAAAAGGAAATACACACAGAAAACAGCGAAATGGCAGGCATATATCCTACTTTATCAATAATTACATTAAATGTGAGTTGATTAATGCTCCAACCAAAAGGCAGAGATTGGCAGAATAATTTTTTAAAAAAACAACATGATCCAATTATATGCTGTCTACAGAAGACAAACTGAGTCAGACACAAATAGGTTGAAAGTAAAAGGATGGGAAAATATATGTCATGCAAACAGTAAAGAAAGCTGGAATGGCTATGCTACTATCAGGCAGAATAGACTGTAAGACAAAAATCATTACTGGAAGCAAAAAAAGAGACATTTTATAATTATAAAAGGATTGCTCCATCAGGAAGACATAACTATAAATGTATGTGCACCTAACACCTAAGCTCCAAAATACATGAAGCAAAAACTAATAGAATTGAAGGGAGAAATAGAAATTCAGTGATAATAGCTGGAGGCTTCAGTACCCCACTTTCAATAATGGATAGAACAACTGGACAGAAGTTCAACAAAGAAATAGAAGACTCAAACAACACTCTATACCAACTAGACCTCAAAGGCATCTATAGAACACTCTAAACAACAGCAGATACATGTTCTTCTCAAGTATGAATTAGACTACAAATTGAGCCTCAATAAATTTAAAAGATTGAAATCATACAAACTTCTGCAATCACAATGGAATTTTTTTTTTTTTTTGAGACAGAGTCTCACTCTGTCACCCAGGCTGGAGTGCAGTAGCACAATCTTGGCTCACTGCAACCTCTGCCTCCCAGGTTCAAGTGATTCTTGTGCCTTAGCCACCTGAGTAGCTGGGATTACAGGCATTCACCACCACACCCAACTAATTTTTGTATATTTAGTAGAGACAGGGTTTTGCCATGTTGGCCAGGCTGGTCTTGAACTCCTGGCCTCAAGTGATCTGCCCACCTCGGCCTCCCAAAATGCTGGTATTATAGGTGTGAGCCAACACACCCAGCCATGGGGTGAAATCAATAATCAGTAACAAAAGGAAAATTTGGAAATTCTCAATTGTGTGCAAATTTAAACACACACACACAGACACACCCCTAAATAAGCAATAGGTCAAAGAATAAATCACAAGAGAAATTAGAAATGAATGAAAATGAAAACAAAAATACAATATATCAAAGCTTATGTGGTGTAGTTAAAGCAGTGGTTATAGGGAAATATACAGTTTAAATGCTTATGTTAAAAAATAATTTTATTGCATGTATATTATACCTAAATAAAGCTGATATTAATGAAAAAAAGAATTTCCTAATCTGAAGTATTAACATCAGAATAAACTAAGCTGAGGACAAAATCTAAGAGCTCAAAGACAAGTTCTTTGAGTCAATTCAATGAGACAAAAATAAAGAGGAAAATGAAGAAAAATCAACGAAATCTCCAAGAACAATGGGATCATGTAAAGAGACCAAATCTATGACTCATTGGCATTCCTGACACAGAAGGGGAGATAATAAGCAACTTGGAAACTATATTTGAGGATATAGTCCATGAAAATTTTTCTAATCTCACTAGAGAGGTTGACATGCAAATCCAAGAAATACAGAGAACTTAAGCCAGATACTATAAAGGACAACCATCCTCCTCAAGGCCAATGCAAAAGAAAAAATCTTGCCTATTTCCTGAATGGTAATGCCTAGGTTTTCTTCTAGGGTTTTTATGGTTTTAGGTCTAACGTTTAGATCTTTAGTCCATCTTGAATTGATTTTTGTATAAGGTGTAAGGAAGGGATCCACTTTCAGCTTTCTACATATGGCTAGCCAGTTTTCCCAGCACCATTTATTAAATAGGGAATCCTTTCCCCATTGCTTGTTTTTGTCAGGTTTGTCAAAGATCAGATGGTTGTAGATATGCGGCGTTATTTCTGAGGGCTCTGTTCTGTTCCATTGATCTATATCTCTGTTTTGGTACCAGTACCATGCTGTTTTTGTTACTGTAGCCTTGTAGTATAGTTTGAAGTCAGGTAGTATGATGCCTCCAGCTTTGTTCTTTTGGCTCAGGATTGACTTGGCAATGTGGGCTCTTTTTTGGTTCCATATGAACTTTAAAGTAGCTTTTTCCAATTCTATGAAGAAAGTCATTGGTAGCTTGATGGGGATGACATTGAATCTATAAATTACCTTGGGCAGTATGGCCATTTTGTCAAAGCCAAAATTGACAAATGGGATCTAATTCAACTAAAGAGCTTCTGCACAGCAAAAGAAACTACCTTCAGAGTGAAAAGGCAACCTACAAAATGGGAGAAAATTTTCGCAACCTACTCATCTGACAAAGGGCTAATATCCAGAATCTACAATGAACTCAAACAAATTTACAAGAAAAAAACAAACAACCCCATCAAAAAGTGGGCGAAGGACATGAACAGACACTTCTCAAAAGAAGACATTTATGCAGCCAAAAAACACATGAAAAAATGCTCATCATCACTGGCCATCAGAGAAATGCAAATCAAAACCACAATGAGATACCATCTCACACCAGTTAGAATGGCAATCATTAAAAAGTCAGGAAACAACAGGTGCCGGAGAGGATGTGGAGAAATAGGAACACTTTTACACTGTTGGTGGGACTGTAAACTAGTTCTACCATTGTGGAAGTCAGTGTGGCGATTCCTCAGGGATCTAGAACTAGAAATACCATTTGACCCAGCCATCCCATTACTGGGTATATACCCAAATGACTATAAATCATGCTGGTATAAAGACACATGCACACGTATGTTTATTGCGGCATTATTCATGATAGCAAAGACTTGGAACCAACCCAAATGTCCAACAATGATAGACTGGATTAAGAAAATGTGGCACATATACACCATGGAATACTATGCAGCCATAAAAAATGATGAGTTCATATCCTTTGTAGGGACATGGATGAAATTGGAAATCATCATTCTCAGTAAACTATCGAAGAACCAAAAACCAAACACCGCATATTCTCACTCATAGGTGGGAATTGAACAATGAGATCACATGGACACAGGAAGGGGAATATCACACTCTGGGGACTGTGGTGTGGTGGGGGGAGGGGGGAGGGATAGCATTGGGAGATATACCTAATACTAGATGATGAGTTAGTGGGTGCAGCGCACTAGCATGGCACATGTATACATATGTAACTAACCTGCACAATGTGCACATGTACCCTAAAACTTAAAGTATAATTAAAAAAAAAAGAAAAAAAGAAATTAGGGCAAAATATGTATGAATAAAAATAAGGTATTAAATGTTTAATGCTTGAAAAAAAAGAAAAAATCTTAAAGACAGCTAGAGAGAAGGGGCAGGTCACTTACAGAAGGAACTCCATCAGGCTAGCAGCAGACTTCTCAGCAGAAACTTTACAAGACAAAATATATTGAGAGCCTATTTTCAGAAAATTTTTTGTTTTGCAGTTCATCTTTTTATTTAATAAAATCAGAATATGCACAGCACATGCAGTGCTAGAACCTGAACTAATACAATAAGCAATTACTAAAGCTACAGTGACTTGAGGTTCAATCTTTACATTCGGCAAGTTTAAATCTTTACATGATTTTTGAATCCTTATTAACTGAAAATATTGCTTGCTGATAAAACTGACTGCTCAAATGCTATTGCTGAATCTACAAGTCACTGATTACACCAATACAACAAAGATAACCACATGTTTGAGGATTGCAATGTGCCATTCACTGAAAAAAAAAAAAAACCACACACATAACTAAACAAAATTCACACAACAAACATCTCAGAATCTGGACACTTCGTATCAATGTTCTGAAGTGTTTAATTAATATCTTAAGACAAGTGTATCAAAACCTTGGCAAGATTTAATTTCAAGTCGCCAATTTTGTTTTTACTAACATCAGAAAGGTATGGCTACACTGCCAACGCCAGGCCTGCTTAATTTAACTTAAGAATTTAATATGACTTAATATTAAAAGCTCACATTACCACAAAATACATACTTTCATGCATACGGTGACATTCAACATTCAATTGCCAGTGTTTATGTACTGTCTTTTGGTCAAGTTTCTTTAAAAAAGAAAAATGAAGAGGGAGGGAGAGAGAGAGAGAGAGAGAGGAAGAAAGAAAAGAAAAAAGAAAAATTGAAAGGAAAGGAAAGAGGAAAGGAAAATAAAAGAAAAGATCAGGTCAATATCCCTGATTAACGTTGATGCAAAAATCCTCAACAAAATGTTAGCAAATTAAATCCAGCAGTGCTTTATTCCTGGGATACAAGGCTGGTTCAACATGCACAAATCAATAAATATAGTGCCAAAAGTCAGTTTGAATATCCAAAACAATTTTAAGCAAACAAACAACATAAAAAATGCCAGAGGCATCACATTACCTGACTTCAAACTATATTTGAAGGCTGCAGTAATCAAAACAGCATAGTAGTGATACTAGCCCCTGGTAATGACTATTCTACGTTCTGTCTTTATGAATTTGACTACTCTAAGCATATTAGGCAGGTCTGCATGTCTTAACATAAATGCCATAAACTGGGTGGTTTAAACAACATAAATTTGGTGGGTTTTTTTTTTGTTTTTTGTTTTTTTGTTGTTTTTTTTTACAGTCCCAGAGAATGGAAGCCTAAAATCAGGGTTGCAGCATGATTAGGATCTGGTGAGGGCTCTCTTCTTTGCTTATATATGGCTGCCTTCTCTCTATGTGCTCACATGGTGTTTCCTCGATGCATGCGCATGGAAAGAAAGAGAGCAAGTTCTATTGTATTTCTTCTTACAGGTGGAAAAATCCTATTAGATTAGGATTCATACCCCTATAACCTCATTTAGCCTTAGTTACCTCCTAAAAGCCCTATCTTCAAATATTGTCACATTAGGGGTTAGGGCTTCAACATAAGAATTTTGGGGGATAAAATTCAGCTCATTTTGCTGGGTATCTCATAAACATGGAATTATCAATATTTGTCCTTTTGTGATGGATTTATTTTGGTTAACACAATTTCATCAAGGTTCATAAATATCAGATAGTAGAATTTTCTTCTTTTATAGCTGAATAATCATTTGTGTGTGTGTGTGTGTGTGTGTGTGTGTGTCTGTGTGTGTGTCCAGCACATTTTGTTTATCGATTCATTCATCGATGGATATTTTGGTTGCTTCTACCTTTTGACTATTGTGAATAATGCTGCTATGAACAAGGGAACACAAATAACTATTTGAGTCCCTGCTTTCAATTCTTTAGGGCATACCCCCAGAAGTAGAAATGTTGGATGATAAGGTGCTTCTGTGTTTATTTATTTATTTTTTAAACAATCAGCACAATGTTTTCCTCAATGGCTGCATTACATTACATTCCAACCAAGAATGCACAAGAGTTTCAGTTTCTTCACATACTTACCAACATTTGTTATTTTTTCTTTATTTTCTTTGTAATTGCCATCTTAAAGGATGTAAACTGGTACTCATTGTGGTTGTGATTTGCATTTCTCTGATGGCTAATTATGTTGAGCATGTTTTCACGTACTTGTTTGTTATTTGTGTTATCATCTTTGGAGAAATGTTTATTCAAGTCCTTTGCCCATTTTTAAATAAGGTTGTTTGTTTTTTGTTGTTGTTTTTCAGTTGTGGGATTTTAAAACACATATTCCAAATGATAATCTAACATTTCCTCTTCTCTGAATGTATGTTCCTCCCACCCACCAAATTCAGACATTGAAATTCTTTTTTTTTTTATTTAAGTTTTAGGGTACATGTGCACAGCGTGCAGGTTTGATACATATGTATACATGTGTGATGTTGGTGTACTGCACCCATTAACTCTTCATTTAACATTAGGTATATCTCCTAATGCTATCCCTCCCCCATCCCCCCACCACACAACAGGCCCCAGTGTGTGTTGTTCCCCTTCCTTTGTCCATGTTTTCTCATTGTTCAATTCCCACCTATGAGTGAGAACAGGCGGTGTTTGGTTTTTTGTCCTTGTGATAGTTTGCTGAGACTGATGGTTTCCAGCTTCATCCATGTCCCTACAAAGGACATGAACTCATCATTTTTTCTGGCCGCATAGTATTCCATGGTGTATATGTGCCACATTTTCTAAATCCAGTCTATCATTGTTGGACATTTGGGTTGGTTCCAAGTCTTTCCTGTTGGGAATAGTGCTGCAATTAACATACGTGTGCATGTGCCTTTATAGCAGCATGTTTTATAATCCTTTGGGTATATACCCAGTAATGGGATGGCTGGGTCAAATGGTATTTCTAGTTCTAGATCCCCGAGGAATCGCCACACTGACTTCCAAATGGTTGAACTAGTTTACAGTCCCACCAACAGTGTAAAAGTGTTCCTATTTCTCCACATCCTCTCCAGCACCTGTTGTTTCCTGACTTTTTAATGATCGCCATTCTAACTGTTGTGAGATGATATCTCACCGTGCTTTTGATTTGCATTTCTCTGATGGCCAGTGATGGTGAGCATTTTTTCATGTGTTTTTTTGATGCATAAATGTCTTCTTTTGAGAAGTGTCTGCTCATATACTTTGCCCACTTTTTAATGGGGTTGTTGTTTTTTTCTTGTAAATTTGTTGGAGTTCATTGTAGATTCTGGATATTAGCTCTTTGTTGGATGAGTAGATTGCAAAAATTTTTTCCCATTCTGTAGGTTGTCTGTTCCCTCTGATGGTAGTTTCTTTTGCTGTGCAGAAGCTCTTTAGTTTAATTAGATCCCATTTGTCAATTTTGACGTTTGTTGCCATTGCTTTTGGTGTTTTAGACAAGTAGTCCTTTCCTATGCCTATGTCCTGAATGGTATTGCCTAGGTTTCCTTCTAGGGTTTTTATGGTTTTAGGTCTAACATTTAAGTCTTTAATCCATCTTGAATTAATTTTTCTATAAGGTGTAAGGAAGGGATCCAGTTTCAGCTTTCTACCTATGGCTAGCCAGTTTTCCCAGCACCATTTATTAAATAGGGAATCCTTTTCCCATTTCTTGTTTTTGTCAAGTTTGTCAAAGATCAGATAGTTGTAGATATGTGGCATTATTTCTGAGGGCTCTGTGCTGTTCCATTGGTCTATATCTCTGTTTTGGTACCAGAACCATGCTGTTTTGGTTACTGTAGCCTTGTAGTATATTTTGAAGTCAGGTAGCGTGATGGCTCCAGCTTTCTTCTTCTGGCTTAGGATTGACTTGGCAATGCAGGCTCCTTTTTGGTTCCATATGAACTTCAAAGTAGTTTTTTCCAATTCTGTGAAGAAAGTCATTGGTAGCTTGAAGGGGATGGCATTGAATCTGTAAATTACCTTGGGCAGTATGGCCATTTTCACGATATTGATTCTTCCTACCCATGAGTATGGAATGTTCTTCCATTTGTTTGTATCCTCTTTTATTTCATTGAGCAGTGGTTTGTAGTTCTCCTTGAAGAGGTCCTTCACATCCCTTGTAAGTTTGATGCCTAGGTATTTTATTCTCTTTGAAGCAATTGTGAATGGGAATTCACTCATGATTTGGCTCTCTGTTTGTCTGTTATTGGTGTATAAGAATGCTTGTGATTTTTGCACATTGATTTTGTATCCTGAGACTTTGCTGAAGTTGCTTATCAGCTTAAGGAGATTTTGGGCTGAGATGAAGGGGTTTTCTAGATATAAAATCATGTCATCTGCAAACAGGGACAATTTGACTTCCTCTTTTCCTAATTGAATACCCTTTATTTCCTTCTCCTGCCTCATTGCCCTGGCCAGAACTTCCAACACTGTGTTGAGTAGGAGTAGTGAGAGAGGGCATCCGTGTCTTGTGCCAGTTTTCAAAGGGAATGCTTCCAGTTTTTGTCCATTCAGTATGATATTGGCTGTGGGTTTGTCATAGATAGCTCTTATTATTTTGAGATACGTCCCATCAATATAGAATTTATTGAGAGTTTTTAGTATGAAAGGGTGTTGAATTTTGTCAAAGGACTTTTCTGCATCTATTGAGATAATCACGTGGTTTTTATCGTTGGTTCTGTTTTTATGCTGGATTACGTTTATTGATTTGCGTATGTTGAACCAGCCTTGTATCCCAGGGATGAAGCCCACTTGATCATGGTGGATAAGCATTTTGATGTGCTGCTGGATTTGGTTTGCCAGTATTTTATTGAGGATTTTTGCATCGATGTTCATCAGGGATATTGGTCTAAAATTCTCTTTTTGTCGTGTCTCTGCCAGGCTTTTGTATCAGGATGATGCTGGCCTCATAAAATGAGTTAGGGAGGATTCCCTCTTTTTCTGTTGATTGGAATAGTTTCAGAAGGAATGGTACCAGCTTCTCCTTTTACCCCTGGTAGAATTCGGCTGTGAATCCATCTGGTCCTGGACTTTTTTTGGTTGATAACCTATTAATTATTGCCTGAATTTCAGAGCCTGTTAATTGGTCTACTCAGAGATTCAAGTTCTTCCTGGTTTAGTCTTGGGAGGGTGTATGTGTTGAGGAATTTATCCATTTCTTCTAGATATTCTAGTTTATTTGTGTAGAGGTGTTTATAGTATTCTCTGATGGTAGTTTGTATTTCTGTGGGATCAGTGGCGATATCCTGTTTATCATTTTTTTTTTGCGTCTATTTGATTCTTCTCTCTTTTCTTCTTTATTAGTGTTGCTAGCAGTCTATCAATTCTGTTGATCTTTTCAAAAAAACAGCTGCTGGTTTCATTGGTTTTTTGAAGGATTTTTTGTGTCTATTTCCTTCATTTCTGCTATGATCCTAGTTATTTCTTGCCTTCTGCTAGCTTTTGAATGTGTTTGTTCTTGCTTCTCTAGTTCTTTTAATTGTGATGTTAGGGTGTCAATTTTAGATGTTTCCTGCTTTCTCTTGTGGGTATTTAGTGCTATAAGTTTCCCTCTACACACTGCTTTGAATGTGTCCCAGAGATTCTGGTATGTTGTGTCTTTGTTCTTGTTGGTTTCAAAGAACATCTTTATTTCTGCCTTCATTTCGTGTTCTTTTACATTTGCTGAGGAGTGCTTTACTACCAACTATGTGCTCAATTTTGGAATAGGTGTGGTGTGGTGCTGAAAAGAATGTATATTCTTTTGATTTGGGATGGAGAGTTCTGTAGATGTCTATTAGGTCTGCTTGGTGGAGAGCTGAGTTCATTTCCTGGATGTGCTTGTTAACTTTCTGTCTCGTTGATCTGTCTAATGTTGACAGTGGGGTGTTAAAGTCTCCCATTATTATTTCGTGGGGGTCTAAGTCTCTTTGTAAGTCTCTAAGGACTTGCTTTATGAATCCAGATGCTCCTGTATTGGGTGCATATATAGTTAGGATTGTAATCTCTTCTTGTTGAATTGATCCCTTTACCATTATGTAATGGCCTCCTTGGTCTCTTTTGATCTTTGTGGGTTTAAAGTCTGTTTTATGAGAGACTAAGATTGAAACCCCTGCCTCTTTTTGTTTTCCATTTGCGTGGTAGATCTTCGTCCATCCCTTTATTTTGAGGCTATGTGTGTCTCTGCACGTGACATGGGTTTCCCGAATACAGCACACTGTTGGGTCTTCACTTTTTATCCAATTTGCCAGTCTGTGTCTTCTAATTGGAGCATTTAGCCCACTTACATTTAAGGTTAATATTGTTATGTGTGAATTTGATCCTGTCATTACGATGTTAGCTGGTTATTTTGCTCCTTAGTTCATGCAGTTTCTTCCTAGCCTCGATGGTCTTTACAATTTGGCATGTTTTTGCAGTGGCTGGTACCGGTTGTTCCTTTCCATGTTTAGTCCTTCCTTCAGGAGCTCTTTTAGGGCAGGCCTGGTGGTGACAAAATCTCTCAGCATTTGCTTGTCTGTAAAGTATTTTATTTCTCCTTCACTTATGAAGCTTAGTTTGGCTGGATATGAAATTCTGGGTTGAAAATTCTTTTCTTTAAGAATGTTGCATATTGGCCCCCACTCTCTTCTGGCTTGTAGAGTTTCTGCTGATAGATCCGCTGTTACTCTGATGGACTTCCCTTTGTGGGTGACCCGACCTTTCTCTCTGGCTGCCCTTAACATTTTTTCCTTCATTTCAACTTTGATGAATCTGACAATTATGTGTCTTGGAGTTGCTCTTCTCAAGGAGTATCTTTGTGGCATTCTCTGTATTTCCTGAATTTGAATGTCGGCCTGCCTTGCTAGATTGGGGAAGTTCTCCTGGATAATGTCCTGCAGAGTGTTTTCCAACTTGATTCCATTCTCCCCATCACTTTCAGGTTCACCAATCAGACATAGATTTGGTCTTTTCACATAGTCCCATATTTCTTGGAGGCTTTGTTCGTTTCTTTTTATTCTTTTTTCTCTAATCTTCTCTTCTCACTTCATTTCATTCATTTCATTTTCCATCACTAATACCCTTTCTTCCCTTTGATCGAATCAGCTACTGAGGCTTGTGCATTCATCACGTGGTTCTCGTGCCATGGTTTTCAGGTCCATCAGGTCCTTTAAGGACTTCTCTGCATTGGTTATTCTAGTTAGACTTTCGTCTAATTGTTTTTCAAGGTTTTCAAATTCTTTGCCATGGGTTTGAACTTCCTCCTTTAGCTAGGAGTAGTTTGATCTTCTGAAGCCTTCTTCTCTCAACTCATCAAAGCCATTCTCCATCCAGCTTTCTTCCGTTGCTGTTGAGGAGCTTTGTTGCTTTGGAGGAGGAGAGGCACTCTGATTTTTAGAGTTTCCAATTTTTCTGCTCTGTTTTTTGCCCATCTTTTTGGTTTTATCTACTTTGATGATCTTTGATGATGGTGACGTACAGATGGGGTTTTGGTGTGGATATCCTTTCTTTTTGTTAGTTTTCCTTCTAACAGTCAGGACCCTCAGCTGCGGGTCTGTTGAAGTTTGCTGGAGGTCCACTCCAGACCCTGTTTGCATGAATATCAGCAGCAGAGCCTGCAGAACAGCAGATATTAGTGAACAGCAAATGTTGCTGCCTGATCGTTCCTCTGGATGTTTTGTCTCCAAAGAGTACCTGGCCGTGTGAGGTGTCAGTCTGCCCCTACTGGTCGGTGCCTCCTAGTTAGGCTACTCGGGGTTCAGGGATCCACTTGAGGAGGCAGTCTGTCCATTCTCACATCTCCAGCTGTGTGCTGGGAGAACCACTGCTCTCTTCAAAGCTGTCAGACAGGGACATTTAAGTCTGCAGAGTTTTCTGTTGCCTTTTGTTTGGCTATGCCCTGCCCCCAGAGGTGGAGTCTACAGAGGCAGGCAGGCCTCCTCGAGCTGCAGTGGGATCCACCCAGTTCAAGCTTCCAGGCCACTTTGTTTACCTACTCAAGCCTCGGCAATGGCAGGCGCCCCTCCCCCAGCCTCACTGCCACCTTGCAGTTTGATCTCAGACTGCTGTGCTAGCAATGAGTGAGGCTCCATGGGCGTAGGATCCTCTGAGCCATGCACAGCATATAATCTCCTGGTGTGCTGTTTGCTAAGACCATTGGAAAAGTGTGGTATTAGGGTGGGAGTGACCTGATTTTCCAGGTGCCGTTTGTCACCCCTTTCTTTGTCTAGGAAAGGGAATTCCCTGACCTCTTGTGCTTCCTGTGTGAGGTGATGCCTTGCTGTGCTTCAGCTCATGCTCCGTGTGCTGCACTCACTGTCCTGCACCCACTGTTGGATACTCCCCAGTGAGATGAACCTGGTACCTCACTTGGAAATGCAGAAATCACCCGTCTTCTCTGTAGCTCACGCTGGGATCTGTAGACTGGAGCTGTTCCTATTTGGCCATCTTGGCTCCTATATCCAGATGTTGAAATTCTAACCCCCAAGGTGGTACCATTAACAGGTAAAGCCTTTGGGAGGTGATTAGATCATTAAGGCAGAACCCTCTTGAAAAGGATTAGTGCTTCTATAAAAGAGGCTTGATGGAGCTTATTTGCCCTTTTCGCCATGTGAGGACACAGCAAGAAGGTGCTGTCTGTTGGGAAGCAAGCCCTCACCACACACCAAATCTGCTGGCACCTTGATTCTGAACTTCCCAGGCTCCAGAACTGTGAGAAATAAATTTATGTTTTTTATAAACTACCCAGTTTATGGTATTTTGTCATAGAGGCTGGAACAGACTAAGACATTATATATATACATATATATTATTTCCAAATATTTTCACCCATTCTGTGGGATGTTATTTTAGTATATTTTAAATTGCTGATTCATGGAGTACATGTGCAGGTTTGTTACATGGGTATATTGTGTGATACTGAGGTTTGGGCTTCTAATGAGCCAGTGGCCCAAGTAATGAACACAGTACCTGATAGGTAGTTTTTCAACCCTTGCCCCCTCTTATACTTTCCCTCTTTTGGAATCCCCAGTGTTTATTGTTTCCATGTTTGTGTCCATGTATGCCCAATATTTAGCTTCTACTTATAAGTGAGAACATGTGTTACTTTGTTTTCTGTTTTTGCATTACTTTGCTTAGGATAATGGCCTATAGCTGCATCCATGTTGTGCAAAGGACATGATTTTTTTTATGTATGTGTAGTATTCAATGGCGCATATGTACCATGTTTTCTTTATTCAGTCCATCGTCGATGGGCTCTAGGTTGATTCCATGGCTTTGCCATTGTGAATAGTCCTGCAATAAACATATGAATGCAGGTATCTTTTTGAAGAAAGATTTATTTTCTTTTTTGTATATACCCAGTAATGGGATTGCTGTGTTGAATGGTAATTTTATTTTTAGATTTTGAGAAATCTTCAAACTGTTTCATTTTACTATATTGATAGTGTCTCTTGATACATAAAACTTTTTAATTTTTATACAGTTCAACTTTTTTTTTTGCTATCCATGCTTTTGGTGTCATGTTCAAGAAATCATCTCCAAGTCAAACGTCATAACGCCTTTTTTCCTGTGTTTCCTTCTAAGAGTTATATAGCTTTAGCTCTTATGTCTTTGATCAATTTTGAGTTCATTTTTGTATGTGGTGTAATGTAAGATTCAAATTTTTTCTTTTACATTTATGTATCCAGTTTTCCAGCATCATTTGTTAAATGGTGCTTACTTACCACTGCATTGTCTTGGGACCATTGTTAAAAATCATTTGTCTATATGTGCAATGGCTTATTTCTACTCTATTTTATTGCTCTATTTATGTCATTTATGGCCATACCACATTGGTTTCATTACTGTACCTTTGTGGTAAGTTTTGAAATCAGGATGCAAGAGTATTCCAACTTTATTCTTCTTGTTAAAGATTGTTCCAGCTATTTTGGAATCCCTTGAGATTTTATATGAATTTTAGGATGGTTGTTTGTACTGCTGCAAAAATTGCTTTGGAAATTTGATGAAGATTTCATTTAATCTATAGATGACTTCAGGTAATATTGACATCTTAACAATATTGATTCTTCTCATTTGTGGACATGGAATATCTCTCTATTTGATTATATCTGCTTTAATTTTTTTCACAAATTTTTATTTTTTTTAGTGTACAAGTCCACCTTTTTATTGTTATCCCTAAGTATTTTATTTTTTGAATGCTACTGTAAATAGAGTTGTTTTCTTTATTTTCTTTTCAGAGAATGAAAATATATAGAAATGCAAATGATTACTCCAAATTTTCTGAATTTATTAGTTCAAACATGTTTTTGTGGAATCTTTGGGGTGTTCTACATATAAGATTATGTTATATACTAAAGAGATAATTCTGCTTATTTTTTCCAATATGGGTCTTTTAAATGTCCTTTTTCTTGCCTAATTGCTAGGGCTGTAACCCCCAATACTGTGTTGAATAGAAATGGCAAAAGTGTGCATCCTTGTCTTGTTCCTGATCTTATAGGAATGTGTCTTTCACCATTGAGCATTATGTTATTTGTGTGTTCCTCTATTATTAACATTTTTGCATTAGTGTGGCACATTTCTTAAATTTTGTGAGCCAATATTGATACATTATTATTAACTAAAGTACATAGTTTACATTAGGGCTCAATCTGTGTATTGTACATTTTACAGGTTTTCACAAATGTGTGACATGTATCTGTCATTAAAGTATCTTACAGAATAGTTTCGCTGGCCTAAAATTCCTTGTGTGACACCTAATTATTTCTTTCACCTATGCCTGAGCTGTTGAAAGACAATACTGTTATTGTCTCTATGGTTTTTCCTTTTTCAAAATGAAATATTTTTAGAATCATACAATGTATAGCCTTTTCAGGCTGGCCTCTTTCTTGTAACAATATTTATTTAAGGTTCATTCATGTCATTTTGTGGCTTAGTGGTAAATTTTTTATTGCTTAATAATATTCCATTGTATTGATGTACTACAGTTTATCCCTTCACCTACTGAAGGATATTTAGGTTGCGTCCATGTTTTAGCAATAATGAATAAAGCTCCTATAAACATTCATGTGCAGGGTTTTATGTGGACATAAAGTTTTAGCTCATTTAGGTACATACTAAGGAGTGTGATTGCTAGATTCTGTGTTAAGGATATGTATAGTTTTGTAAGAAACTACCAAAATGTCTTCTGAAGTGACCATAACATTTTACATTTCCACCAGCAATAAATGAGACTTCCAGTTATCCACATTCTAGCTACTATTTGATATTTTATTGTTATGGATTTTAACCAGTCTAATAAGTGTGTAATGGAATCTAATTGTTTTGATTTTCAGTTCCAAAATTACATGTAAGATTGATCATCTGTTTTATATGCTTATTTGTCATCTGTATATCTTCTTTATTGAGATATTTATTTAGGTCTCCACCCCATTTTAAAATTGGGTTGTTTTATTATTCTTCACTTCTAAAAACTATTTGTATATTTTAGATACTATATAAGTGTTTTGCAATGGTTTTCTCCTAGTATGTGGCTTATTTTTTTCTCAAGTATCCTTCATAGAGCAGAAATATAATGAAAACACAGCATATCAAAATTTGATAGATGAAACAATGAGTTTTTTAAAAGAAATGTATAGCTTTCATGCCTATATTAAAAAACGAGAAATATTTAAGATCAGTGAAATAAATTTGAATTGTAAGAATCTAGAGAGGGAACCAAAGTGGCCAACTAGATGCAACAAGGAAGAGGTTCCCCACTGACAGTCTAGATCATCAAGAAGACCACCACATTCCAAATAGATCTTTGGAAGAAGGCATTGAGAGTGGATGGTGGGAGGATGCAGACCCTTGGATGCAAGGGGAAGAAGCCTGGAACCCTGCATGGGGTTACTGAGCACAGGGACACATGTCCAGCTCTTAATGACTCCTAGAAAAGGGTGGGTGAGATGGATGTGGAATGGCCTACTCTCACCACGGACTCCCAGAATCCTAGCTGCAGGAAACCACACAGTCACCATGGATATTTGAGATGGCAAAAAGAACTGCCCAGAGAGTTGGCCGAGACAGAACTCCTGTCTACATGGACCCCAGAAGGATTTTTTTTTTATACTTTAAGTTTTAGGGTACATGCGCAGAACGTGCAGGTTTGTTTCATATGAATACATGTACCATGTTGGTGTGCTGCACCCATTAACTCATCATTTAACATTAGGTATATCTCCTAATGCTATCCCTGCACCCTCCCCTCACCCCACAACAGGGCCCGGTGTGTGATGTTCCCCTTCCTGTGTCCATGTGTTCTCATTGTTCAATTCCCACCTATGAGTGAGAACATGCGGTGTTTGCTTCTTTGTCCTTGCAATAGTTTGCTGAGAATGATGGTTTGCAGCTTCATCCATGTCCCTACAAAGGACATGAACTCATCCTTTTTTATGGCTGCATAGTATTCCATGGTGTATATGTGCCACATTTTCTTAATCCAGTCTATCATTGCTGGACATTTGGGTTGGTTCCAAGTCTTTGTTATTGTGGATAGTGCTGCAATAAACATACGTGTGCATGTGTCTTTATAGCAGCATGTTTTATAATCCTTTGGGTATATACCCAGTAATGGGATAGCTGGGTCAAATGGTATTTCTAGTCCTAGATCCCCGAGGAATCGCCACACTGACTTCCGCAATGGTTGAACTAGTTTACAGTACCACCAAGAGTGTAAAAGTGTTCCTATTTATCCACGTCCTCTCCAACACCTCTTGTTTCCTTTTTAATAATTGCCATTCTAACTGGTGTGAGATGGTATCTCATTGTGGTTTTGATCTGCAGTTGTCTGATGGCCAGTGATGATGAGCATTTTTTCATGTGTACTTTGACTGAATAAATGTCTTCTTTTGAGAAGTGTCTGCTCATATACTTTGCCCACTTTTTGATGGGGTTGTTTTCTTCTTGTAAATTTGTTGGAGTTCATTGTAGATTCTGGATATTAGCTCTTTGTCAGATGAGTAGATTGCAAAAATTTTCTCCCATTCTATAGGTTGTCTGTTCCCTCTGATGGTAGTTTCTTTTGCTGTGCAGAAGCTCTTTAGTTTAATTAGATCCTATTTGTCAATTTTGGCTTTTGTTGCCATTGCTTTTGGTGTTTTAGACAAGTAGTCCTTGCCTATGCCTATGTCCTGAATGGTATTGCCTAGGTTTTCTTCTAGGGATTTTATGGTTTTAGGTCTAACATTTAAGTCTTTAATCCACCTTGAATTAATTTTTCTATAAGGTGTAAGGAAGGGATCCAGTTTCAGCTTTGTGCATATGGCTAGCCAGTTTTCCCAGCACCATTTATTAAGTAGAGAATCCTTTCCCCATTTCTTGTTTTTGTCAGGTTTGTCAAAGATCAGATAGTTGTAGATATGTGGCATTATTTCTGAGGGCTCTGTTCTGTTCCATTCTTTTGTATCTCTGTTTTGGTACCAGTACCATGCTGTTTTGGTTACTGTAGCCTTGTACTATAGTTTGAAGTCAGGTAGCATGATGCCTCCAGCTTTGCTCTTCTGGCTTAGGATTGACTTGGCGATGCGGGCTCCTTTTTGGTTCCATATGAACTTTAAAGTAGTTTTTTCCAATTCTGTGAAGAAAGTCATTGGTAGCTTGATGGGGATGGCATTGAATCTAAATTACCTTGGGCAGTATGGCCATTTTCTTGATATTGATTCTTCCTACCCATGAGCATGGAATGTTCTTCCATTTGTTTGTATCCTCTTTTATTTCATTGAGCAGTGGTTTGTAGTTCTCCTTGAAGAGGTCCTTCATGTCCCTTGTAAATTTGATGCCTAGGTATTTTATTCTCTTTGAAGCAATTGTGAATGGGAATTCACTCATGATTTGGCTCTCTGTTTGTCTGTTATTGGTGTATAAGAATGCTTGTGATTTTTGCACATTGACTTTGTATCCTGAAACTTTGCTGAAATTTCATATCAGCTTTAGGAGATTTTGGGCTGAGATGAAGGGGTTTTCTAGATATACAAACAAGTCATCTGCAAACAGGGACAATTTGACTTCCTCTTTTCCTAATTGAATACCCTTTATTTCCTTCTCCTGCCTGATTGCCCTGGCCAGAACTTCCAACACTATGTTGAATAGGAGTAGTGAGAGAGATTATCCCTGTCTTGTGCCAGTTTTCAAAGGGAATGCTTCTAGTTTTTGTCCATTCAATATGGTCTTGGCTGTGGGTTTGTCATAGATAGCTCTTATTATCTTGAGATACGTCCCATCAATTCTGAATTTATTGAGACTTTTTAGCATGAAGGGGTGTTGAATTTTGTCAAAGGACTTTTCTGCATCTATTGAGATAATCACGTTGTTTTTATGGTTGGTTCTGTTTATATGCTGGATTACGTTTATTGATTTGCGTATGTTGAACCAGCCTTGCATCCCAGGGATGAACCCCACTTGATGATGATGGATAAGCTTTTTGATGTGCTGCTGGATTCAGTTTGCCAGTATTTTACCGAGGATTTTTGCATCCATGTTCCTCAGGGATATTGGTCTAAAATTTTCTTTTTTTGTTGTGTTTCTGCCAAGCTTTGGTATCAGGATGATGCTGGCCTCATAAAATGAGTTAGGGAGGATTCCCTCTTTTTCTATTGATTGGAATAGTTTCAGAAGGAATGGTACCAGCTCCTTCTTTTACCTCTGGTAGAATTCAGCTGCGAATCCATCTGGTCCTGGACTTTTTTTTGTTGGTAAGCTATTAATTATTGCCTGAATTTCAGAGCCTGTTAATTGGTCTATTCAGAGATTCAACTTCTTCCTGGTTTAGACTTGGGAGAGTGTATGTGTCGAGGAATTTATCCATTTCTTCTAGATATTCTAGTTTATTTGTGTAGAGGTGTTTATAGTATTCTCTGATGGTGGTTTGTATTTCTGTGGGATCAGTGGTGATATCCCCTTTATCATTTTTTATTGTGTCTATTTGATTCTTCTCTCTTTTCTTCTTTATTAGTCTTGATAACAGTCTATCAATTTTGTTGATCTTTTCAAAAACCAGCTCCTGGATTCATTGATTTTCTGAAGGATTTTTTGTGTCTCTATTTCCTTCAGTTCTGCTCTGATCTTAGTTATTTCTTGCCTTCTGCTAGCTTTTGTATGTATTTGCTCTTGCTTCTGTGGTTCTTTTAATTGTGATGTTAGGGTGTCAATTTTAGATCTTTCCTGCTTTCTCTTGTGGGCATTTAATGCTATAAGTTTCCCTCTACACACTGCTTTGAATGTGTCCCAGAGATTCTGGTATGTTGTGTCTTTGTTCTCGTTGGTTTCAAAGAACATCTTTATTTCTGCCTTCATTTTGTTATGTACCCAGTAGTCATTCAGGAGCAGGTTGTTCAGTTTCCATGTAGTTGAGTGGTTTTGAGTGAGTTTCTTAATCCTGAGTTCTAGTTTGATTGCACTGTGGTCTGAGAGATAGTTTGTTATAATTTCTGTTCTTTTACGTTTGCTGAGGAGTGCTTTACTTCCAACTGTGTGGTCAATTTTGGAATAGGTGTGGTGTGGTGCTGAGTAGAATATATATTCTGTAGATTTGGGGTGGAGAGTTCTGTAGATGTGTATTAGGTCCGCTTGGTGCAGAGCTGAGTTCAATTCTTGGATATCCTTGTTAACTTTCTGTCTCGTTGATCTGTCTAATGTTGACAGTGTGGTGTTAAAATCTCCCATTATTATTGTGTGGGAGTCTAAGTGTCTTCGTAGGTCTCTAAGGACTTGCTTTATGAATCCGGATCCTCCTTTATTGGGTGCATGTATATTTAGAATAGTTAGCTTTTCTTGTTGAATTGATCCCTTTACCATTATGTAATGGCCTTCTTTGTCTCTTTTGATCTTTGTTGGTTTAAAGTCTGTTTTATCAGAGACTTGGATTGCAATTCCTGCCTTTTTTTATTTTTCATTGCTTGGTAGATCTTCCTCCATCCCTTTATTTTGAGCCTATGTGTGTCTCTGCACGTGAGATGTGTTTACTGAATACAGCACACTGATGTGCCCCAGAAGGTTTGGCATGGGAACGGATGCAGTTGTTCATGGTCATGGGTGCTCACATCAGAAGGCTTGCCATACTCTTCTAATGGCTTTAGCTTTTGTTGGCTGCTGCACCTGGACATAGCAGGGCTATCGTGCCTGTGAGATGAGTAATGTTCCCCTTGCCGCTGGCCTATCCCAGAGTACGTGCGTGTCCACATCTACTTTCAGTCGTGGCCTTGGCTGCTCAGCTGAGGCAGTTGCCAGCAGCCCTGCCCATAACTCTTTTGCCGGCAGATAATGCCTATTAGCTGGAGTACTTTTACAGGTGGGCCATACTGGTGCACACTTTCCCACAGACATTCCTCACTGGCATGCACTCCCTGGCTTGCACTCCCGCATAGCCTCCTTCTGCTGCTTCACCAACTTTGATGTGCGTGATGACTTCACTGCCCACTAGTTGCTGGCGTGTGCATGTGGGAATCACTGCTGCCTCGCTGCCACCCCACTTTTGCCAATATGCTCCACCAGAGTGTGTTTGTCAGTGGGCTGGAAACACCTCAGTTCCCCCAGCACGGCAGGTACTTAACCTTGGGGGTCAGAGAATAAAAGCCACAGGCCTGGTCCCAACACCACAGGGTTAGAGCATGCACCCCAGGAGTGTTTAGTTGAGGTTTGGCAACCTGACATCATGCAGAAATGAAGCCAGTTGACAAAATGTGACTTATACCACAGTCAAACACTCAAGGTCATCAAAGAATATAAAAGCAGGAAGCCCCATTTAAAGGAAAACTACAAACATTAAAGGGACATCAGCCCCCACAGATGAGAAAGAACCGGTGCAAGGACTTTGGAAACTCTAAAATTCAGAGTGCCTTCTTACCTCCAAACAACAAGACCAGGTCCTGAGCAATGGTTGTTAGCCACACTGAACTTGTTGAAATGACTGACATAGAATACAGTATCTGAATGGCAACCGAGATCACCAAGATTCAGGAAAAAGATGAAACTCAATCCAGGAAATCTAAGGAATCCAGTGAAATAATACAAGAGGTGAAAAATGAAATAACCATTTTAAGAAAGAACCAGACTAATCTTCTAGAGCTGAACATCTCTCTACAAGTATTTTATGATATGATTGAAAGTTTACAGCAGAAAGGGCCAAGCTGAAAAAAGAAACTTAGAGTTGGAATACCAGTTCTTCAAATCCACTCAGAGAAAAATGAAAAAGAAAAAATTTTAATAAATGAACAAAACCTCTGAGAAATATGGGATTATATACAGAGTTTAAAATTATTGGCATCCCAGAAAAAGAGGGAGAGAGAGCAAGCAATTTGGAAAACATATTTGAAGACATTGTCCATGAAAATTTTCCTATGCTTCTTAGAGAAATTGACATGCAAATTTAGGAAATTTGGAAAACTCCTGTGAGATAATACACAAGACAACCATCCCCAAGACATAGTACAGATCTGCAAGGTCAATGCAAAAGAAAAAATCATTAAAGGCAGTTAGAGAGAAAAGGTAGGTCGTGTACAAAGGGAACCCCACCAGGCTAACAGTTGTCCTTTAAGTAGTAATCTGAGAAGTGAGAAGACATTGAGGGCTGTATTAGTCCGTTTCACACTGCTGATGAAGACATACCTGAGACTGGGCAATTTACAAAATAAAAGTGTTTATTGGACTTACAGTTCTACGTGGCTGGGGAGGTTTCACAATCATTGCAGAAGGTGAAAGGCACATCTCACATGGCGGCAGACGAGAGCTTGTGTGAGGAAACTCCCCTTTATAAAACCATGAGATCTCTTGAGACATATTCACAATCAAAAGACTAGCATGGGAAAAACCTGCTGCCATGATTCAATTACCTCCCACTGGCTATCGCCCTCAACACTTGGGAATTATGGGAGTTACAATTCAAGATGAGATTTGCGTGGGGGCACAGCGAAACTGTATTATTCCACCCCCGGCTTCTCCCATATCTCATTCCCTCACATTTGAAAACCAATTATGCCTTCCCAACAGTCCCCTAAAGTCTTAACTCATTTCAGCATTAACTCAGAAGTCCACAGTCCAAAGTCTCATCTCAAACAAGGCAAGTCCCTTTAGCCTATGAGCCTGTAGAATCAAAAGCAAGTTAGTTACTTCCTAGACACAGTGGAGTTACAGGCACTGGGTAAATACCTCCCTTCCAAATGGGAGAAATTGGCCAAAACAACGTGGATACAGGCCCCACGCAAGTCTGAAATCCAGCTTACAAGACAAATCTTAAAGCTCCAAAATGATCTTGTTTGACTCATATCTCACATCCAGATCACACTGATGCAAGAGGTGGGTCCTCATGGGTCTTGGGCAGCTCCACCCCTATTGCTTTGCAGGGTACAATCTCTCTCCTGGCTGCTTTCATGAGCTGGCATGAGTGTCTGTGGCTTTTCCAGGTGCATGGTGCAAGCTTTCACTGGATCTACCATTCTGGGGTCTGGAGGACAGTGGCCCACTTCCCACAGCTTTACTAGGCAGTGCCCCAGTAGAGACTCTGTGTGCGGCATCCAACCCATTTCCCGTCCACACTGCTCTAGCAGAGGTTCTCCATGAGGGCCCCTCCCCTGCAGCAAACTTCTGCCTGGGCATTCAGGCATTTCCATACATCCTCTGAAACCTAGGCAGAGGTTCCCAACTTCAATTCTTCTGTGCACCTGCAGACTCAACACCACGTGGAAGGCTTGGGGCTTGCACACTCTGAAGCCATGGCCTGAGCTGTACCATGGCCCCTTTTAGTCAAGGTTGGAGCAGCTGGGATGCAGAGCACCAAGTCCCTGTACTGCACACAGCAGAGGGACCCTGGGCCCAGCCCATGAAACCATTTTTTTTCCTCTTGGTCTCTGGGCCTGTTATGGGAGGGACTGCCACAAAAGACTCTGACATGCCCTGGAGACATTTTCCCCATTGTCTTGGTGATTAACATTCGGCTTCTTGTTATTTATGCAAAATTCTGCAGCAGGCTTGAATTTTTCCTCAGAAAATGGGATTTTCTTTTCTATTGAATTGTCAGGTTGCAAATTTTCTCAATTTATATGCTCTGTTTTTAACCTTTAACCTTTAACACTGCCTAAGTCACCTCTTGTGTGCTTTTCTGCTAAGAAATTTGTTCTGCTAGACACCCTAAATCATCTCTCTCAAGTTCAAAGTTCCACATATCTCTAGTGTTTGGGCAACATGCCAGCAGTCTCTGCTAAAACGTAATGAGTGTCACCTTTGCTCCTGTTCCCAAATAGTTCCTCATCTCCGTCTGAGACCACCTTAGGCTGGAATTCATTGTCCATATTTTTATCAGCATCTTGGTCCAAGCCATTCAACAAGTCTCTAGGAAGTTCCAAACTTTCCTACGTTTTCTTGTCGTCTTCTGAGCCCACCAAACTATTCCAACATCTGCCTGTTACTCAGTTCCAAAGTCACTTCCACATTTTCAGTTATCTTTTCAGCAGCACCCCACTCTACTGGTACCAATTTACTTTATTAGTCCATTTTCATGCTGTTGATAAAGACATACCTGAGACTGAGCAATTTACAAAGGAATGAGGTTCATTGGACTTAACAGTTCCACGTGGCTGGGGAGGCCTCACAGTCATGGCAGAAGGTGAAAGGCATGTCTTACATTTCAGAAGACGAGAGAGCTTGTGTGAGGAAATTCCTTTTTTTAAAACCATCAGATCTCATGAGACATATTCACTATTACTAGAAAAACATGGGAAAGACCTTCCCCTGTGATTCAATTACCTCCCACTTGGCCTTTCCCACAACACGTGGGAATTGTGGGATTTACAATTCAAGATGAGATTTGGGTGAAGGCACAGCCAAATCATATCAGGGGCCTGTGTTGGGCATCCTTAAAGAAAAGAAACTTCAACTAAGAATTTTATATCTAGCCAAACTAAGATGTATAAATGAGGGACAAATAAATTTTTTTCAGACAAGCAAGGACTAAGGGAATTTGTTATCTCCAGACTTGCCTTACAAGAGGTCCTTAAGGAAGTGCTAAAAACAGAAAGGAAAGACCATTGCCAGCAACCACAAAAACACACTTAAATACATATCCCACTGACACTATAAAGCAACTCTACAAGCAGGTCTACATAACGTCAGCTAACAACAAGATGACAGGATCAAATTCTCACATATCAGTTGGGCACAGCGGCTCACACTTTGGGAGGCTGAGGTGGGCAGATCAGCTGAGGTCAGGAGTTCAAGACCAGCCTGGCCATCATGGTGAAACCCCATCTCTACTAAAAATACAAAAATTAGCTGGACGTCATGGCAGGTGCCCATAATGCTGTCTACTTGGGAGGCTGAGGCAGGAGAATCACTTGAACCCAGGAGGTGGAGGTTGCAGTGAGTTAATGCCCTGCACTCCAGCCTGGGTGACAGACTGAGACTCTGTCTCAAAAAACAAACAAACAATGAGAACACTTGGACACAGGGTGGGGAACATCACACACCGAGGCCTGTCATGAGGTGGGAGGAGGGGGGAAGGATAGCATTAGGAGATATACCTAATGTAAATGACGAGTTAATGGCTGCAGCACACCAACATGGCACCTGTATACATATGTAACAAACTTGCCCGTTGTGCACATGTACCCTAGAACTTAAAGTATAATAATAATAATAATAATAATAATAATAAAGGCTGGGTGCAGTGGCTCACACCTGTAATCCCAGCACTTTGGGAGGCCGAGGCTGGTAGATCACAAGGTCAGGAGTTCAAGACCAGCCTGGCCAATATGGTGAAGCCCCGTCTCTACTAAAAATTCAAAAATTAGCCAGGCGTGGTGGCACACACCTGTAGTCCCAGCTACTCGGGAGGCTGAGGCAGAAGAATCCCTTGAACCCGGGGGTCAGAGGTTGCAGTGAGCTGAGATGGCACCACTGCACTCCAGCCTGGACAACAGAGTGAGACTTTGTCTCAAAATGAAACAAAAAAACACAAATTATCACATATCAATATTAACCTTGAATATAAACAAGCTAATTGGCCCCACTTAAAAGGCAAAGAGTGGCAAGTTGGATAAGGAAGCATGACCTAACTATATGCTGTCTTTAAGATAACAATCACATATGTAATGACACACATAGGCTCAAATAAAGGAATGGAAAAACATCTATCAAGCAAATGGAAAACAAAAAAGAGCAAGGTTGCTATTCTTATTTCAGACAAAACATAAATTTTACCAATAATGATCAAAAAGGACATAGAAGAGTATTGCATAATGATTAAGGGTTCAATTCAATAAGAAGACATAAGTACCCCAAATATATATGCAGCCAATCCTGGAGCTCCCAATTCATAAAAGAAGTTCTAAGAGACCTAAAAAGAGACTAAGATAATCACACAATAATAGTGGAAGATTTCAACATCCCGATAACAGTGTTAGATTGGACCCAAAATTGCCACTCAACCAAATGGACCTAATGGACATCTACAGAACACTCAACCGAACAACAGTAGAATATACATCTTTCTTATCTGCATTTGGCACATACTCTGAGATCAACCACATGCACAACCAGAAAGAATTCCTCAAGAAATCTTAAAAAACACACAGTGATACCAACCACATTCTCAGACCACTGTGGAAAAAAGAAATCAAGAAATCTCTCAAAACCATGCAATTACATGGAAACGAAACAACTTCCTCCTGAATAAGTTTTGGATAAGCAATGAAATAAAGGCAGACATCAAGAAATTATTTGAAACTAAGGGAAAAAAAGCAACATACCTGAATCTTTGGAACATAGGTAAAGCACTGTAAAGAGGAAGGTTTATAGTAATAAGCAGCTACATCAAAAAGTTAGAAAGATATAAAACTAACAACCTAACATCACACCTAGAGGAACTAGAAGAACAAGAGCAAACCAACTCCAAAGCTAGTAGAAGAAAAGAAATAACCAAAATTTGAGCTGAAATGAACAAAATTGATTGTAAAAAGCCATAAAAAGAAATGAAACCAAAAATTCCCGTTTGAAACAATAAATAAGATTGATAGGCCATTATCTAAACTAATAAAGAAAATAGAGAGAAGATTCAAATTTAAAAAAATCAGAAATGACAAAGGTGACATAATGACCAACCCCACAGGAATAAAAATAAAATTCTTTCTCCCAACCAGGGCCTCCAGCCACCCCCACTTATATTCTACGGCCATTAGAATTTTGATTTCTCCCTGAGATGGAGTGCTTAGGGGAGGATTGGTCTGCCAACTTTGCTGTTTAGATGACTCAGCTGTTCTAGACTGTGGGCTTCGGGGAACCCAAGCCAACTGGAGAAGGAAGGGATACCCCAGCGCAGTACAGCACAGCTGCTTTACCAAAATGTAGTCAGACTCCTTCTTTAAATGGAACCCTGATTCATTTCTTCTCACTGGGCGGGACCTCCCAACTCTTGCCTCCAGCCATCCCCGACCATATTCTCTGGCCTGACAGATATTTGAATTGTCCCTGGTATGGAGTTCCCAAGGAGAGGGATAGGCCACCATCTTTGCTGTTTCGGTGACCCAGCCATTCCAGCTTGTGGGCTTTCAGGAGCCCAAGGTTACTGGGGTAAAAGGGGTACCCCAGCACATCACAGTTTTTCTTTTTTATTATTATTATTATACTTTAAGTTTTAGGGTCCATGTGCACAATGTGCAGGTTAGTTACATATGTATACATGTGCCATGCTGGTGTGCTGCACCCATGAACTCGTCATTTAGCATTAGGTATATCTCCTAAAGCTTTCCCTCCCCCATCCCCCCACCCCACAACAGTCCCCAAAGTGTGATGTTCCCCTTCCTGTGTCGATGTGTTCTCACTGCTCAATTCCCACCTATGAGTGAGAATATGCGCTGTTTGGTTTTTTGTTCTTGTGATAGTTTACTGTGAATGATGATTTCCAATTTCATCCATGTCCCTACAAAGGACATGAACTCATCATTTTTTATGGCTGCATAGTATTCCATGGTGTATATGTGCCACATTTTCTTAATCCAGTCTATCATTGTTGGACATTTGGGTTGGTTCCAAGTCTTTGCTATTGTGAATAGTGCTGCAATAAACGTACGTGTGTGTGTGTCTTTATAGCAGCATGATTTATAGTCCTTTGGGTATATACCCAGTAATGGGATGGCTGGGTCAAATGGTATTTCTAGTTCTAGATCCCTGAGGAATCGCCACTCTAATATTCACAATGGTTGAACTAGTTTACAGTCCCACCAACAGTGTAAAAGTGTTCCTATTTCTCCACATCCTCTCCAGCACCTGTTGTTTCCTGACTTTTTAATGATTGCCATTCTAACTGGTGTGAGATGGTATCTCATTGTGGTTTTGATTTGCATTTCTCTGATGGCCAGTGATGGTGAGCATTTTTTCGTGTGTTTTTTGGCTGCATAAATGTCTTCTTTTGAGAAGTGTCTGTTCATGTCCTTTGCCCACTTTTTGATGGGGTTGTTTGTTTTGTTCTTGTAAATTTGTTTGAGTTCATCGTAGATTCTGGATATTAGCCCTTTGTCAGATGAGTAGGTTGTGAAAATTTTCTCCCATTTTGTAGGTTGCCTGTTCACTCTGATGGTAGTTTCTTTTGCTGTGCAGAACCTCTTTAGTTGAATTAGATCCCATTTGTCAATTTTGGCTTTTGTTGCCACTGCTTTTGGTGTTTTAGACAGGAAGTCCTTGCCCATGCCTATGTCCTGAATGGTAATGCCTAGATTTTCTTCTAGGGTTTTTTTGGGGATGGAAGGCTGGTTCAATATATGCAAATCAATAAATGTAATCCAGCATATAAACAGAACCAAAACAAAAACCACATGATTATCTCAATAGATGCAGAAAAGGCCTTTGACAAAATTCAACAACACTTCATGCTAAAAACTCTCAATAAATTAGGTATTGATGGGACGTATCTCAAAATAATAAGAGCTATCGATGACAAACCCACAGCCAATATCATACTAAATGGGCAAAAACTGGAAGCATTCCCTTTAAAAACTGGCACAAGACAGGGATGCCCCCTCTCACCACTCCTATTCAACATAGTGTTGGAAGTTCTGGCCAGGGCAATGAGGCAGGAGAAGGAAATAAAGTGTATTCAATTAGGAAAAGAGGAAGTCAAATTGTCCCTGTTTGCAGATGACATGATTGTATGTCTAGAAAACACCATTGTCTCAGCCCAAAATCTCCTTAAGCTGATAAGCAACTTCAGCAAAGTCTCAGGATACAAAATCAATGTGCAAAAATCACAAGCATTCTTATGCACCAATAACAGACAAACAACCAAATCATGAGTGAACTCCCATTCACAATTGCCACAAAGAGAATAAAATACCTAGGAATCCAACTTACAAGGGATGTGAAGGACCTCTTCAAGGAGAACTACAAAGCACTGCTCAGTGAAATAAAAAAGGATACAAACAAATGGAAGAACATTCCCTGCTCATGGGTAGGAAGAATCAGTATCATGAAAATGGCCATACTGCCCAAGGTAATTTATAGATTCAGTGCCATCCCCATCAAGCTACCAATGACTTTCTTCACAGTATTGGAAAAAACTACTTTAAAGTTCATATGGAACCAAAAAAGAGCCCGCATTGCCAAGTCAATCCTGAGCCAAAAGAACAAAGCTGGAGGCATCACACTACCTGACTTCAAACTATACTACAAGGCTACAGTAACCAAAACAGCATGGTACTGGTACCAAAACAGATATATATCAATGGAACAGAACAGAGCCCTCATAAATAATGCCACGTATCTACAACTATCTGATCTTTGACAAATCTGAGAAAAACAAGCAATGGGGAAAGGATTCCCTATTTAATAAATGGTGCTGGGAAAACTGGCTAGCCATATGTAGAAAGCTGAAACTGGATCCCTTCCTTACACCTTATACAAAAATCAATTCAAGATGGATTAAAGACATCACAGCTTTTCTATAAAAGCGTGAACACACAGCTTCCTTAAATGGATTGCTGCTCTGTTTCTCCTCATTGAGGAGGACTTCACAACCAGAGCCTCCAGCCACTCCCTTCAATGTTCTCTTGCTGACAAAGATATGAAATCTTTCTGGGACAGAGCTCCTAGTGAGAGTGGTGGGCTTCTATCTTTGATGTTTCAGTGACTTATCCATGCCAGCCTTCAGGATTTAGAGAACCCAAGTTGACTGTGGGTGGAAGTGATACCCCAGCATAACACAGCTGCTCAACAAAAGTGTGGCTAGATTGCTTCTTTCACTTAGTCCCTGGTCTAGTTCCTACTGACTGGATAGAACTCCAACTAGGCTCTTCAGCCACCTCCTACAGGTGCATTTGGGCTGGCAGCAGGTCAGTACGGCCTTGGGACTAAGTTCCCAGAGGAAGGGCCAGGCTGCCACCTTGGCCGTTTTGCAGTCTTCACTGGTGATACCTCCAGGTACTGGAAAATCTGAGGCAACTATGGACTTGAGCAGACCCACAGCAAACTACAGCATCCCTATGAAACGGGGGCAAGACTATTAAAAGAAAAACAACCCCCCCAACCCAAAAGTTCCATCCAAAGGTCAGCATCCTCAAAGATCAAAGGTACATAATCCTACAAAGATGAGAAGTAATCAGCACAAACACTGAAAATTCAAACAGCCAGTGTTCTCTTTTTTCCAAATGACAAAAACACCTTTACAGTAAGGGTTTGGAACTTGGCTGAGGCTGAGATGACTGAAATGACAGAAGTACACTTCAGAATGTAAATAAAAATGAACTTTACTGAGCTAAAGGCGCACATTGTAACCTAATGCAAATAAGCTAAAAATCATAATGAAACAATGCAAAATTTGATAGCCCAAATAGCCAGAATAGAGAAGAACATAACTGACCTGATAGAATTGAAAAACACAATACAAGAACTTTACAATGTAATACAAGTGTTAATAGCAGAATAGACCAAGAGGAGGAAAGAATCTCAGAGCTTGAAGATGATCCTTCTGAAATAAGATGGGCAGACAAGAATAGAGAAAAAAGAACAGAAAAGAATGGAAAAAACCTCTGAGAACTATGGGATTATATAAAAAGACCAAGCCTGCGACTTACTGGGGTACCTGAAAGAGATGTGGAGAATGGAACCAAGTTGGAAAACATATTTCAGGATATCATCCATAAGAACTTCCCCAACCTAGCTGGAGAGGTCAACATTTAAATTCAGGAAATGCAGAGAACCCCAGTAAGACACACCATGAGAAGATAATTCCCAAGACACATAATTAAATTATCAGATTCTTCAAGATTGAAATGAAATAAAAAATGTTAAGGGCAGCCAGAGAAAAATAACAGTTCACATACAAAGCGAAGCCCATCAGACTAACAGGAGATTTCTCAGTAGAAACCCTAAAGGCAGAACTGATTGGCGGCCAATATTCAACATTCTTAAAGAAAGAAATTCCAAACCAGAATTTCATATTCAGTCAAACTGAACTTGAAAAGTGAAGGAGAAATAAGATCCTTTTCAGACAAGCAAATGCTGAGGGAATTCGTTACCACCAGATGTATCTTACAAGAGCTTATGAAGGAAACACTAAATACAGAAAGGAAAAACTGTTACCAGTCACTCCAAAAACACACACACACAAACAAGTATTTAATGAAAAACTTAATAAAATAGACCACTAGCTAGACTAATAAAGAAGAGAGAAGAATCAAATAAAGACACTCCCAAATTACTAGGGGAATAACACCACTGACTCCACAGAAATACAGACAAGCATCAGAGAATACTATAAATAACTCTATGGACATAAACTAGAAAACCTAGAGGAAATGGATACATTTCTGGACACACACACACTCCCAAGGATGAACCAGGAAGAAATTGATTCCCTGAATAGACCGAAGGTGAGTTCTGAAATTGAGGCAGTAATAATTAGCCTACAAACTAAAAAAATCCTAGGAGTAGATGAATTCACAGCTGAATTCTACCACAGGTACAAAGAAGAGCTGGTACCATTTCTACTGAAACTATTCCAAACAATTGAAATGGGTGGGACTGCTCCCCATCTCATTCTATGAGACCAGTGTTATCCTGATACCAAAACCTGGCAGAGATACAAGAAGAAAAGAAAACATCAGGCCAATATCTTTGATGAATATTTATGCAAAAATCCTCAGTAAAATACTGGCAAGCCAAATTCAGCAACACATCAAAAAGGTATCCACTGTGATCAAGTTGACTTCATCCCTGAGATGCAATGTTGGTTCATCATGAACAAATCAAAAAATGTGATTCATTACGTAAACAAATCTAAAGACAAAAACCACATGATTATCTCAATAGATGCAGAAAATACCTTCAATAAAGTTCAATATTTCTTCATGTTAAAAACTCCCAATAAATACAAAGGAACCTACCTCAAAACAATAAGAGCCACACATGACAAACTCACAGGCAATGTCATACTGAATGAGCAAAGGCTGGAATCATTTCCTTTGAAAACCAACACCAGACAAGGATTGCCTTTCTCACCACTCCTTCTCAACATACTATTGGAAGTTCTGGACAGGGCACTCAGGAAAGAGAAACAAATAAAGGGTATTCAAATTGGAAGAGAGAAAGTCAAACTATCCTAGTTTGCAGATGGCATTTTTTTATATGTAGAAAACCTAATAGTCTCAGCACAAATGCTTTTTAAGCTGAAAAGCAACTTCAGCAAACTCTCACAATACAAAATCAATGGGCAAAAATTGCTAGCATTTCTAGACACCAACAACAGTCAAGCAGATAGCCAAATCATGATTAAATTTCAATTCATAATTGCCACAAAAGAATAAAATAACCAAAAATATGGCTAACAAGTCATGTGAAGGATCTATACAACGAAAATTACAAACCACTCCTCAAAAAAATCAGAGGTGACACAAACAAATGGAAAAACATTCCATGCTCATAAATTTAAAAAATCAATATTGTTAAAATGGTTATACTGCCCAAAGCAATTTATAAATTTGATGCTATTTCTATTAAAGTAACATTAACATTCATCACAGATCTAGAAAAAAATGGATGCTGTGGCTCACGCCTGTAATCCCAGCACTCTGGGAGGCTGAGGCTGATGGATCCCCTGAGGTCAGGAGTTCGAGTCTAGCCTGGCCAACATGGCAAAAACCCATCTCCACTAAAAATACAAAAATCAGCCAGGTGTTGTGGTGCACACCTGTAATTCCAACTATGTGGGAGGGTGAGGCAAGAGAATCGCGTGAACCTGGGAGGTGGAGGTTGCAGTGAGCCAAGATTGCACCACTGCACTACAGCCTGGTCATCAAGGTGAAACTCCATCTCAAAAAAGAAAAAAAACCTAGCAAATATATTTTAAAATGTATATGGAACCAAAAAAGAGCCCCAATAGCCCAGGCAATCCTAGGCAAAAAGAACAAAGCTGGAGGCATCATGCTACCTGACTTCAGACTATACTACAGGACTACAGTAACCAAAACAGCATGGTACTGCTACAAGAACAGACACATAGACCAGTAGAACAGAATCCAGAAAAAAGACCACATACCTACAATGATCTTGTCTTCAACAAACCTCACAAAAACAAGCAACGAGTTGAAGATTCTCTATTTAATTAGTGGTGCTGGGATACCTAGCTATATGCAAAAAATTGAAACTGTACCCCTACCTTTTACCATATACAAAAATCAACACAAACAAAACTAAAATCTTAAATGGAAAATTTTAAACTATAAAAACCCTGGAAGAAAACCTAGGCAATACCATTTAGATCATAGGGGTGGGTAAGGATTTTATGATGAAGACACCAAAAGCTATTGCAACAAAAGCAAAAATTCACAAATGGCATGTAATTAAAGAGCTTCTGCAGAGAAAAAGAAACTATAAACAGAGTAAACAGACAACCTACAGAATAGGAGATAATCTTTGCAAATTATGCATCTGACAATGGTCTACTATCCATCATCGATAAGAAACTTAAATTTACAAGAAAAGAAAACCAAACAACCCCATTAAATAGTGGACAAAGAACATAAATAGACACTTGTTGCAGGAAGTCAGGGACCCTGAATGGAAGGACTGGCTGGAGCCATGGCAGAGGAACATAAATTGTGAAGATTTCATGGACATTTATCAGTTCCCAAATAATAATTTTATAATTTCTTATGCCTGTCTTACTTTAATCTCTTAATCCTGTTTTCTTTGTAAGCTGAGGATGTACGTCACCTCAGGACCATTGTGATAGTTGTGTTAACTGTACAAATTGATTGTAAAACGTGGGTTTGAACAATATGAAATCAATGCACCTTGAAAAGAACAATTACAGTGACTTTCTGGGAACAAGGGAAGACAACCATAAGGTCTGACTGCCTGTGGGATCGGGCAAAATAGAGCCATATTTTTCTTCTTGCAGAGAGCCTATAAACAGACGTGCAAGCAGGGAAGATATCACTAAATTATTTTCCTAGCAAGGAATATTAATAATTAATACCCTGGGGAAGGAATGCATTCCTTGGGGGAGATCTATAAATGGCCGCTCTGGGAGTGTCTGACTCATGCGGTTGAGATAAGGACTGAAATACGCCCTGGTCTCTTGAAGTACCCTCAGGCTTATTAGGGTGGGGAAAAACTCCACCCTGGTAAATTTGGGGTCAGACTGGTTCTCTGCTCTCGAACCCTATTTTCCTTTGTTTAAGATGTTTATCAAGGCAATACGTGCACAGCTGAACATAGACCCTTATTAGTAGTTCTGATTTTGCCCCTGTCCTGTTTCGTCAGAAGCATGTGATCTTTGTTCTGCCTTTTGCCCTTTGAAGCATGTGATCTTTGTGACCTACTCCCTGTTCGTACACCCCCTCCCCTTTTAAAATCCTTAATAAAAACTTGCTGACTCTGCTGCTCATGTGGGCATCACGGTCCTACCGATATGTGATGTCACCCCCAGAGCCCTAGCTGTTAAATTCCTCTCTTTGTACTCTTTCTCTTTATTTCTCAGCCAGCCAACACTTACGGAAAATAGAACCTAGGCTGAAATATTGGGGGCGGGTTCCCCCGATAGTCCTTTTCACGATATTGATTCTACCCATCCATGATCATGGGATGTGTTTCCATTAGTTTGTGTCATTTATGATTTCTTCCAGCAGTATTTTGTAACTGTCCTTGAGAGATTTTTGACGTCCTTGGTTAAGTATATTCCAAAGTTTGTTTCTTTGTTTGTTTGTTTTTGCAGCTATTGTAAAGGGGGTTGAGTTCTTAATTTGATTCTCAGCTTGGTTGCTGTTGGTGTATAGCACAGCTTCTGATTTCTGTACATTAATTTTGTATCCTGAGACCTTAATGAGTTCATTTATCAGTTTGAGGAGCTTTTTGGATGAGTCATTAGGGTCTTTTTTAGTTGTACAATCATATCATCAGCAAACAGCAACAGTTTGACTTCCTGTTTACTGATTTGGATGCCCTTGATTTCTTTTTCTTGTCTGATTGCTCAGGCTAGAACATCCAGTACTATGTTTAATAGAAGTGGCAAAAGTGGGAATCCTTGTTTTGTTTTAGTTCTCAGAGGGAATGCTTCCAACTTTCCCCCATTCAGTATTATGTTGACTGTTGGTTTGTCATAGATGGCTTTTATTACCTTGAGGTATGTACCTTGCATGCTGATTTTGCTGAGGGTTTTAATGATAAAGGGATGCTGTATTTTGTCAAATGCTTTTTCTATATCTATTTAGTGTTCATGTGACTTTTGTTTTTAAATGTGATTAGGTGTTTTATCACATTTATTGACTTGTTAAGCTGTTGGACTTGGTTAGCTAGTATTTTGTTGATAATTTTAGCATCTATGTTCATCAGAGTTATTGGTCTGTAGTTTCCTTTTTTTGTTATATCCTTTCCTGGTTTGGTATTAGGGTGATACTGGCTTCATAGAATGATTTAGGGAGGATTTCCCCTTTCTCTATTTTGTGGAATAGCATCAATAGAATTAGTACCAATTCTTCTTTGAATGTCTGATAAAATTCAGCTCTGAATCTGACTTTTCCTGGACTTTTTTTTCATGTTGTTGGTAATTTTTAACTTACCATTTCAATCTTGCTGCTTGCTATTGGTCTGTTCAGGCTTTCTCTTTTTTCTGATTTAAGTTAGGAAGGTTGTATCTTTCCCTGAGTTTATTTATCTCCTCCAGGTATTTTAATTTATGCACATAAAGCTTTTCACAGTGCCATTGAATAATCTTTTTGTTTTTCTATGGTGTCTGCTGTAATATCTCTTATTTCATTTTTAATAGAGCTTATTTGGATCTTCTTTTCTTGGGTAATCTAATGGTCTATCAATTTTATTTCTCTTTTCAATGAACCAGCAATTTGTTTCATTTATCTTTTGAATTTTTTGTTTTAATTTCATTTAGTTCTGCTCTGTTCTTTGTTATTTCCTTTCTTCTGCTGGGTTTGTGTTTGGTTTCCTCTTGTTGCTCTAGTTTCTTGGTTGTCTATTTGTGTTTTTTTTCAGACTTTTTGATGAAGACATTTAAGATTATGAACTTTTTTCTTAGCACTGCCTTTGCCATATCCCAGAGGTTTTGATAGGTTGTGTCATTATTATATTTCAGTTCAAAGAATTTTTAAATTTTCATCTTGATTTTATTGTTTACCCAGTGATTATTCAGGAACAGGTTATTTAATTTCGAGGTGTTTGCATGGTTTTGAAGGTTCCTTTTTGCATTGATTTCCAATTTTATTTTCCTGTGGTCTGAGAGAGTACTTGATAGAATTTCACTTTTTTTAATTTATTGAGACTTTTCCTTTTTTAATTTATTTTTTTAATTTTTTGCATTGTTTTTTATTATACTTTAAGTTTTAGGGTACATGTGCACAATGTGCAGGTTTGTTACATATGTATACCTGTGCGATGTTGGTGTGCTGCACCCCTTAACTCGTCATTTAACATTAGGTATATCTCCTAATGCTATCCCTCCCACCTCCCCCCACCCCACAACAGTACCCAGTGTGTGATGTTCCCCTTCCTGTGTCCATGTGTCCTAATTGTTCAATTTCCACCTATGAGTCAGAACATGCAGTGTTTGGTTCTTTGTCCTTGTGATAGTTTGCTGAGAATAATGGTTTCCAGCTTCATCCATGTCCCTACAAAGGACATGAACTCATCTTTTTTTATGGCTGCATAGTATTCCATGGTGTATATGTGCCACATTTTCTTAATCCAGTCTATCATTATTGGACATTTGGGTAGGTTCCAAGTCTTTGCTATTGTGAGTAGTGCCGCAATAAACACACGTGTGCATGTGTCTTTATAGCAGCATGATTTATAATCCTTTGGGTATATACCCAGTAATGGGATGACTGGGTCAAATGGTATTTCTAGTTCTGGATCCCTGAGGAATCACCACACTGACCTCCACAATGGGTGAACTAGTTTACAGTCCCACCAACAGTGTAAAAGTGTTCTCATTTCTCCACATCCTCTCCAGCACCTGTTGTTTCCTGACTTTTTAATGATCACCATTCTAACTGGTGTGAGATGGTACTCACTGTGGTTTTGATTTGCATTTCTCTGATGGCCAGTGATGATGAGCATTTTTTCATGTGTCTTTTGGCTGCATAAATGTCTTCTTTTGAGAAGTGTCTATTCATATCCTTCACCCACTTTTTGATGGGGTTGTTTGTTTTTTTCTTGTAAATTTGTTTGAGTTCATTGTAGATTCTGGACATTAGCCCTTTGTCAGACCTAAAACCATAAAAACCCTAGAAGACAACCTAGGCAATACCATTCAGGACATAGGCATGTGCAAGGAATTCATGACTAAAACACCAAAAGCAATGGCAACAAAAGCCAAAATTGACAAATGGGATCTAATTAAACTAAAGAGCTTCTGCACAGCAAAAGAAACTAGCATCAGAGTGAACAGGCAACCTACAGAATGGGAGAAAATTTTTGCAATCTGGTCATCTGATAAATTTATTGAGACTTTTCTTGTGGCCTACCATATGGTCTATCTTGGAGAAAGTTTCATGTGCTGATGAATAGAATGCATATTCTGTGGTTGTTGGGTAGAATGTTCTGTAAATATCTGTTAAGTTTTTTTGTTCTAGGTTGTAGTTTAAATAAATTCTTTGTTGACTTTCTGTTTTGGTGACCTGTCTAATGCTGTCAGTGGAGTATTGAAGTTCTCCACTGTCATTATGTTGCCATATATCTCATTTGTTAAGTCTAGTAGTTATTGTTTTATACATTTGGGAGCTCCTGTGTTATGTCCATATATATTTAAAATTCTAATATTTTCCTGTTGGACGAGGCTTTTCCTCATCACATAATGTCTCTTGTCTTTTTTGACTGCTGTTGCTTTAAAGTTTGTTTTGTCTGATATGAGAGTAGCTACTGCTCCTTGCTTTTGATGTTCATTTGTACTGAATGTTTTTTTCCACTCCTTTAAGTTCATGAAAGTCCTTATGTATTAGGTGAGTCTCTTGAAGGCAGCAGATAATTGGCTTGTGAATTATTATCCATTCTGTTATTCTGCATCTTTTAAATGGAGCATTTAGGCCATTTACATTGAACATTAGTATTGACATGTGAGGTACTATTCCATGCATCATTCTATTCATTGCCTGTAACCCTTTTTGTTTTTAATCGTATTTTTGTTTTATAGGTTCTTTGAGATTTATGCTTTAAAGAGGTTCTGTGTTGGTGTGTTTCCAGTTTTTATTTCAAGATTTAGAGCTCCTTTTAGCAGTTCGTGTAGTGCTGGTTTGGTAGTGACAAATTCTCTCACCATTTGCTTGTCTGAAAAAGACTATATGTTTCCTTTATTTATGAGTCTAACTTTCAATCAATACAAAATTCTTGGTGGATAATTTTTATTTTAAGGAGGCTAAAGATTTCCCATATGTTCTTTGAGCTTCTTGTATTTGGATCTTTAGGTCTCCAGCAAGGCTGGGGAAGTTTTCCTTGATTATTCCCCCAAATATATTTTCCAAATTTTTAGATTTCTCTTCCTCCTCAGGAACTTTAATTATTCTCAGGTTTGGTCGTTTAACTTAATACCAAACTTCTTGGGGGCTTTGTTCATTTTTTTAAATTCTTTTTTTATTGTCTTTGTTGGATTGGATTTAACTGAAAACCTTGTCTTCAAGCTCTGAAATTCTTTTTTCTGCTTCTTCAATTCTATTGCTGAGACTTTTCAGTATATTTTGCATTTCTCTAAGTGTGTTTTTTATTTCCCGAAGTTGTGATTTTTTAAATTTATGCTATTTTGCTGAACAGTTTTCTCCTCATATCTTGCATCTTTTTAAAAATTATCTTAAATTGGACCCCACTTTTTTCAGGTGCCTCCTTGATTAGCTTAATAATCGACCTTCTGAATTCTTTTTCAGGTAAATTAGGGATTTCCTCTTGGTTTGGATCCATTTCTGGTGAGCTAGTGTTCATTTTCTGGGGTGTTAAAAAACCTTGTTTTGTCATGTTACCAGAATTTTTCTTCTGGTCTTTTCTCATTTGTGTAGGCTATGTCAGAGAGAAGATCTGGGTCTCAATTTGCTGTTCCAGTTTCTGTGTCCCATGGGGTGTTTTATTGATTAAGTACTCTCCCCTTTTTCCTAGGGATGTGACTTTATGAGAGCTGAACTGCAGTGATTGTTATTTCTCTTCTGGATCTAGCCACCCAGCAGGACTACCAGGCTCCAGATTGGTACTGGTGGTTGACTGCACAGAGTCTTCTAATGTGAACCACCTTCAGGTCTCTCAGTTGTGGATAACAGCACCTGCTCTGGTGGAGGTGGCAGGAGAGTGAAATGGACTCTGTGAGGGTCCTTAGTTTTGGTTGCTTAATGTACTATTTTTATGCCTGTTGTCCTCCTGCTAGGACATGGCACTTTCAAAAGAGATCAGCTGTGATAGTGTAAGGAAAATTAGATGGTGGGTGGTGCCCTGGAACTCCCAAGAGAATGTGACCTTTGCCTACAGCTACCAGGATGGGTAGGGAAGGACCACCCACAGGTGGGGACAGGTTTACCTATATCTGAGCTCAGATTCTCCCTGGGTGGGGCTTGTTGCAGCTGCTCTGGGGGATGAGGGTGTGCTTCCCGGGTCAATGGAGTTATGTTTCCAGGCGGATGATGCCTGCCTCTGCTGTGGCATGCAGGTTGTCCGGGAAGTGGGGGAAAGATGGCAGTTGTAGGCCTAACTCAGCTCTCATATAACTCGAAAGACCCGTCTCATTTCTACCGTGATCCACCCCAACATTACCGAGTTTGTTTCCCAGCAGTGGGCGAGCAGAGCTGATAACTTTCCCAGGCTACTAGCCTTTCAGCTGAGAAAGCAAGCAGGGCTTTTACGCCTCCCTGCTTGTCCTGTATGAACAATGGATTCACGCCCTCCCCCATGTTCTGGCCAGGAGACTTCGCATTCAGTTGGAATTGTTACAAAGTTCAGCTGGAGCTTTCCTTGTTCCTTTGATCTTTTCCCAGTTCCTCTGGCAGCCCTCCCCAAGGACCCCAGTGAGAGAAGTCAGAAATGGCTTTTCTACGGACCCAGAGAGCCCTCAGGTTTTCCCACTGGTTCCTCTACCCTTGTATTTTGCTTGGCTCTCTAAATCGACTCATCTTCAGGTAAGGTCAAATCCTTTCCTCATTATGTAGACCTTCAGGTTTCCCAGCGAGAGTGTGTGTTCAGGGGCAGATAATTCCCCTTTTCCACTGTCACATCTCGGCACTCACAGTATCTGGGCTGTCTCCTGGGTGCTGCAGGAGGAATCTGTTTCCTTCAGAGGGCCTGTGGAGTCTCTCAGCCTTCCTGGTATATTCCTCCAATAGTTCAGGAGCAAAAATTTACAATGTGATTCTCCACAAGCTGCTCTGTCTGTCTGAGCTGGAGCTGCAAGCTGGTCTTGCCTCCTGTCTGCCATCTTCCCACCTATCACCTACATTTTATGGTTAATTTTCTTCCGCTTCCTTCATGGTTAGAGTGCCTTCTTCTCTCTACTGTTTTTAGATTACTTATTTTAGATCCCACTTTCTTTCCTATTATATGCACTAATGCTACAATTTTTAAAAAAAACTCATTGCTGAATCTCACCTATTTTAATAAGCTGTATTTTTATTCAGTTCCAAAATATTTTTCTTTTGCTTTGTTACTTCTATTATGTATGTATGTATGTATGTATGTATTTATTTATTATACTTTAAGTTCTGGAATACATGTGCAGAACGTGCAGGTTTGTTACATAGATATACACGTGCCATGTTGGTTTGCTGCACCCATCAACCCATCATCCAAATTAGATATTTTTTTAATGTTATCCCTCCCCTGGCCCTCCACCCATGAACAGGCCCTGGTGTATGATGTTCCCCTCCCCATGTCCATGTGTTCTCATTGTTTAACTCCCATCAATGAGTGAGAACCTGTGGTGTTTGGTTTTCAGTTCTTGTGTTAGTTTGCTCAGAATGATGGTTTCCAGCTTCATCCACGTCCCTGCAAAGGGCATGAACTCATCCTTTTTTATGGCTGCATAGTATTCCATGGTGTATATGTGCCACATTTTCTTACTCCAATCTATCATTGATGGGCATCTGGGTTGGTTCCAAGTCTTTGCTATTGTGAACAGTGTCACAATAAACATACATGTGAATGTGTCTTTACAATAGAATGATTTATAATCCTTTGGGTATATGCCCAGTAATGGCATTCCTGCATCAAATGGTATATCTGGTTCTAGATTCTTGAGGAATTGCCACAGACTTCCACGATGGTTGAACTAATTTACACTCCAACCAGCAGTGTAAAAGCATTCCTATTTTTCCACATCTACTCCAGCTTGTGTTGTTTCTGCCTTTTTAATGATCGCCATTTTAACTGGCATGAGGTGGTATCTCGTTGTGGTTTTGATTTGCATTTCTCTAATGACCAGTGAGGATGAGCTTTTTTTCATGTTTGTTGGATGCATAAATGTCTTCTTTTGAGAAGTGTCTGTTCATATCCTTTGCCCACTTTTTAATGGGGTTATTTTTTCTTGTAAATTTGTTTAAGTTCTTTGTAGATTCTGGATATTAGCCCTTTGTCAGATGGGTAGATTGCAAAAATTTTCTCCCATTTTGTAGCTTGCCTGTTCACTCTGATGATAGTTTCTTTTGCTGTGCAGAAGCTCTTCAGTTTAATCAGATGCCATTTGTCAGTTCTGGCTTTGGTTGCCATTGCTTTTGGTGTTTTAATCGAAAAGTCTTTGCTCATGCCTATCTCCTGAATGGAATTGCCTTGGTTTCCTTCTAGGGTTTTTATGGTTTTATGGTTTATGTTTAAGTATTTAATCTGTATTGAGTTAATTTTTGTGTAAGGTGTAAGGAAGGGGTCCGGTTTCAGTTTTTTGCATATGGCTAGCCAGTTTTCCCAACACCATTTATTTAATAGGGAATCCTTTCCCCATTGCTTTTTTTGGTCAGGTTTGTCAAAGATCACATTGGTATAGATGTGTGGTGTTATTTCTGAGGGCTCTGTTCTGTTCCATTGGTCTATTTAACTGTTTTGGTAGCAGTACCATGCTGTTTTGGTTGCTGTAACCTTGTAGTATAATTATTATTATTATTATTATTATTATACTTTAAGCACTAGGGTACATGTGCACAACATACAGGTTTGTTACATATGTATACATGGGCCATGTTAGTGTGCTGCACCCATTAACTCATTTACATTAGGTATATCTCCTAATGTTATCCCTCCCCCCTCCCCCACCCCAAGACAATCCCCAGTGTGTGATGTTCCCCGCCCTGTGTCCAAGTGTTCTCATTGTTCAATTCCCACCTATGAGTGAGAACATGCAGTGTTTGGTTTTCTTTCCTTGCGATAGTTTGCTCAGAATGGTGGTTTCCAGCTTCATCCATGTCCCTACAAAGGACATCAACTCATCCTTTTTTATGGCTGCATAGTATTCCATGGTGTATATGTGCCACATTTTCTTAATCCAGTCTGTCATTGATGGATATTTGGGTTGGTTCCAAGTCTTTGTTATTGTGAATAGTGCTGCAATGAACATACATGTGCATGTGTCTTTATAGCAGCATAATTTGTAATCCTTTGGATATATACCCAGTAATGGGATGGGTGGGGCAAATGATATTTCTAGTTCTAGATCCTTGAGGAATCACCACACTGACTTCCACAATGGTTGAACTAGTTTACAGTACCACCAGCAGTGTAAAAGTGTTCCTATTTCTCCACATTTTCTCCAGCACCTGTTTGTTTCTTGACTTTTTAATGATTGCCATTCTAACTGGTGTGAGATGGTATCTCATTGTGGTTTTGATTTGCATTTCTCTGATGGCCAGTAATGATGAGCATTTTTTCATGTGTCTTTTGGCTTCATAAATGTCTTCTTTTGAGAAGAGTGTGTTCATATCCTTCACCCACTTTTTGATGGGGTTGTTTGATTTTTTTCTTGTAAATTTGTTTAAGTTCTTTGTAGATTCTGGATATTAGCCCTTTGTCAGATGTGTAGATTGTAACAATTTTCTCCCATTCTGTAGGTTGCCTGATCACTCTTATGGTAGTTTCTTTTGCTGTGCAGAAGCTCTTTAGTTTAATTAGATCCCATTTGTCAATTTTGGCTTTTGTTGCCATTGCTTTTGGTGTTTTAGTCATGAAGTCCTTGCCCATGCCTATGTCCTGAATGGTATTGCCCATGTTTTCTTCTAGTTTTTTTATGGTTTTTGGTCTAACATTTAAGTCTTTAATCCATCTTAAATTAATTTTTGTATAAAGAGTAAGGAAGGGATCCAGTTTCAGCTTTCTACATATGGCTAGCCAGTTCTCCCAACACCATATATTAAATAGGGAATTCTTTCCCCATTTCTTCTTTTTGTCAAGTTTGTCAAAGATCAGATGGTTGTAGATGTGTAGTATTATTTCTGAGGGCTCTGTTCTGTTTCATTTTTCTAAATCTCTATTTTGGTACCAGTACCATGCTGTTTTGGTTACTGTAGCCTTGTAGTATAGTTTGAAGTCAGGTAGCGTGATGCCTCCAGCTTTGTTCTTTTTGCTTAGGATTGTCTTGGCAATGCGGGCTGTTTTTTCTTCCACGTTAACTTTAAAGGAGTTTTTTCCAATTCTGTGAGGTAACTCATTAGTAGATTGATGTGGATGGCATTGAATCTATAAATTACCTTGGGCAGTATGGCCATTTTCACGATATTGATTCTTTCTATCCATTTGCATCGAATGTTCTTCCATTGGTTTGTGTCCTCTGTTATTTCATTGAGTAGTGGTTTGTAGTTCTCCTTGTAGAGGTCCTTTACATCTCTTGGAATTTCAATTCCTAAGTATTTTATTCTCTTTGAAGCAATTGTGAATGGAAGTTCACTCATGACTTGGCTCTCCGTTTGTCTGTTATTGGTGTATAGGAATGCTTGCGATTTTTGCGCATTGATTTTGTATCCTTAAACTTTACTGAAGTTGCTTATCAGCTTAAGGAGATTTTGGGCTGAGACGATGAGGTTTTCTAAATATACAATCATGTCATCTGCAAACAGAGACAATTTGACTTCCTCTTTTACTAATTGAATACCGTTTATTTCTTTCTCCTGCCTGATTGTCCTGGCCAGAACTTCCAACAGTATGTTGAATAGGAGTGGTGAGAGAGGGTATCCTTGCCTTGCACCAGTTTTCAAAGGGAATGCTTCCAGTTTTTGCCCATTCAGTATGATATTGGCTGTGGGTTTTTGCTAAATAGCTCTTATTATTTTGAGATATATTGCATCAATACCTAGTTTATTGAGAGTTTTTAGGATTGGGGCTGTTGAATTGATTCAAAGGCCTTTTCTGCATCTATGGAGATAATCATGTGGTTTTATCTTTGGTTCTGTTTACATGATGGATAACATTTATTGATTTGCATATGATGAACGTGCCTTGCATCCCAGGGATGAGCCTATGTGTGTCTCTGCATGTGAGATGGGTCTCCTGAATACAGCACTCTGATGGATCTTGACTCTTTATCCAATTTTCCAGTCTGTGTCTTTTAATTGGAACATTTAGCCCATTTACATTTAAGGTTAATATTGTTATGTGTGAATTTGATCCTTTCATTATGATGTTAGCTGGTTGTTTTGCTCGTTAGTTGATGCAGTTTCTTCCTAGCTTCAATGCTCTTTACAATTTGGCATGTTTTTACAGTGGCTGGTCCCGGTTGTTCCTTTCTATGTTTAGTGCTTCCTTCAGGACCTCTTGTAAGGCAGGCCTGGTGGTGTCAAAATGTCTCAGCATTTGCCCGTCTGTAAAGGATTTTATTTCTCCTTCAAGTATGTGTCTTGGAGTTGCTCTCCTTGAGGAGTATCTCTGTGGCATTCTCTGTAATTTCTGAATTTGAATATTGGCCTGCCTTTCTAGGTTGGGGAAGTTCTCCTGGATAATATCCTGAAGAGTGTTTTCCAGCTTGGTTCCATTCTCCCCATCACTTTCAGGTACACCAATCAGATGTAGATTTGCTCTTTTCACATAGTCCCATATTTTTTGGAGGCTTTGTTTGTTTGTTTTTACTCTTTTTTTCTCTTATCTTATCTTCTCACTTGATTTCATTCATTTTATCTTCAATCACTGATACCCTTTCTTCCACTTGATCGAATCTGCTACTGAAGCTTGTGCATGCATCACGTAGTTCTTGTGCCATGGTTTTCAGATCCATCAGGTCATATAAGTTCTCCTCTATGCTGTTTATTCTAGTTAGCCATTCGTCTAATATTTTTCAAGTTTTTTAACTTCCTTGTGATGGGTTTGAACATCCTCCTTTAGCTCAGAGAAGTTTGTTATTACCGATTGTCTGAAACCTTCTTCTCTCAACTCGTCAAAGTCATTCTCCATCTAGCTTTGTTCCATTGCTGGTGAGGAGCTGTGTTCCTTTGGAGGAGAAGAGGTGCTCTGATTTTTAAAATTTTCAGCTTTTCTGCTCTGGTTTCTCCCCATCTTTGTGGTTTTATGTACCTTTGTTCTTTGATGATGGTGACATACAGATGGGGTTTTGGTGTGGATGTCCTTTTTGTTTGTTAGTTTTTCTTCTAACAGTCAGGACCCTCAGCTGCAGGTCTGTTGGAGTTTGCTGGAGGTCCACTCCAGACCCTGTTTGCCTGGGTATCACCAGCAGAGGCTACAGAACAGCAAATATTGCAGAATGGCAAATGTTGCTGCCTGATCCTTCCTCTGGAAGCTTTGTCTCAGAGGTGCACCCGGCTGTATGAGGTATCAGTCAGCCCTCTACTGGGAGGTGTCTCCCAATTAGGCTACTCAGGTGTCAGGGACCCACTTGAGGAGACAGTCTGTCCGTTCTCAGATCTTAAACTCTGTGCTTGGAGAACCACTACTCTCTTCAAATCTGTCAGACAGGGATGTTTAAGTGTGCAGAAGTTTCTGATGCCTTTTCTTCAACTATGCCCTACCCCCAGCGGTGGAGTCTGCAGAGGCAGGCAGGCCTCCTTGAGCTGTGGTGGGCTCCACCCAGTTTGAGCTTCCTGGTCACTTTATTTACCTAATCAAGCCTCAGCAATTGCAGATGGCCCTCCCTCAGCCTTGCTACCACCTTGCTGTTTGATCTCAGACTGCTGTGCTAGCAGTGAGCAAGGCTCTGTGGGTGTGGGACCCTCTAAGCCAGGCATGGGATATAATCTCCTGGTGTGGTGTTTGCTAAGACCACTGGAAAAGTGCAGTATTAGGATGGGAGTGACCCCATTTTCCAGGTACCTTCTGTCACAGCTTCCCTTGGCTAGGAAAGGGAATTCCCTGACCCCCTGCACTTCCTGGGTGAGGCCTGCTTCGTCTCACACTCCGTGGGCTGCACCCACTGTCTGGTAGGCCCCAGTGAGATGAACATTGTACCTCAGTTGGAAATGCAGAAATCACCCGTCTTCTGCATCGCTCATGCTGGGAGCTGTAGACTGGAGCTGTTCCTATTTGGCCATCTTGGAACCTCCCCACCTTGTAGTATAATTTGAAGTCATTTATCATGATGCCTCCATCTTTGTTCTTTTTGCTTAGGATTATCTTGTCTATGTGGGCTCTATTTTGGTTTCATACGAAGTTTAAAGTAGTTTTTTTCTAATTCTGTGAAGAAGGTCAATGCCCTCTTAATGGAGATAGCATTGAATGTATAAATTACTTTGGGCAGTGTGGCCATTTTCACGATATTGATTTTTCTTATCCATTAGCATGGAATGTTTCTCCATTTGTTTGTGTCCTCTCTTATTTCCTTGAGCAGTGATTTGTAGTTTTCCTTGAAGAGGTCCTTCACATATCTTGTAAGTTGTATTTTTAGGTATTTTATTCTCTTTGTAGCAATTTTAAATGGAAGTTGACTCATGATTTGGCTCTCTATTATTGGTGTATAGGAATGCTTGTGATTGTTACACATTGATTTTGTATCCTGAGACTGTTGAAGTTGCTTATCAGCTTAAGGAGGTTTTGGGCTGAGACGTTGGGGTTTTCTAAATATACAGTCATGTCATCTGCAAACAGAGACAATTTAACTTCCTCTCTTCCTATTTGAATATGCTTTATTTCTTTATCTTGCCTGATTTACCTGGCCAGAGCTTCCAATACTATGTTGAATAGGAGGAGTGAGAGACGGCATTTTTGTCTTGTGCTGGTTTTTAAAGGGAATGTTTCCAGTTTTTGCCCATTCAGTATGATATTGGCTGTGGGCTTGTCATAAATAGCTCTTCTTATTTTGAGATTCGTTACATCAATACCTAGTTTATTGAGAGTTTTTAGCATGAAGGGGCGTTGAATTTTATCAAAGGTCTTTTCTGCATCTATTGAGATAATCCTGTTGTTTTTCTCGTTGGTTCTGTTTATGTGATGGATTACCTTTATTGATTTGCATATGTTCAATCAGCCTTGCATCCCAGGATGAAGTCGACGTGATAGTGGTGGATAAGCTATTTGATGTGATGCTGGATTTGGTTTGCCAGTATTTTTTTGAGGATTTTGGCATCGATGTTCATCATGGATATTGGCCTGAAATTTTCTTTTTTTGTTTTGCCTCTACCAGGTTTTTATATCAGGATGATGCTGGTCTCATAAAATGAGTTAGGGAGGATTCCCTCTTTTTTTATTGTTTGGAACGATTTCAGAAGAATGGCACCAGCTCCTCTTTGCACCTCTGGTAGAATTCAGCTGGGAATCCGTCTGGCTGTGGACTTTTTTGGTTGGTAGGCTATTAATTACTGCCTCAATTTCAGAACGTGTTATTGGTCTATTCAGGAATTCAACTTATTCCTGGTTTAGACTTGAAAGAGTATATGTGTCAAGGAATTTATCCATTTCTTCTAGATTTTCTAGTTTATTTGCATGGAGGTGTTTATAGTATTCTCTGATGGTAGTTTGTATTTCTGTGGAATCAGTGATGATATCCCCTTTATCGTTTTTTATTGTGTCTATTTGATTCTTCTCTCTTTTTTTCTTAGTCTGGCTAGCGGTCTATCTATTTTGTTGATCTTTTCAAAAAAACAGTCCCTGGATTTGTTGATTTTTAAAGGGGTTTCCCTATTTCTATCTTTTTCAGTTCTGCTCTGACCTTAGTTATGTTTTGCCTCTGGCTAGCTTTTGAATTTGTTTGCTCTTGCTTCATTAGTTCTTTTCATTGTGATGTTAGGGTGTCGATTGTAGATATTTTCTGCTTTCTTTTCTAGGAATTTAGTGCTATAAACTTTCCTGTGAACACTGCTTTAGCTATGTCCAAGAATTTTGGCTCGTTGTGTCTGTTCTTGTTGGTTTCAAAAACTTATTTGTTTCTGCCTTTATTTTGTTTTCTACCCAGTAGTCATTCAGGAGCAGGTTGTTCAGTTTCCATGTAGTTGTGCGGTTCTGAGTGAGTTTCTTAATCCCAAATTTTTATTTGATTGCACTGTGGTCTGTTTGTTATGGTTTCCATTTTTTGCATTTGCTGAGGAGTGTTTTACTTTTAATTATGTGGTCTATTTTACAATAAGTACGATGTGATGTTGAGAAGAATGCATATTCTGTTGATTTGGGGTGGAGAGTTCTGTAGATGTCTATTAGTTTTGCTTATTCCAGAACTGAGTTCAAGTCTTGAATATACTTGTTAATTTTCTGTCTCGAGCTGTCTAAAATTGACAGTGGGCTGTTAAAGTCTTCTGCTCTTATTATGTGGGAGTCTAGGTCTCTTTGTAGGTCTCTAAGAACTTGCTTTATGAATCTGGGTGCTTCTGTATTGTTGTGCATATATAGTTAAGATAGTTAGCTCTTGTTGCAGTTATCCTTTTACCAGTATGTAATGCCTTTTTTCTCTCTTTTGATCTTTGTTGATTTAAAGTCTGTTTTATCAAAGACCAAGATTGCAACCCCTGCTTTTTTTGCCTTCCATTTGCTTGGTAAATATCCTCCATCTCTTTATTTTTAGCCTATGTGTGTCTTTGCACATGAGATGGGTCTCCTGAATACAGTACACCGATGGGCCTTGACTCTTTATCCAATTTGCCAGTCTGTGTCTTTTAATTGGGTCATTTAGCCTATTTACATTTAAGGTTAATATTGTTATGTGGGAATTTGATCTTGTCATTATGATGCTAGCTAGTTATTTTGCCCATTAGTTGATGCAGTTTCTTCATAGTTTCGATGTTGTTTATAATTTGGTATGTTTTTGCAGTAGTTGATACCAGTTGTTGCTCTCCATATTCAGTGCTTCCTTCAAGAGCTCTTGTAAGGCAGGCCTGGTGATGACAAAATCTCTCAGCATTTGCTTGTCTGTAAAGGATTTTATTTCTCCTTCACTTATGAAGCTTAGTTCGTCTTGATATGAAATTCTGGGTTGAAAATTCTTTTTTTTAAGAATGTTGAATATTGGCCTCACTCTCTTCTGGCTTGTAGTGTTTCTGAAGAGAGATCCACTGTTAGTCTGATGGACTTCCCTTTGTCTGTAACCTGACCTTTCTCTCTGGCTGCCCTTAACATTTTTCCTTCATTTCAACCTTGGTGAATCTGGTTATTTGTGTCTTGTGGTTGCTCTTCTCGAGGAGTATCTTTGTGTTGTTCTCTGTATTTTTTGAATTTGAATGTTTTCCTGTCTTGCTAGGTTAGGGATGTTTTCCTGGATAATATCCTGAAGAGTGTTTTCCAACTTGGTTCCATTCTCTTTGTCACTTTCAGGTATACCAATCAAACGTTGGTTTGGTCTTTTTGCATAGTCCCATATTTTGTGGAGGCTTTGTGTGTTCCTTTTCGTTCTTTTTTCTCTAATCTTGTCTTCACGCTATATTTCATTAAGTTGATCTTCAATCTCTGATATCCTTTCTTTCTCTTGATCAATTTAGCTATTGATACTTGTGTATGCTTTACAAAGTTATCATGCTGTGTTTTTCAACTCCATCAGGTCATTTATTTACTTCTCTAAACTGGTTATTCTAGTTAGCAATTCCTCTACCCTTTTTCCACGGTTCTTAGCTTCCTTGCATTTGGTTAGAACTAGCTCCTTTACCTCGGAGGAGTTTGTTATTACCCACCTTCTGAAGCCTACTTCTGTCAATTTGTCACACTCATTTTTTTTCCAGTTTTGTTCCCTTGCTGGTGAGGAATTGTGATCCTTTGGAGGAGAAGAAGTGTTCTGGTTTTTGGAATCTTCAGCCTTTTTGTGCTGTTTTTTCCTCATCTTTGTGGATTTATCTATCTTTGTTCTTTGATGTTGGTGACCTTCTGATGGGGTTTCTGAGTGGACGTCCTTTTTGTTGATGTTTATGCTATTCCTTTCTGTTTGTTGATTTTTCTTCTAACACTCAGGCCTTTTACTGCAGGTTTACTGGAGTTTGCTGGAGGTCTACTCCAGACCCTGTTTGCCTGGGTATCACCAGCAGGGACTGCAGAACAGCAAAGATTGCTGCCTGTTCCTTCCTCTGGAAGCTTCGTCCCAAAGGGGCACCTGCCAGATCCCAGCTGGAGCTCTCCTGTATGAGGTGTTTGTCGACCCCTGCTTGGAGGTGTCTCTCAGTCAGGAGGCAGGGGGTTCAGGGACCCACTTGAGGAGAGAGTCTGTCCCTTTGCAGAGCTTAACACTGTTCTAGGAGGTCTGTTGCTCTCTTCAGAGCTGGCAGGTAGGGATGTTTAAGTCTGCTGAATCTGCACCCACAGCCACCTTTTTCCCCAAGTGCTTTATACCAGGGAGATGGGGGTTTTATCTATAAGCCCCTGACTGGGGCTGCCACCTTTTTTTCCGTGATCCCTTGCCCCGAGGGGAGGAATCCAGAGAGGCAGTGTGGCTACTGCAGCTTTGCTGAGCTGCAGTGAGCTCCATCCAGTTCGAAGTTCCCCAGGGGCTTTGCTTACACTGTGAGGGTAAAACTGCCTACTCAAGCCTCATTAATGGCGGATGCTTCTTCCCCTACCAAGCTCGAGCATCCCAGGTGGACTTCAGACTGCTGTCCTGGCAGTGAGAATTTTAAGCCAGTGGGTTTTAGCTTGCTTGGCTCTGTGGTGGATGGTTCTGTCTTGCTGGTGTTCCAGGCACCACTGGGTTATGAAAAGAAATCTCCTGCAGCTAGCTCGGTGTCTGCCCAAATGGCTTTCCAGTTTTGTGCTTGAAATTCAGAGTCCTGGTGGCGTTGACACCCAAGGGAATTTTTTGGTCTGTGGTTGCAAAGACTGTGAGAAAAGCATAGTATCTGGGCCAGAGTGCACCATTCCTCACGGCACAGTCTCTCACGGCTTCCTTTGGCTAGGGGAGGGAGTTTCCTGACTCTTTGTGCTTTCCAGGTAAGGTGACCCCCCCCACCCTGCTTCCACTCACCCCCCATGGGTTGCACCCACTGTCTAACCATTTCCAATGAGATGAACCAGATACCTCAGTTGTAAATGCAGAAATCACCCACCTTCTGTGTTGATATCACTGGGAGCTGCAGACTGGAGCTGTTCCTATTCAGCCATATTGCCAGCCACTCACAATCTGATTTTTTAAATGCTTATGATCACAGGGTCCCACAGTATGCTGTCTGCAAGCTGTGGGGCAAGGAAAACCAGTCTGAGTCCCAAAACTGAAGAACTTGGAGTCTAATGTTCAAAGACAGGAAGCACCCAGCACCAGAGAAAGATGTAGGTTGGGAGGCTAGGTCGTCTCTTTCTTTGAGACTCCTTAATTGACCCATGTGCAATTTAGGCGTGTGGTGTTTAATTTATTTTTTAATATTTGTTAAGGTACGTTTTATATCCTATGTGGTTTATGTTGGTGAATGTTTTATGTAAGCTTGAGAATAATTTGCATTGTTTCTGTGGTTAGGGATGAAACACTCTATAAATGTCAATGAGATCATTGACATTGGTGATAAGTTAGATCATTGATGGTGCTGTTCAGGTCAACTGTACTCTTACTGATTTTCTGTCTATGTGATCTACCTGTGAGTAACAGAGGGTCATTGAAATCTCCAACTGTAATAGAAATATATAATTCCATTAGTTTCAGCTTCAAGTAGTTTGACACTCTCTTGTTAGCTGCATACACTTTAACGATTGTTATGTCTTATTGGAGAATTGGCCCCTTTGTCATTCTGTTTTTCTTTATCCCTGATAATTCCTGAAATTTGCTTACTATAAAAATAATATTGCTATTCCAGTTTTCTTTTGATTAGTATTATATGGTGTGTCTCTTTATATCTTTGCTTTTAAGTTGTCTGAATCTTTAAATTAAATTTCTTGGAGACTACATATATAAACATGAGGCATTTAATGATGGGGATACATTTTTGATAAATGCATTGTCAGGTGATTTCATCCATGTGTGAACATCATAGAGCATACCTATATAATCCTAGATAATATAGCCCACTACACACCTAGACTATATGTATGGCATAGCCTATTGCCTCTCAGCTACAGACATGTGCGTTGTCTCTGTACTGAATACTGTAGACAATTGTAACACAATACGTTTTTGTGTATCTAAACATAGAAAAACTTCAGCAAATTATGGTATAAAAGATGAAAAAGATACATCTATATAGGCATGTATCATGAATGGAACTTGTAGTACTGGAAGTTGCTCTGAGTAAGTCAGTAAGTGAGTGAATGGTTAGAGAAAGTGAATGCCTAGGATACTACTGTCCACTACTATAGACTTTGTAAACATTTTTAACTTAGGTTATATTAAATTTATATAAAAATAAAGTAATTGCACTACAACATTAGACTGGCTATGATGTCACTGGGCAATAGGAATATTTCAGCTCCATTATAATCTTATAAGATCACCATCATATATTAGGCACATCATTAACCAAAAAGTTATTATATAGCACATGACTGTAGTTGCTTTTTTAGGGGGACACTTTGGCAATCTCCATTTTTAATTGGTATATTTTGGTCACTCACATTTAAAGTTTTATTGATATATTTTGATAAATATCTACTATATTTGTACCTTTTTTGGTGCATTTACATTGTTCTTTTTCTGCCTTCTCTAGATTTATTTAACTTTAATTTTAAGTTTGAGGTACAGGTGCAGGTTTGTTATATAGGCAAACTTGTATCATGGGAACTTGTTCTACAAGTTATTTTGACACACAGATACTATGCCTAGTACCCAACTGTTATTTTTTCTCACTTGCTTTATCCTTCACCCTCCACCCTCAGGAAGGCCCAGATGTTTTTTGTTCCCCTCTTTGTGTCCGTGTGTTCTCATCATGTAGCTCCCACTTATAAATGAGAACATGTAGTATTTGGTTTTCTGTTCCTTAGCATTGGTTTGCTAAGGGTAATGGCCTTCAGCTCCATTCATGTTCCTATAAAATACATAATCTCATTCATTTTTATGGCTGCATAGTGTTTTATGTTCTGTATTTACCACATTCTCTTTATCTAATCTATCATTTATGGGCATTTAGGTTGATTCCATGTCTTTGCTATTGTGAATAGTGCTGCAATGAACATTCGCATGCATATGTCTTTATGGTAGAACTATTTATATTTCTTTGAGTATATAACAGTAACGGGATTGCTGAGTCGAATGGTAGTTCTGTTCTTAGCTGTTTGAGGAATCACCACACTGTTTTCCACAACAATTGAGCTATTTTACACTCTGACCAACAGTGTTTAAGTGTTCTGTCTTCTCTGAAACATAACCAGCATCTGTTAATTTTTTTTTTGACTCACTAACAGTAGCCATTCTGACCAGTGTGAGATGGTATCTTATTGTGGCTTTAATTTGCAATTTCTCTAATCAGTGATACTGAGCTTTTTTCATATGTTCTTTGGCCAAATTCATGTCCTTTTTTGAAAAGTGTCTTTTTATTTCTCTTGCTCCCTTTTTAACGTGGTTTTTTGGTTGTTTTGGTAACTAAGTTTCTTATAGATGTTGAATACTAGGCCTTTGTCAGATGCATAGTTGCAAAACTTTTCTCCCATTTCGTAGTTATTCTGTTTACTCTCTTGATTTAATTAGAACCTATTTGTAAATTTTTGCTTTTGGTTCAATTGTTTTCAGCATCTTGGTTATAAAATTTATGCCAGTTCATATGTTCACATTTTTGCCAGTTCATATGCCTAGGTTGTCTTTCAGGATTTTCATAGTTCTGGGTTTTGCATTTAAGTCTTTAATCTACCTTAAGTGGATTTTTGTTTATGGTTTAGGTAAGGGGTCCAATTTGAATCTTCTGCATATGGCTAGCCAGTTATTTCAGCATCATTTATTGAACAGGGAGTCCCTTCCTAATTACTTGTTTTTGTCAGATATGTCAAACATAGGATAATCACAGGTGTGTGGCCTTACTTCTGGGCTTTCTATTTTGTTCCATTGGTCTATGTGTCTGTTCTTGTACCAGTACCATGCTGATTTGATTATTGTAGCCTTGCAGTATAGTTTGAAATTGAGTAATGTGATGTCTCCAGGTTTGCTCTCTTTGCTTAGGATTGCCTTGGCTATTCAGGCTCTTTTTATTTTCATTTTCATTTAAATTTTTAAATAGTTTTTTTCTAGTTCTAAAAAGAATGTTATTTGTAGTTTTATAGGAGTAGCATTGCATCTGTAAATTTCTTTAGGCAGTGTGGCCATTTTAATGATATTTATTCTTCCTATCTGTGAGCATAGAATATTTTTTCATTTGTTTATATTATCTTTGATTTCATTGAGCAGGGTTTTATATTTCTCATTATAGAGATCTTTCACCTAGCTGGATAGCTGTTGTATTAGTTCATTCTCACATTGCTATACAGAAATGCCTGAGACTGGGTAATTTATAAAGAAAAGAGTTTTAATTGGCTCACAGTTCTGCAGGCTATACAAGAAGAATGATGCTGGCTATTTCCTCAGCTTCTGGGAAGGTCTCCTAAAACTTACAATTATGGTGGAAGGCAAAGTAGAAGCAGGATCATCTTACATAACTGGAGCAGGAGGAAGAAGGGGAAGGAGCTACATACTTTTTAACAAACACATCTCATGAGAACTCTATAATGGAAACAGCCCTGGGGGATGGTACTAAACCATTAGAAACCACCGTCATGATCTAGTCACCTTCCACCAGGCCACAACTCTAACATTGTGGTTTACAATTTGACATAAGATTTGGACAGGGACAGAGATTCAAACCATATTATTCTGCCCCTGGCCCCTCCCAAATCTTATGTCTTTCTCAATTTTAAAATACAGTCATGCCTTTTCAATAGTCACCCCACAGTCTTAACTCATTCCGGCATTAATTCAAAAGTTCACAGTCTAAAGTCACATCTGAGACAAGGCAAGTACCTTCTGCCTATGAGCCTCTAAAATCAAAAACAAGATAGTTACTCCCAAAATGAAATGGGAGTACATGCTTTGGGTAAATACTCCCATTCCATAAGGAAGAAATAGGCCAAAAGTAAGGGGGGGTTTAAAGTATAACATTTACAGCCACAGAACCCAGCAGGGCAGTCGTTAAATCTTAAAGCTTCACAATAATCTCCTTTGACTCCATGTGCCACATTCAGGGCAGACTGGTTGAAGAGGTGGGCTCCCAAGGCTTTGAGCAGCTCCACCCATGAGGCTTTGCAGGGTACAGCTTCTATGGCTGCTTTAATGAACTGGTATTGAGTTCCTGCAGCTTTTCCAGGTGCATGACACAAGCTTTCGGTGGGTCTACCATTCTGGGCTCTGGAGGATAGTGTCCCTATTCTCATAGCTCCACTAGGGAGTGCCTCAGTTAAAATCTGTGTGGGGGCACAAACCCCACATTTCTACCCCACACTGCCTTAGTAGAGATTTTCCATGAGGGCTCTATCCCTGCAGCAAGCTTCTGCCTGGACATTCAGGCATTTTCATACATCCTCTCAAATCTAGGTGGAGGCTCCCAAGCCTCAACTCTTACACTCTGTGCACCTGCAGGCTTAAGACCATGTGGAAACCACCAAGGCTTATTGCTTGCACCCTCAGAAGCAGTGTCTTGAGCTGCGTCTTGGGCCCTTTTAGCCATAGCTGGAGCTGGAATGGCTGGGACACAGGGAGCAGTGCCCCAAGGCTGTTCAGGATGGTAGGGCCCTGAGCCTGGCCATGAAAGAATTCTTCCTTCCTATGCCTTTTGGCCTGTAATAGGAGGGGTTTCCATGAACATCTCTGAAATTCCTTCAAGGCCCATTCTCCATTTTCTTGGCTATTAGCATTTGCCATCTTTTTAGTTATGCAAGTTTTTGTAGCCAGCCTCAATTCTTCCCTTGAAAATGGGCTTTTGTTCATTTCATTTCTTTGTTCACATATATGAGCATAGGTTATTAGAAGCAGCCAGGCCACAACTTGAAAGCTTTGCTGCTTAGACATTTTTTTCACTAGATACCTTAAATTATCACTCTCAAGTTCAAATTTCCACAGATTCCTAAGGCATGAGCACAATGTCTCCAACCTTTTTGGTAATGCATAACAAAAGTTACCTTTCTTCCAGTTCCCAATAAGTTTTTTGTCTCCATCTGAGACCCCTCTTACCTGGCTTTTACTGTCCATATCACTATCAGCATTTTGGTCACAGCCATTCAACAAGTCTCTAGAAAGTTCCAAATTTTCCCTCATCTTCCTGTCCTCTTCTGAGCATTCCACTCTTTTTAACTCTGCCTGTTATCCAATTCCAAAGCTGCTTCAACATTTCCAGGTATCTTTATAGGAATGCCCCACCCCTCATTACCAATTTTCTGTATTAGTCCATTCTCATATTGCTATAATGAAATGCCTGAGACTGGGCAATTTTTAAAGAATATAGATTTAATGGGCTCATGGTTCTGCAGGCTGTATGGGAAGCATTATGCTGACTATCTGCTCAGCTTCTGGAGAGGCCACAGGAAACTCACAATCATGGTGGGTCTGTCATAAATAGCTCTTATTATTTTGAGGTATGTTCCTTCAATACCTTAGCTATTGAGCGTTTTTAACATGAAGGGCTGTTGAATTTTATCCAAAGTTTTTCCTGCATCTATTGAGATAATCATGTGTTTTTTGTCTTTATTCTGTTTATATGATGAATCACATGTATTGATTTTTGTATGTGAAACCAATGTTGCATCCCAGGATTAAATCCCAAGTTGGTCGTAGTGGATTAGCTTTTTGATGTGTTGCTGGATTTTGTTTGCAAGAATTTTGTTGAAGATTTTTACATAAATGTTCATCAAGAATATTGGCCTGAGGTTTTTGTGTATGTGTCTCTCTGCCAGGTTTTGGTATGAGGATGATGGTGGCTTTATAGAATGAGTTGGGGAGTAGTCCCTCCTCCTCATTTTTTGAGGGAATATATTCAGTAGAAAATGTACCAGCTCTTTTTTGTTATCTTGTAGAATTTGGCTGTGAATCCATCTGGTCCTGGGCTTTTTTGTGGTTTGTAGGCTATTTATTACTGATTCGATTTCAGGTCCCACTATTGGTCTGATCAGGGATTCAATTTCTCATTGGCTTATGCTTGGAGCATGGCTGTAGCCAGGAATTTATCCGTATCTTCTAGGTTTTCTAATTTGTGTGCACAGAGGTGTTCTTAGTAGTCTCTGATGATTAATTGTATTTCTACAGGATCAATGGTCACATCCCCTTTGTCATTTCTGGTTGTGTTTATTTGGAAATTCTCTCTTTTCTGTTTTATTAGTCTAGCTAGAAGCCTGTCTATTGCATTATTTTTTTTCAAGAAATCAACTCCTGCATTCACTGATTTTTTTAAAATTTGGAGAGTCTTGATTTTCTTTCATTTAGCTCTGATTTTGATTATTTCTTATCCTCAGATAGCTTTAGGATTGGTTTGCACCTTTAGTTTTTGTTGTTGTTGTTGTTGTTGTTGTTGTTCTGATGTTTGGTCATTAATTTGAGATCTTTCTAACTTTTTGAAATGAGCATTTAGCACTTTTTTTTTTCTCTTACACTGCATTACTTGTGTCCCAGAGATTCTGGTGTGTTCTATGTTCTCATTAGTTTTAAAGAGCTCCTTGGTTTATGCCTTAATTTCATTATTTACCCCCAAATCATTCAGGAGCAGGTTAATTTTGATATAATTGTATAGTTCTGAGCGATTTTTTGTTTTCTTTTCTATTTTTATTGCACTGTGATCAGAGAGAGTGGTTGGTATGATTTTAGTTCTTCTACTTTTGCTGAGGGGTGTTTTATGTCCAATAGTGTGGTTGATTTTAGAGTATATGCCATGTGGCAATGAGAAGAATGTATATTTTCTTGTTTTGGGGGTGGAGAGTTCTACAGAGGTTTATCAAATCCATGTGGTCCAATGTTGAGCTGAGGTCCTAAATACCTTTGTTAATTTTCTGCCTTGATGATCTAATACTGTCAGTGGAATTTTGAAGTCTCCGCCAATTATTATGTGGGAATCTAAGTCTCTTCATAGGTCTCTGAGAACTTGCCTTATCAATCTGGGTACTCCTGTGTTTGCTGCATATATACTTAGGATTGTTAGGTTTTCATGTTAAATTGAACGTTTTATCATTATATAATGCCCCTTTTTGTCTTTTTTGATCTTTGTTGGTTTAAAGTCTGTTTTGTCTGAAATTTGGATTACAACCCCTGATTTTTTCTGTTACCCATTTGCTTGGTAGATTTTCCTCCATCCCTGTATTTTGAGCCTATAAGTGTCACTGCATGTGCGATGGGTGTTTTGAAGAGCATAACATTAAGTCTTGCTTTTATTACACAGATTTCCACTCTGTGCCTCTTAAATGGGGCACTTAGCCCATTTACATTCAAAGTTAGTATTTATATGTGTGGATTTGATACTGTCATTGTGTTTTTAGCTGGCTATTGTGCTGACTTATTTGTGTGCTTGCTGTAGAGTGTCACTGGTTGGTGTACTTAAGTATGTTTTAGTATTGGCTGGTAATGGTCTCCTTTTCATATTTAGTGCTCCTTTCATGATCTCTCATCTGGCAGGGCTGATGATAACAAACTCTCTGAGTGTTTGCTTATCTGAAAAGGATATCATTTCTGCTTTGCTGAGGAAGCTTAGTTTGACTGGTTATAAAATTCTTGGTTGAAACATTTTTCTTTAAGAATGTAATATAGGCTCCCAATCTCTTCTGGCTTGTAGAATTTCTGCTGAGAGGTCCACTGTTAGCTCAATGAGGTTCCCTTTGTAGGTGACTTGGCCTTTACTTCTAGCTGCCTTTAACATTACTTCTTTCATTTCAACCTTGGAAAATTTGATGACTCTGTGTCTTGGAGATTATCTTTTTGCATAAAATCTTGCAGGGGTTCTCTGTATTTCCTGAATTTTACTATTGGTCTCTCTAGCGAAGTTGGGGAAATTCTCATGGATGATATCTTGAAATATGTTTTCTAAGTTGTTTCCTTTCTACTCACCCCTTTCTATGATGTCAATAATTTTAATATTTGGCATCTTTATATAATCATATATTTTTCAGAGGTTCATTCATTGCTTTTCATTCCTTTTCTTTATTTTTGTCTGACAGTCCTATTTCCAAAAGCCAGTCTTCAGGTTCTGAGATTCTTTCCTCAGCTTGGTATATTCTGCTGTTAATAATTGTGATTACATTGTGCAATTTTTGTAGTGTGTTTTTGAGCTCTATCAGATCAGTTTCTTTTTTATACTGGCTATTTAATCTGTCAGCTCCTGTATCTTCTTATTTTGATTCTTAGTTTCCTTGGACTAGGTTTTGCCATTCTCATGAATTTCAATGATCTTCATTTTTATCCATATTTTGAATTTTATTTCTGTCATTTCAGCCAACTTAGGCTGATTAAGAACCTTTGTTGGTGAACTAGTGTAGTTGTTTGGAGGACATAAGACACTCTGACCATTTGAGTTGCCAGAGTTCTTTCATTAGTTCTTTCTCCTCTCTGCATGTGGTTGTTCCTTTTACTTCTGGGCTGCCTCTGATCGAACTGATCAGGTGGGGGCAGGGTGGTTATGCTGGAGTCCCAGATTGAGCATTCCTTCCCAGTAAGGAGAAGTGTGGATCAGGACCTGCATAAAGAAGAGTCTGGCCTTTTTTCCATGAAGTGGATGCTCTGTACTGGGGGTCTTCACCAGCCTCTGGTCCCTGAAGAATTTTCAGAGCCTGGAGACAGCAAGGTTGAGGGTTGTGAGATCACAAAGATGGCAACCAGTCCCTCTCACTGGGAGTTCTGTCTTGGGAAGTTGCAGAATTGCTGCTGGCTCAATAGCTCTGGTGGCAGTTGGCTGGAGACCCAGGCCAGGAGGACCAGTTGAATGAAGAGATACAGGATCAGGGACCCATGTAACAAAGTGTCTGTCCACTTCTCCATAGGAATGCTGCAGTATAATGGGGGTCCACTCCAGTCCCCGGTCACCTTGGATTTTCCAGTACCTGAAGGTGGCAACAGTGAAGGCTGCCAAACAGTAAAGATGGCAGCCTGTTCCTTCCTCTGGGAGCTCCATCCCAGTGAGGTACGGCTCTGTTGCCAGCCTGAACGCACCTGCAGGAAGTAGCTGGAGACCTTGTTCAGGAAATATCACCCAGTGAAGAGTAACAGGATCAGGGACCCACTTAAAAAAGCAGTCTGGCCATTTTTTCATAAAGCAGCTGTTCTGTGGTAGGAATCCACTCAATCCCTTAGTCACCTCGGACTCTCCAAGGCCCACAGGCAAGAACAGCTAAGGCTGCCAAACAGCAAAGTTGGTGGCCCAAACTTTTCTCTGGGAGCTTCTTCCCAGGAAGGTTTGGAACTGCTGTTGGCTGGAAAACACTGGTGAGAGCAGCTGGATACTGTGGTTGGGAGGTCCCCCCCAGTGAAGAGGAATAGGATCGGGGACCCACTTTAAAAAGCAATCTGGTCACATTTTCATACAGCAGATGTGCTGTGCTAGGGGTCTGCATTAGCTCCCAGTGACCAGTGACCTTGGACTTTTCAAAGCTCAGAGGCAAGAACAGCTAAGGCTGCCAAACAGCAAAGATGGTGGCCTTCCCCTCCCTCTGGGGGCTCTATCCCAGGGAAGTTTGAACTGCTGCTGGCTGGAAAACATCTCCAGGGTAGCTATAATCCTGGTTGGGAGGTCCCACCCATTGAGGATGAATGGGATTTGAGACCTGCTTTTAAGAAGCAGTCTGGCCACATTTTCATAGGGTAGCTGTGCTGTGCTGGGGGTCTGCTCTAGCCCCCAGTTGTCTCAGATGCTCCAAAGCCCGAAGGCAAGAATGGCTAAGGTGGCCAAACAGAAGAGATGGCAGCCTATTCCTCCTTCTGGGAGCTCCATTCCAGGGAGGTTTAAAACCGCTGATGGCCACATAACACCAGCAGGGGTGACTGGAGACCCCAATCACGGATTTTTCCCAGTGGAGAGAAACAGGATTTGAGACCTACGTGAATAAGCAGTCTGACTGCTTCTCTATTTAGCCTCTTGGCTGTGCCAGAGGATCGCTCCAGTCCCTATTTGACTCAGACTCCCTAGAGCCCTAGGGCACTCGCTAAGGCTGTGAAGCAGCAAAGATGGTTTCCCACTCCTCCCCCTGGGAGATGTGTCTCAGGGAGGTGTAAAACCGGCGCAAATCTGTCTGGCTCAGAAAAATGCACATAGTGGACTGAAATATTCCGGGTGATGGCCCTACAGAGATACAGTGCCTGGTCCCACCTAACAGTGATGGTAGGTCCCGCATACCATTGCGTCTGGCTTATCATCAGCAATCATTTTGGCCCAGCCATGATAGTGCCCTTTGTGAACTCAGGGTGGTGGCTGGCTGGGGTTCCAAGCCAATGGGTTTTATCCTGTGAGGTGCCATGAAAACAGGACCTGCAGAAAATCTCTGCTCAGCCCCCTGGATTCAACCCCTTTTCTAAGGGTATATATGTATGGGGGTCTATGCCAGAGTTAAGTTGCTTTTGCTGGGAAGCATGGGTATCTAAGGTTCTTGGGGCTCTGCATGTGCCTGAGTGGCTGCTCTGCCAAGATTCCACATAGCTATGACTGAAGGCCCTGGCAGAGTGGGTTCATTAGGGAATCTCCTGAACTAGAAGTTGCAAAGAAGCGTGGGTTCCCAGGGTTTCTCAATCACTCACTGCTTCCCTAGGCAGGGGAGGTTCTCCTGGCTCTGTGTCACTCCCAGGTGGGGAATTGGCCTGCCTTACATTTCTCTGTTCTTCGTGAGTTGAGTTATTTCCTTGATTAGTTCCAATGCATGTACCTGGATATTTCAGTTAAAGGTGCTGTATTTACTCACTTTTTCCGTTCCTTTCCATGACAGCAGCACACCTTCATTTTTTAATTACTTTTTTTTCCTCAGACTGTATTTTCAAATAGGTGGTTTTAGCTCACTGATTTCTTTCTCTGCATGATCCGTTCTGCAGTTAAGAACCTCTAGTGAATTTTTCAGGTCAGCAAATGCATTCCATAGTTCAACAATTTATTTGATTTTTAAAAAATGATTTCAATTTCTTTGTCAAATTTTTCTCCTAAGTTTCTGAATTGCTTTTCTGTATTATCTTGAAGATTATCGAGTTTCCTTCAAACTGCTATTTTGAATTTTTGGTCGGAGAGCTCACATTAAGGTCAGTCACCAGATCCTTGCTTTGACTGTGGAGGTCACAGTTCCCTGTTTTCTTTTGTTTCCTGTGAATGTACGTTTATTTCTTTGCATTGATAGATTAGTTATTTATGCCAGTCGTCTCTGTCTGGCTTGTTTTGGTTTTTATTGCATTTGTTTGCTAGAGATTCGTTTTAGTTTTTCAATTTCTTTCTCTGTACACCTGCCCCTCCCCCACCCCACCACTGGGTTACTACCTCCTTTTTGGCACTACATGATGCCTTAAGCCCAGGTTTGCCTAAGCTTTCATAACAGATCCCAGCACTGCTCATCCCCAGTGGTGGAGGTTCTAAATGGGATAACCTGATAGTGTGGGAAGGCTGGCTGGGGGTTGTGCCGAGTGGGCCTGTGGAATGAACCACTTACAGCATAGTGCTGCTGAATAGCCACTCTGAATGGTGTCCTTTTTGTCTGAGTAACACAGCAGAGTTCTCAGGGCTGTGGGTGATAATGTCCCACTTCCACCCTTTGTGCCTGGCTGTCCTCAGGGAGATTTCTTTTTATGGGCACTCATGATGCATCCTGTGGGTTAAGGCAGGGACGGTTCTCCTGCCAAGAACTCAAGATGGTGGAGGAGCTGGTTGTCTGCCTCAATCTCAGGTATTCCAGTGTAGAACACATAAGTCTGGGGAAATTTTTCTGCATCATTGGTGCAGGGCAGATTGTGGTTGATGTGTTGCAGACATAGAAATCCAAATCTCTGTCTGCTTGGATTTTTTTTTTTTTTACTTCTCTGTGCCCCTGGAACTGCCTAACCTTCATATTTGAGTTCTCAGATATTGCTGGTGACAATCTCAACACTGTACGTTTGATTTAGGTTTTCTCAGGGAGGGAGGGTGAGTGAAGCCAGCTTGCTTCTATCCTGCCATTTTGGAACTGGAAGTTCATCTTTTTTTGATCTGTTGATTTGATAACCAAGAAGGCTGCTAAGTAGCTAATGGGCAAGTAGCTTCTCAGATGATATAGGTTTGATTACCTTAGAGCCACATAGTTCATTTTTTTTTTCTTTAAATGTGCTGAATGCTACTCCTGTGTTAATTTTCTTTGTGCTTGTCTCTGAACCATGTGAAACTGCTTTTCCTGGATTTTCCATCTTGCACTATCATTGCTCTCTGTTACAAGATGCTGCAAAAGGTTTTGCTAACAAATTACTTCTTGTGTTCTATACAGAGATAGTCCTGGGTTCATGAGTGCTACTCACACACCCAACTTCTCTCTAATGATGCCCACTGATGCCCTATTAACCCACAGAAGATGCTTTTTTTATATGAAGTGTGATGGCAAATTAATAGATGGCAAATTGATTTGCAAAAGTTTCTCCAGGTGACAAGGGAGAAGCTTGTTTTCTTACAAGATGATCTCACACCTGCCCCTGTGTGGTCTTCCAACTCTACACCCTGCATGAGAGAAAACCTTCCATTGGCCTCACTCTTGAAATAGATAGGGCAGATACCCCACTGGGGATGCCTGCAGGAGAGTTTCCTCCATGCCTTCCTAGGAACCAGAATAAGGAGATTAAGGTCCAGATTGTGAGAGCAAACCGTCCTTCATGAATGAACACTCAGTGCACCAAAACCTCACTGACTTTTCTAAGGGTAGCCGATGTTCTCCGAAATTCTGATTTACAGACAACTGAAGGCCCCCAAGGGCCTCCCAAGAGAAAGGTAGACTATCACATGTGAACACAGAGGCCTATGGGACAACTTTTTGTCAGAATTTTAAAGGCAATGTGGGACTGTTTCTCATAAGTTCTCACTTAAACATATTGTCCTGCCTCATATGGACTATGTCTATCTCTTCCCTATTTGCAAGTTAGAGAGAAAGAGGATCTCCTGTCACCATGGTCTTGGCTGTTTTCTTATCATACCTCCCAAAAGAAAGGCCTGAAATGGACAATTTGTTTCTGGTTTTGAAGAGTGAGGCTATTGAGCCATGCTGAAGTAAAAAGGGGAAGGCAGCTCCTGCCTTTGGTCTGGTGGATCATCCCTGCTTACCTGCCTGTACCCCTTGCACCAACCTCTAGCTGTCTGCTTTTTCCAGATCTGTCTGGTCCTGGTTTGCACACCTGTTCATGGGGCTCTCCAGAACTGCCTTTCCACGATGGCTCTGCTTTGTGTGCAAAAGGAACAGTACTGCCCACCAGGAGGAGGATAGGCCAGAAACCCAGAAAGATTTCTAGAAAGAGGCTATAACTGGAGCAGAAGTAGGGATCAAGGGATGGAGGGAAGGGGTCTGTTTTCAACTACAGAAGTAACATCCAGGGTGTCAACCACGTTTCTATGGAAGTGTGCATATGTGTGTGCACACACATATACAGCTGTAGATTAGCCCTAGCTGCTGTGAAAGTAGACTGTGCTGTGTGTCTGGTATTTTTCAAACAAGTATCACAGTGACGGACAAGGTTCTGTCTACTTTCCTAACCTTCATTTCTCTTCTTTCTTCATTCACCTCCATCTCCTTCTCCTTTCTCCTTATCCTTTATTTCTTCTTCATCATTATCTTTGTGTCTTTGTCTTAATCTTTTTTTCTCTCTATTTTACCTTCTTCCTCTCTTTTTCTTCCTCCTCTCTTTTTTACCCTTTTCATTCTCTGTTAACAGCCCCAACCCTCTTGCAGTTATCCACATAGGGCCTTCTTCCAGCTATCCCCACCCCTCCAGATATCTATATTCAGCTAATCCTTGCAGAGTCCTTCCTGCATTATGTCTCTTCTTTTCTGTGGCCATCATTTTTCTGGCTGACTCTAAGTCTCCTCAATCTGAACCAGTTTCCATGATTTTCCCAACCTCAAATGTTCCCAATATTTTTATTAAAGTAATCATTGTAAACCTTCTGGTCCTTTGCACACATCAGCAAAGTTCTTTACAGGGCACCTCTGGTAACTTATCACCTTTTGCTTTTAACTCTTTCTTTTTTCTTTCTTTTTTTTTTTTTTTTTTTTTTTTTTGCTCGTTTTAGAATGTTCTTTATTCTGACAGTTGTTGGACAAATATAAGGCATGTTCACAAGTATCTGAAGTTATGTACAAAACACACTCATTCGACAGATATTCCTATTCTCCTTTTGTACTTGCTGCTGCAAACTGATCTTTCTGCATGTTAACACCCATAGCGCTCAATTCTTATGGATATGCAGAGAATGTTTTGGGGACCACCGTGGAGAACCTGTTTCAAACTAAGACGTAAGCTTCTTTGAACTAAGTCACTAAGACATCAGAACTCACGGTGAACAAAGGCAGAGGAAGGTGACCAAATCAGCTCATAATCTCATGACTCTAAGTTTACAGTGGAACAAAGAACACATTGAAAAACATTTTTTGATCCTTCATGTTGGAGAGAAATGGAATGTGTCCAGAATTCATGGTTCTACATTTATCACTGTCTAAAAGTCACAAAACAATATCTAATTTTTTCATGGTTTCAAATGCAGTTACAGTTTTGTTCTTAGGCCACAGTACAAGATTGCATGCATTACTTTACACAAATGTCAAACACAGAATGATTGTAACACAGACAGCTCAGGGTTGTCTAAAGACACAGCTTCTCTTTTTGTGGTGGGGTCGGGAAGGAGAATGATGGTGGCCATTTCCATACACAGCCTGTTGTGTGCTCAGCACGGCTGGATGCGGATCCCAAGAACTTGCTGACTGACTCACAGAAGAGGACAGAAGCTGCTGAGGAGGGCAGCAGAGTTCAAAGAGCAGTCTCCAACTGGGGGCTGGGATGACGGACACAGAGCCTCGATTCCAGGGGGAAAAAGTCTTAGTCAATACTAATTAAAAACTGTTATCGATTTTTGAAAATCAGATTACATCTATAAAAGATGAAAAGTAAACACTTAAAACAATCTATTGAGGGGAACATAAAATAATAAAAAATGAAATGCAGCTGGGATTTCACAAAGAGGAGATTTGAATCTTTTGGTCTCAATCAGCCAATATTTTAACATTAACTATAAATTATTAAAATGTAGTTTGCTTATGCCCATTCTTAAAATGCAGAATCTTTGAGGAAAAATATAGGCATATTTTCAGGAATACAGACTCTTGTGAAAAATTTTAAAAGTCAGTATCATCTCTCTTGCGGAGCTACTGAACAGGTTTTTCAAACACAAAAGGGGAACAAACATGGGGCGCTTGAATATGTTAAAAATTCTTTTTTTTTTTGAGACAGAGTTTCGCTCTTGTTGCCCAGGCTGGCGTGCAATGGCGCAATCTCGGCTCACCACAACCTGCGCCTCCGAGGTTCAAGCAATTCTCCTGCCTCAGCCTCCTGAGTAGCTGGGATTATGGGCATGCACCACCATGCCTGGCTAATTTTGTGTTTTTAGTAGAGACGGGGTTTCTCCATGTTGAGGCTGGTCTCAAACTCCTGATCTCAGGTGATCCGCCCGCCTCGGCCTCCCAAAGTACTGGGATTACAGGCGTGAGCCACCGCGCCCGGCCGAATATGTTAAGAATTCTTATCACTAGAATACTGCTTTGAGGCGCTCACAGTACTTTCCAAAAGAAACTACCCACCTCAAAGAGCCCTGCACAGCCCAAGCGACCCATGAGTGTGGTAGCCATCATTTTGTTAGCCACTGCTTGGCCATCATCAAAGTATTCACTCAGAGTGGGGAAATTACTTAATATCAATGATATTAACGATTTCCATGGATTTAGCTTTGTAACACACAATGCACAAGGGTCTTCAGATGTTTGCTTTTTACACCAATGGTAGGAAATTGTCATTCTTCCGATTCAACACGCTGGCGGATGACGCTTTAGTGAAGTGTGACTACCTAGAGGAGCAGGAAGGCGGCTCCCGATTCTCACTGGGCCAGCCTCTTCCAGAAGGTGCAGGCTACTCTTCTGACAGGAGATCACAAGTCTGGCAGGCTGGGCAAGCGCTCTGCCCTTTAAGCCACTGCTTAAAACACCCTTTGTGATACTTGTGCCCACATTTGAGCACACGCACGTTTTTTGATTTGAACACCTCGTGACATATTTCACAGGAACTTGCACCCAGTGCAACCCTCACAGGGACATCTTCTGCTTTCTGCCCCTTGGTTTTGGGTGATGGTGCAACAACCGCCAAGGGTGGGCCCTGGGAGGACCTGGTCACGTGGGCGGCAGAGCTGGGCTCATAAGTCCTCTTGTCCTTTCCTGGGTTTGGCTTTTTCTTTTTCTGTTCATCTAGAATGTGTTCTGTCACTCTTTGGACAATTTCATCAATACTCAATCCTGAAAGTGAGTTCTTGTTTTTGCTTCTCACTTTTTTAATAAAACCAGCAAGCTCAGTGCTGTTGTAACATGGGAATACCACTGACAGGTGCTCAATAATACTATTGAATGGCTTTTTTGGAGACTGGCTTGAACATGCAGCACACCCTGGAGGAACAGGCTGCTTCTGATCAGCCGCAGGGCTTTGCTCTGACAGAGCTGCCTGGCCAGCCCCTTTTGGCCCTGGCAGCTGAGTGGCTTCAGGCTGAGAGGGGGGTGGCCCTGGCAACAGTGCAGAAGGAGCCTCCCCTGGGGAATCGCCGGCAGAGAACACACTGGGATCCCTGTGAAGTGCTGCTTGGTTTCCAGTCACATCGCTTGCGGAAGTCATAAACCCTTGGTCATCATGGCCTGAAGACTCAGGGAGTAACTCAGGATGAACCGTGTTACAGGCAGGAAATGAAAGCTCAGAAATCTGCACTTTAGAAAGTTCACTGAGCCGAGAACCATTTTTAATTGCCTTAATTTGTTCTTCAAACTGATACTTTGCTTTCTCAGTTTCTTTTGTAACATTAGAAAGAAACAATTCCCATGAACATATATCGGACTCCATGTCAGGATATGCTGCAGGATCATGGCTAATCAGCTCCAGCTTCTTCAGATAGGCTTCTGCTTGTGACTGCATGATCTGTAGCTTATACACTTCACTCTCCTTCCAGTTTTCAAGTACGGATACCTCTGCAGCCACAGCTCTCTGATGACTCTCTTCATAATCCTTTTTCCCTTTCTTTATACACTCTTCTATTTTCATTTTCTCGTTTGTAAGTGTGTTGCTGATTTCAAGGGACTGATCCAGATGTAATTCATGTTCCTTATCGTTTCCATCATTTTTCTGGGTATACATTTCATTGGCATTTGAAACCTTTTTAATTTTCTTCTTCAGTGATTTTAGTGTTTTTTGGATTTCTTTTTTTTCCTCTTGCCATTTTTTAATTTCTCTTTCCAAATCTTGAAGCAACCAATCTAATTCTGTCTTTGATATCTTGTTTTCTTCTAAGTGCCTTTTCAACTTTTCTTCCAGGTCCCTGGTCTCTTCTAAGCCCTTAAGTTTTATCTGCTCATAATTTTCATACGCTTCTTTAAGTTGGTCTTGTAATACTTGGTACTCCTTTTCAATCCGTGAAATTTCCCCTTGTTGTTTCTCAAAAGGATTATATGGCTCAGTATTGACTTCTTGGTGTGTTATGTTCCAAGATACCTGTATGGCAACCATCTGCACCTGTGGAATGTTTGTTACTGCACTGGTGCTTTCTGGAATTACTTCACATTTGTTGTTAGAATTTCCACAGTGCCCATCTTTTCTGTTAGACTCACTCAGGACTGTATGAGCATCACCTGTGCTGCACTGTGACTTTACAGATATTAACGAAGAATCCTCAAGGATCTGTGTTTCGGAGGCAATCTGGTGACCAGCAGCATTCTCAGCATTCAAATGATGACCCTCAAAATAGGCAGTAGCATTTTTATCTGCTCTGTCATTGGCTACAAAAGACGGCACCACTGGTACTGATCTTGGTAGCTGATATTCAGGAGAAAGGCTGACCAAGGGTGTATATATGCTGGTGTACTGGGGCAAACCTGGTAACACATTTATGTATGCTGGCGATGTCCGGGTGTTATCAAATCTCTGGAAAGGAAGATACGTACAGTATCCTGTGACCAAATGGGATTGAGCCCAATAAGTTGGTTTCACATCCTCAAGAACCGGTTTGGGAGAATTAGAGGAGACTCGCTTGTAATTTGCATCCTCAGAGCCTGGTTTGGGAGAATTAGAAGAGAACCCTTTGGGTTTCCCATCCTCAGAAACTTGTCTAGAAGAATTATCGGATACTGGTTTGGCCTTCACATCTTCACAAGCTGGCTTGGGAGAATTTGCAGACAAAGGTTTGGGTTTCACATCTTCAGAAGCTGGTGCTGAAGATGAACCTGATACTGGTTTAGACTTTACATCTGGTTTAAATTCCCTAGCAGCTGAATTAAGTGGTAGTTTAACTTGTAAATACTCTCCTGCTTTTGAAATGTCTTCTACTTTTGTTTTAATGTTTTTCTTCTTTCTTTTTTTCTTGAGCCGTGATGCAACTTTCTTCAATGCAATACAGTTGTCAATCACAACAAAACGGGGACATCCCAAGAGAAAAGATTTTAAACCTCCTGCTTTTTCTAGTATTGGTCGAGTTTCTTCTGGGAAAAACTCATATTCTTCAGAGAACATCTTGTGACTCATGTCCAAGGGACCATGTTCCTCCAACAACTGAGAGAAGTAATCATATAGAGTTGAACATTTTTGTTTTGGGTTCATGTCCCATAGCTTCTTATTGCGGACAACATATTCATTACTGTGTTGGTCATAGAGAGCTTCAAATTCTTCTACGTCTTGCCGAAGATGGTCAGGCACTGCAAATGGGCCTGCAGTATCTGAATTTTGATTGCTATGGTCTTCACTTGAAGTGATGATCTCATTATTTGGAGTTACTGAAGTTGTTCCAGACCCAACTAACATAGGCTTTGAATCCTTTGGTTTCTTTTTCTTGCCTTTGTTTTTCACCTTGGTAGAACTAAACGGTGCTTCGCCACTGTCTTGTTTCCTTAACACAGTACAGCGGCTGTCCATTATATCAAAGAATTCATCTAAAGCACTATGTAATGCTGGGAACTTGTCTCTGTGTTCTTCTAGCAGCCATATTAAACAGCGGGCTTCCTTCGATGATGTTGGCTCAAAGAAATAATCAAGTTGCTTTCCTTCTATAGAGTCTAGTTTGTGACCATATTTCTCATTCCAGAGGAAAGTCATGATGCTAAAATCAAGCTGTTTAAGAGATGCTTCATACCGAGAAAAGAAAGGTCCTGTGGCATCTAAGCCAAAGCTATTAAGTTTTCGGATCCAGGCGGCTAATTTGGGCTCCACTTCTTTAAGCTCACTCAAAACATGCAGAAATATTCTTGTCTTTACTCTGTTCTTTTCTTGAATCAAGTGACGAATAACATAGTCCACTGCTTCATTTAGAAAATTTCTGCTTGAAAAACAGGTTGTATAGTCCTCTGTGCTCAAAACTTTCCAAGAAAGTAATTCTTTGAGAAGCGTGGCTGTATTCCATATGCCGGATTTAATCTTGTCAGCATACTGCTTTATACACTGTAGAATTCTGTCATCAAGGAACTGACAATGCTGAACATTGTCTACAGTTTCTTTCTGCTCTTCGTTTTTGGGTGGATTACTTTCTCTTAAGTCCTCCTCCATTCTTTCTTGTGCTAATTTTTTTGCTTCTTTTTTTTGGATCTTTCTCTTCAATTTTTTGTCTTCTTTCAGTCTTAGTTTCTCTAGGCTAGAACATTTCTGTTTCAGAATAGGTCTTGGAGGAACCTTTTCTTTTATGACCTTGTGTTCAAATTCACATTTAACTTGACCACCACTGCTGAAGATGATAATCTTAGAAATGACACCTTCACAGTCAGGGGTAAGACATATTCCTTGTAGAAAATCCTTGTCAATTTTATCATTAAAGGTTGTGGTTTTTAACTTCTTCCAGCAATTCATGTGAAATTCTATTTTACAGTACTGGCAACAGCTGATGCGTATAAAACCCTTAAAGTCTGGATCAGTTATGTATATCTGGATCTTAGAATATCCACAGCACTTCTGATAGCAACAAATGGCATCTGGCACTGGAGGGAACTTGCATTCTTCAACAAATTTCTCTAACAGCATCTTTATTTTTTCTGGCTGAGACTCTTCAATAATCACATTACTTGTGGGCCAAGTTAACACTCCAGGAAGACGATAAATCAAGGTTCTTGCTTTCTCAAAGTGATTGAGAGCTTCTAGAAATCTGTTTTTTTTCAAATATACTTTTCCAATTCCACAGTAGGCCAAGCAATCAAGTCCCTCATTGTGGTAGTGTTCAATAATCCTCTTAAACTGGTTTTCAGCTTCAGATAGTTCTTCAGGCTGTCCTATTCCAAGGAGTGAAATGGCAAGTCCATAGACAACCAAGACATAGTTAATCATGGCCAGATTCAATTGCTTTATTTTTTGAGGATCTAAACCATTCAGCAACTCTGTAAAGGCATGTGCGGCACTGCGGCAACGCTGCTCCAATAAGGCTGTATAGCCATCTTGAATTAAGCTTCTCAGCATTGTCATTATATTAGCAAAATCCTGGTGTGCACCTCTGGAAGATTTAGAAAACTGTTTCTCCAAGATGTTCTTCAAATCTGCTGGTAAAGTCAATTGTGAACTAGAACTGAACTTTTCTGATTCATTGTTTCGAGATTTTTGTTTTCCTTTATGTTTCGGAGGCTGACTTGATGGTGGTGAAAATTCAGGATGACAGTCACAATCATCTACCATCAATGCCTCATCCATCACCTTTAGATTCTGATTACCACCGTTAGCCATTTCGTGATTAATTTTTCTGAAATCTCTTTCCTTCTCCACAAAGTTAAGTGAAGTACTAAATACAGGTGCTGATAAACTCCTAGGTGTGTAGGCCCTGTTTTCATAAAAGGCTTTAATTGGATTCTTATTTGCTGTTCGACCTTGTAGGTCTTCTATTTGTTTTTGTAACTTTACATGCTGCTGAATTAGATCCTTGATTCCCTCAGGGTCATTTTTACAGAGTTTTTGAGCTGTTATGTTTGCTTGCAGGGCCCAGTTATATTCCCCCAGCATAGAAAGAGCATCACAATAACGATAATGACCCTTTGGCCAAGTGTTCTTCAGAATAGTGGCTCTCTTTCCATCACCAAGTGCATTTCTAAACTGTCCAGTACGAAGAAAACAAAGAGCTCGGTTACCATAAAGAAGGTGGTTTTCAGGTCTATATTCAATGGCTCTGGTGTAATAGATAATAGCTATATCAAATCTTTCTTTGGAAAACTCTTCATTTCCTTTCATTTTCATTAGTTCTCCTTGCTCTATACAATCCATACAACTTTGGGTTTTAAGTTCTTCAAGCAAATTGCAGTCTTCCATTACAATTTTAGTTATGTGGTACTTGTATTCAGTAAAGAAAATACTTAACATAGGCCAACAATTGTCAATTGATCCTAATTTAGTTAGAATTGTTACATCGCCTGCATATTTTATCCAATTCAGAGCTTCTTCCATTGCCAAGATTTTATTTTCTATTTTATAACCAATTCTCAATAAGCCTCCAATAAGGAGTGAATCATTAGCAGCTTTCTTTGCCAAATCCACAATATCTTCCATCAACTCAAGATGTTGTAATCTCTTCAAATTTATCTCGGAAGCACGTGAATTGTTGGCGTCCACACAGGGATGCAATCGTGATATTACAGAACTGTTTTGATGTTGAAACAGAAGTGGCCAGAAGATGTTTATTTTAATGGCATCACAATAATCTTGCAGGACAGAAATTGGTTTACTACACCATATACTGCAGATGTCAAATTCTAAATTCCTCTCACTTTGGACATAATCTTTATATTGCTTACCCACCCCATCACAGTAAAGCTGAGTCACACGAACATAATCATCGGTCATAAATTCAGCAGCAAAGACACAATCGTCCACGTAAGGGCAATCTTCTAACAAGGCATAATCCGCCATAGTGAAATCTCCCTCAGCAAAATTGTCCGTGATGCACAAGTCACGCACACACGGAGGGGTGTGGAAGGCCCCGCTCCCCTGGCATCTCGGCTGCAGCGGGACCAGGTAACACATCCGGGAGCCCGGCCGCGCGCCGGGTGTGCACTCACCCGGGCCTGCCGCCCGCGAGCCTGGGACGCAGGCATCCGCCGCCGCCGCCGCCGCCACCGCCGCCGCCGCCGCGGCCGCCGCCGCAGCAGCCGCCGCTGCCGCCGCCGCCGCCGCTGCTGCCGCTGCCGCTTCCGCCGCCGCCGCCGCCACCTCCGGCCCTCTACGTCAGCGGACGGTGGGAGGGAGCGAGTGCTTTTAACTGTTTCGGTGTCAATACTGACCACAGTCATTATTTTCTCCGGCTGTACTTTAAAGTCTTAATGGTTGAAGCCATGTATCCTTTGCCCACAGACCAGAGGAAGGGGAACCAGGTTCTTTCAGGAAAGTGCATGGGGGATGCCTCTCTCTCATCATGTCCCCTGACTCCCAGGTGTAATCATAATCTCCTCATGGAAGTGCCAGGCACATAGAGAGTGCTCTTCCTGCTGCCTCCACTCCTGCTAGACAGAGCCCTGTCAAGGTCATCCTAAGGGCTGGGATCCACTAACAGCTTTGACCTTAAAGCAGAGTCTGATATTGGGGATGTCATTTCTTCACTCTGATGTACTAATTTTTTTTTTTATCTATACGCTGATGAGAGGCTGCTCAGACACCTGCAAATTAGCATCACACTCCCCTAGGTTCTCTAGCAAGATATTCTGGGAGGAAAACCTCTGAATCTTATTTCTACCTGTTGCTCAAGGAAGGGACTGTTTCCAAAGAAAATCACAGTCGTATACAGGGGAGCTTTTCTGTGTCCCTTTTTCTCCTTTGTTCCTTTTCCCCTCTCTCTCTTTTAATGGCACCCATTTCTTCCCATCACTTAGAATCACTGAGAATCTTTTTTTACCCTGGCTTATAAATTGTGTAGAATTCCTGTAAAGTATGGTGCTCCTTTGTCTGTTTCCATTGTCTCTGACCTAATTTTTGACTGACTGGCCATTTACCTGATCCACTTTAAAAGCCAGGAGAACTGTGTTCTCATTTCAGAAGAAACTGTGTTACCCTGGCCAGTTTTCTTCCCTTTTCTGGGATTCATTTCATCTGTAAAATGGGGGGCGGGGGTTGACCATCCTGGGTTCTATCTGGAGGTCGATGGGAGTCAGAGAGAGAGCTCTGACATGGTGATGCAGGGCCTTGAACTCCACTCACAGCTCTGCTGCTAACCTAGCATGTGATTTAGTTCTAGTCCCTTTCCACTTCTGAGCCTCAGTTCCCCATCTAAGCAGCCATGACTGACAAGGGAGAAGTCTTAGACTCCCACAAATGAGGACCTTGATCCCCTAACATGACTGTGTGTTCATAAGACCCGTATCCTCTGATCTTGAGCAGATAGAGCCTTTTCTTATCCTCTGGATTGCTTCTTGGAAATGGCTGTAGCGAAAGCCTCTTCTTTTGTGCTTGATACTTTATTTTCCCAGGTAAGCTCCCTCTACCTTTGTCCTGGGGCATGTATTTATGGATATTTTAGTTAGAAAAAGCTATCAATTAGTGTAATTAGCTTATTGTCACCTTCAATCTTGACCCTCTCCCTGCACTGTCCCCTACCCACCTCAGGTTCTCTCTTATTTTAACTTAGTGAGCAGAGCTCCTGGCTGCATCACCATAGCAACCAGCAGCTAGGACCTATTAAGCCATGATGAGTCATTAGACATCTAAGCTGATTATAGAGTCCAGAATGTTAACTGCAGAAGAGATGCTGAAAGAAGGAAAATGAGGCAGATCTTAACCTACAAACAAGTAGACAACAGAGTAGCTGAGTGCTTCAAACTATCCCCGACCTGGATGCCATGGGCGCTATGGGCCTGGGTGTCAACACCTTGGCATGTACCCTCAGCCACCAGACCAGAGGGAGGGGCACCAGGCCCATTCTCTTCCCAGGGAAGTAATTCTGGACACCTTCCTGCCAACATGCTCCAAGTAGATGGATTTGAGTCTGGATTTTTCAATGGGCAGTACCAATTACTGAGTTCATCCTGAGTCCTACTCCTAATCTAGTGACACATTTCCTTATCTTTCAACTTTCCATAGAAGTTTCTTAAATGAAAAAGGGCATTTTTTTTTTTACTTGTTTGAAACTCTCTTTTCCCAGTCAGTTCCCCTGCTGCCTTGGCCTGTATTTGTGGCCTGTTAAATTTAAAAGTCTATCAGTTAGTCTAATTAGGATATTCAAATTTTAATTATTTTCCCTTCTCCACATGGGCAGCCACCCACCCTTCTTTTATTCTCTCTTTTTATTTCATTTAGGGAAAAAAGCTCTTGGCAGGATTGCTATAGAAACCAGCCACCAGGCAGACTAGGCCATTGTGCTTCTGGACACTGATACTCAAAGCTGATTATGGGTCTGGAAGCTTGCATGGCTGAGCAAGACTGATGGAGTTAAGACAAAGAGGGTCTCAGCTACAGAGAAGGGGAAAATAAGCACCTCAGAACTTTAGACAAACCTCAGCCCTACCTTTATCTTTGCCCCTGTATGCTTCATGGAAGAAAAAAGTTAGAATGAGGAAGGCTGTCCCCTATTAAAGATGAATGTCTGGGTTGACATCAGAACTTGTGCCCTTAGGCTAACCCTGCCATGACGACAAACCCACACCTGTGAACATGTCATTTTCACTGAGTATCCCTAGTTCCTATTAAATTACCTGGCATATACTTAAGGTTCTCATAGTGCTTGGTGCTCAGCAATTCTGTAAGACAGAGCACTACTAGTGAGAGCACACTGAGACTACCTTGGAACATGAGCAAGTGAAGACTTCCTAACACACTGGATTTTTCTGGGAAATGACACTAATGAAAGCCTCTGCTATGTGCTCTAAGGCTCCCTGTTTGCAATTTACCTCCCCTGCCTTCTGGCAGTGGTGGTGTAAATGCCTGGTGGAGGGGCTTTGAAAGCTGTTAGTCACTGAAGTACCTAAGTGTATTAGGCTATTATTGCCTTCAAGGATTTTCCCCTGGTCCCACAATGCACCCCTGTCTACATTAACAGGCTCCCACTCATTTACACTGGGAGAGCAGTGCTCCTGGACACATTGCCATAGCAACCAGAAGCCAGACAGAGTAGGAGGGTGAGCCAGACATTTGACAGCAAAGGTTAGTGGAGTATCTGTTGGAGAGGGGCTGACTCTTAGGAGGAAAATACCTTATCTCTCAGCTGCAGAGAAATAGGCCACTAGGCCCCTCAGTGTTCCAACACCATCCCCTCCCCATCCTCCATCCCCATGCCTCCAGATGAGGAGTAGTCAGAATGAGTTTTGTTTTATCTGGAGGCCAAGGCCTGTGTTTTATCAGAATAGGTATCCTTTGCCCCGAAGCCGGTCAAGGGAACCAGGTACCACATACTTCCTCCTACGCCACCTTGTTACCAAACTAACACCCATGAGTGAACATATGCTCCAAATGTGTGTTCCCATGACTGCATCTCCTGTGCCTAGAATAGTGTCAAGTATATGGCAGTGCAACTTTCTGCACTTCCCCTGTCTACTCACTCCATTGCAGTTCACACCTTATCATTTGCAGAATTCCATTTACTACTGGAATACCCACTGTATTAGTCTGTCCTCATGCTGCTAATAAAGACATACCCGAGACTGGACAATTTACAACAGAAAGAGGTTTAATGGACTTACAGTTTCTTGTGGCTGGGGAGGCCTCACAATCACAGCTGAAGATGAAAGGCACATCTCACATAGTGGCAGACAAGAGAAGAGAGCTTGTGCAGGGAAACTTCTCTTTTTAAAACCATCAGATCTTGTGAGACTTATTCATTATCATGAAGAACAGCACAGGAAAGAACTGCCCCCATGATTCAATTACCTCCTAACGGGTCCCTCCCACAACATGTGGGAATTCAAGATGAGATTTGGGTAAGGACACAGCCAAACCATATCAGCCACAGTCTCAACTGATGACACTGAGAACATGAAAGTAAAGGAATAGCCTTTAAAAACTTCTCACTTCCATGCATCTGCAACTTGATACTCTGCTTTCCCTTTCATCACTATGGATAAACTCTCTACATTCCTATGAAAACCCATACCTACCGTTGGCCACTAGATTACACCCCTTCTTGACTATTCAATGCATGGTCCCAGCAATGCTGTCTGTGCTCTTTGCCACATCATCAATTTACCTTTATGTACTGGATGATTCCCATCAGTACACAAAGATTCCACAAGTCTCCCTTGCAACAACAACAACAAAACCAACAAGAAAGAAACAAAACACCCTACCTTAACTGTACAACCCACTCCACCTACTGCATCATCTCTGTACACCAAACTTCCTCAAAAATCATTATGTGGTCTTGATTTGTTCACTTATGTACTCTCATTTTTTTCTTGAACCCACCCTAGTCAAGCTTTTATCCCCCACTCCATGGAAATAGCTCAAGATCCCCAAATAACCTGCATATTGTTAAACCTAGTGATTATTTCTCAGGCTGGTCTTACTTGACTGAAAAGTAGAATTTGACACAATTGATCACTTCCTCCTCCTTGTAATACTTTCCTCACTTAATTTACAGGACATTTCTGTCTCTTGGTTGTGCTTCTGCTTCAGTGTCTGCCATTTTTCAGAGTCATGGCTAGTTACTCCTCACTGCTTTGACCTCTTCACCCTGCTAGAAGCTATTAGTCAAAACATAAGTTTTTATTTAGCCAATTGAAGGTGTGTAACATAGGACTGTGGTTGTCAGAATGGAAACCACTTGGGCCTTCATATAGGTGGCTGAAGAAATTTATCCAAGCAAGAGATAGCATCAGGTCCTGGGCTAACAGCTTTCTGGTTGGGAAAGACCCCCAACACCTGCCTTCATTCAGTGAGACAATTGTATGACTCACCTGCAGTAATGTGCAGGTTAAAGGTAACGAGTTGAACTTGTAGCTTGCCCCTCTCTCACTACATAAACTCCTTTCTTCTCTCTGGAAGGAGTTCAGTTTCCAGCAGAGGTGATGACAGATTAACAGATTCCAGTTTAAAAAGTGCTATAACCCTGAAGGGGGTGGGGTATGTTGGTAGATAAGAGAAGTTAGATCTTTAATAAATCCCACAAATTATTCTGGGCAATTTATTTACTGAGAATTTTTAACTCTCAAGTGTTAAGATTTTCCTAGATAATCATTTGTTTAATTCAGGTTTTCAAAAGCATTTACTTCAGACTCCTTTTATTCTCTTAATTTCTTTTCTATTGCTGTTTTAAAAACAAACAAAAAAAATACTTAGTGACTCAATTAAAAAATATTATTGGTGAGGGGATGAAGCACAGTTTCAAAGAGTTACAAATTAAAAATATTAATTGGCATCTGAATTGCAAGAATCCATTTACCTCCACTCTCTAAGCTCTAATGATGTTTGTGTCCCCAAGTCAAGTTCCAAAGTAACCATTATTCCCAATAGGTAAAATTCCTCTGACCTCTGGTCCTGTTGAACCTTAAGGCTTACCATAAAATTGCTTCAAATTGCAAGAAATGAGCGTGGAATTCTTCCCTCCCCCTAGCCAAGGCCTGTTCTAGTTACAACCAACAGTCGATAAATCCCAGTGCTTCTCCCATAGTCCCAACCCTCTCGTGCACTCTCACTACCTCATTGAGGGCTTTGGAGTTTCCAGGATACAGCATACGAGTCTTACCAAAATCCCAGATGGGGCACCTCTCAGTCATAACTTAAGAAGATGCTCTCAGATCTTGACTCCCAGATTCAGCCCAGACTCACTATGATCTTGAAGTGCCTTGTGAACTTTAACAAATGGCCCATCCTGTCCCCAGTCTCTGGTGCATAAACTGTTTCCCACATCAATCACGAGCACAGGTTCTATGCCATCCAACACTGCATTGTTCCTTGACATGTTTTTTTTTTTTGTTTGTGCAGTCAACACATAATTGATGAGGCACATTCTACATGACAGGCACTACACAAGAGACTGAGGGGTGAACTGATTAGCACCCTGCCCCTTTGGTGACCTGTTAAGATATAATAATAATGGTCATACTGAGCTCTGAGAGTAAAATAAAAACAGCAGTACACTCAGGAGGGGCCAAAAATATTCCATTCCTTCCTTCCCCATCAACTTTTTATTTGTGGATCCTCAAGGCCGAATGATCCTGGAAGACCCCTGTCTGCATAAAGACATTTATTTGTGGCCTTTCATTTCAAGTAATTGAGTTTTGATATCTATACCAAACAAAGAAACGTCCAGACCCCCATCACATTATAGCTTCCCCTAAACAGTTGTTTGCAACAAACAGGTTCAGTAAGTGACCAGTTATAAGATTAATATATAAGAAAATAGCTTTCCAGTGACTAAAATCCAGCTGGAAGGGCAAGGAAGTTTTACTTCATTACTGCATCTCCTAAGAAGCTTACTAAGTCTCTGTTTCCCAAATATGTGAAAAGCAATAAGTTGCTTCTAGGGTAAGAAGCAATAATGTATGTGTATGGAATGAACTGGCATTCACCTGAAGCTCAATAAAAGTTATTCCCTTCCCTTTGGAAAAAAAAAACCCAGTTCTCAAGGTGGGACTACAGAAAATGTTTGCTTTTCATCAATTCTTTAGGTAATTTTGAGCTTCATCTTGGGGCTGAGAATTTGGGTCAGGACCTATTGAGAATAGCCACCACTCACCTCAAAAGAGATCACATCAGGAGGTTCATAATCTGTTTCTATCTTTCAAGTATTCTTATTGCTTTTTCACATTTCTCTTTCAGTACCTTACAATGGAAATATGGGCATTTCATAAAACAGAACGAGATAGTCATGTGCACAGCATTATCAGGGCCAAGCTTTGGAAAAATGGACTCTGATATTCAGGACAATATCCTTAGCAAAGGGCAATTTTGATTCTCAAACGCGGACCAGCAAAGTGCTTTGCAGTCTAATGATCCAAGCCTACCTCCAGTTTTTCTTTTGACATCTGAAGCCTTGAACTGATTCCGGTTGCAACCACTTTACAATGAAGGTTTTAAAATCCCTAACACACAATTCTATCAACCCTTACTCTTCAATCAGTCAAGTACCCTACGTTTCCAATCCTAGAAATTAGGCTGCCTCCATTCCCTGATATATAGAATGCTTTCAAATTTATAATCCAGTGCCAAGTCTTGCTTCCATCCCTGACTTTTTTACTTTCTTAAGAATCAGAAACCATGAAGAATTCTGGGCCCCTTGCTGATCAGCACAGTGCTATGAGAATTTCACAAGCCAAGGACAGTACAGATCCAGAAATCCTGTTTTATAAACTGTGTCAAGATTCAAAGTCCATTTTCTTTTTTATTATTATTATACTTTAAGTTCTAGGGTACATATGCACAACGTGCAGGTTTGTTACATATGTATACATGCGCCCTTTTGGTATGCTGCACCCATTAACTCATCATTTACTCTAGGTATATCTCCTAATGCTACACCTCCCCCCTCCCCCCACCCCACGGCAGGCCCCCGTGTGTGATGTTCCCCATGCTGTGTCCAAGTGTTCTCATTGTTCAGTTCCCACCTATGAGTGAGAACATGCGGTGTTTAGTTTTTTGTCCTTGCCATAGTTTGCTGAGAATGATGGTTTCCAGCTTCATCCATGTCCTTGCAAAGGACATGAACTCATCCTTTTTTATGGCTGCATACTATTCCATGGTGTATATGTGCCACATTTTCTTAATCAGGTCTATCATTGATGGACATTTGGGTTGGTTCCAAGTCTGTGATATTGTGAATAGTGTCACAATAAACATATGTGTGCATGTGTCTTTATAGCAGCAGGATTTATAATCCTTTGGGTATATACTCAGTAATGGGATGGCTTGGTCAAATGGAATTTCTAGTTCTAGATCCTTGAGGAATCGCCACACTGTCTTCCACAATGGTTGAACTAGTTTACAGTCCCACCAACAGTGTAAAAGTGCTCCTATTTCTCCACATCCTCTCCAGCACCTTTTGTTTCCTGGCTTGTTAATGATTGGCATTCTAACTGTTGTGAGATGGTATTTCATTGTGGTTTTGATTTGCGTTTCTCTGATGGCCAGTGATGATCAGTATTTTTTCATGTGTCTGTTGGCTGCCGATCCCACAGAAATACAAAGTACCATCAGAGAATACTATAAACACCTCAACGCAAATAAACTAGAAAATCTAGAAAAATGGATAAATTCCTCGACATATACACCCTCCCAAGACTAAACCAGGAAGAAGTTGAATCCCTGAATAGACCAATAACAGGCTCTGAAATTGAGGCAATAATGAATATGCTACCAACCCAAAAAAGTCCAGGACCAGAGGCATTCACAGCCGAATTCTACCAGAGGTACAAAGAGGAGCTGGTACCATTCCTTCTGAAACCATTCCAATCAATAGAAAAAGAGGGAATCCTCCCTAACTCATTTTATGAGGCCAGCATCATCCTTATTCCAAAGCATGGCAGAGACAAAGCAAAACAAAAGAGAATTTTAGACCAATATCCCTGATGAACATCGACGCAAAAATCCTCAATAAAATCCTGGCAAACTGAATCCAGCAGCACATCAAAAAGCTTATCCACCATGATCAAGTTGGCTTCATCCCTGGGATACAAGGCTGGTTCAACATATGCAAATCAATAAACATAATCCATCATATAAACAGAATCAAAGACAAAAACCACATGATTATCTCAATAGATGCAGAAAAGGCCTTTGACACAATTCAACAGCCCTTCATGCTAAAAACTCTCAATAAACTAGGTATTCATGGGATGTATCTCAAAATAATAAGAGCTATTTATGACAAACCCACAGCCAATGCCATAATGAATGGGCAGAAACTGGAAGCATTCCCTTTGAAAACTGGCACAAGACAGGGATGCCCTCTCTCACCACTCCTATTCAACATAGTGTTGGAAGTTCTGGCCAGGGCAATCAGGCAGGAGAAAGAAATACAGGCTATTCAATTAGGAAAAGAGGAAGTCAAATTGTCCCTGTTTGCAGATGACATGATTGTATATTTAGAAAACCCCATCATCTCAGCCCAAAATCTCCTTAAGCTGATAAGCAACTTCAACAAAGTCTCAGGATACAAAATCAACGTGCAAAAATCACAAGCATTCATATACACCAATAACAGACAAACAGGGAGCCAAATTATGAGTGAATTCTCAAAGTCCATTTTCTTTTTTTTAAATATTATTATACAAGTTTAATATATAGTCAAATGCACAACAATTTATCCTCTGGATTGGGAACAAGAGATTTCTAGACATCTCAGCTTTAGCCAGTTTATTATACACCTACTGCTTCATAGTTGAGTTCTTCCAGAATATCTGTTAGAACCCCTGATAGCATACTATTTTGTGATGAGATAAATACTTTAAAAATTATATGATCACAGTAGCATGGAATGACATTTCCTTAATGCTATGTTTGAGGGCCTTTTTCTTGTTTCTGCTAGTAGAATCTGTTCTACCATTACTTATATACAAACATTATTTATTGCCAACATGATACACATTATATGGTGTGGATCCAGTAAATATTTGTAAATTAACTGATTTGGCACCCCACAATATCTCAAGACATGAGATTTAAGAAGAAAAGAGCTTGACTAGTAAACCTGGTAGAGAAAATGCCTTTATACAGTTAGTATATCCCACAATACTATCAACAAGTAGATTGGATTTTATTGTTATAACAGAATTGAGTGAGATTGTGAATAATAAGAAAGTTGAGTTGTGGTGCATTGTCCTTAGAAGTTTCCTTCCTTTCTTTCCTTCTGTTCAGTGTTGTGACCTCAAATAAGGGGCACAGATGCCTCCTCGGGCAGCTTGGGGCAAGTGATCTACTTTCTTTTTTTTTTCTTTTTTAAAATTTTATTATTATTATACTTTAAGTTTTAGGGTACATGTGCACAACGTGCAGGTTTGTTACATATGTATACATGTGCCCTTTTGGTGTGCTGCACCTATTAACTCATCATTAAGCATTAGGTATATCTCCTAATGCTATCCCTCCTCACTCCCCCCACCCCACCACAGTCCCCGGTGTGTAATGTTCCCCTTCCTGTGTCCATGTATTCTGATTGTTCAATTCCCACCTATGAGTGAGAACATGCGGTGTTTGGTTTTTTGTCCTTGTGATAGTTTGCTGAGAATGATGGTTTGCAGCTTCATCCATGTCCCCACAAAGGACATGAACTCATCATTTTTTATGGCTGCATAGTATTCCATGGTGTATATGTGCCACATTTTCTTAATCCAGTCTATCATTGTTGGACATTTGGGTTGGTTCCAAGTCTTTGCTATTGTGAATAGTGCTGCAATAAACGTACGTGTGCATGTGTCTTTATAGCAGCAGGATTTATAATCCTTTGGGTATATACTCAGTAATGAGATGGCTGGGTCAAATGGTATTTCTAGTTCTAGATCCCTGAGGAATCGCCACACCGACTTCCACAATGGTTGAGCTAGTTCACAGTCCCACCAACAGTGTAAAAGTGTTCCTATTTCTCCACATCCTCTCCAGCACCTGTTGTTTCCTGACTTTTTAATGATCACCATTCTAACTGGTGTGAGATGGTACTCATTGTGGTTTTGATTTGCATTTCTCTGATGGCCAGTGATGATGAGCATTTTTTCATGTGTCTTTTGGCTCCATAAATGTCTTCTTTTGAGAAGTGTCTGTTCATATCCTTCGTCCACTTTTTGATGGGGTTGTTTGTTTTTTTCTTGTAAATTTGTTTGAGTTCATTGTAGATTCTAGATATTAGCCCTTTGTCAGATGAGTAGGTTGTGCCATCCCCATCAAGCTACCAATGACTTTCTTCACAGAATTGGAAAAAACTTCTTTAAAGTTCATATGGAACCAAAAAAGAGCCCGCATTGCCAAGTCAATCCTAAGCCAAAATATCAAAGCTGGAGGCATCATGCTACCTGACTTCAAACTATACTACAAGGTTACAGTCTGACACACAGAGCTAGTGAAATTTAGGCAGAGCAACTGCACAGGCATGTGCAGAGACCAGGAGCCTTAGATACTTGGGCTTTCTGGGCTCCCCTAAAAAAGTAGTTGCAACTCAAGCAAAGCAGGAACAGACCCCCGTACATACCCTAGGAAAGAGGCTGAATCCAGGGGGCCAAGCAGCAACAGTCTACAGGCCCCACTTCCATGGCATCTCACAGGATAAGACCCAGTGGCTTGGAATTCCAGCCAGGCACCGGTAGTAGTGTTACACCTCTCTGAGACAGAGCTCCTGTGGAGAGGGGCCAGGGGCCAACCTCCATCTTTGCTGTTTGGACAACTTTGCTGTTTCAGCCTTCGAGCTTTGGAGAGTCCAAGCCAACCGGGGGTGGAAGGGACTCCTGAGCACAGCACAACTGCTCTGTGAAAATGTGGCCAGTCTGCTTCTTTAAATGGGTCCCTGATCCCATTCCTTCTCACTGGGTGGGACCTCCCAACTAGGGTCTCCAGCCACCCCCACCACTGTTATCTGGCTAAACAGTTTTGAAACCTCCTTAGGATAGAGCTCCCAGAGAGAAAAGTGAACCGACATCTTTGCTGTTTGTGTGACAACCATTCCAGCCTTCAGGTTTTGGAGAGTCCAAGCTGACCAGGGGAGAAAGGGATTACCCAACACAGCACAGCTGTTATACAAAAACATGGCTAGACTGCTGTTTAAAACAAGTTTCCAATCCCGTTCCTCCTCACTAGGCAGGACCTCCCAACCAGAACCTCCAGCCACCCTCGAGGGTGTTCTTTGGCCAACAGAGATCCGAATACTTCCTCAGTTGGAGCTCCCAAGGGGAGGGGCAGGCCTCCATCTTTGCTCTTTGGGTGACTTAGCTGTTTCACCCTTTTCGCTTTGAGATTCTGAGGTGACAAAAGGCTGAAGCAGACACCCAGCACAGCAGAGCTGCTCTATGAAAACATGGCAAGACTGATTTTTAAAGCAAGTCTCTGATCCTATTCCTCCTCACTGGAGGTGACCTCCCAACTGGGGTCTCCAGCCAGCTCCTTCAGATGCATTCAGGCTGGCAAAAAGTCCATACCTCCCTGGGATGGAGGTCCCAGAGGGAGGGGCAGGTTGCCATTTTTACTGTTTTGCAGCCTTTGGTGGTAATACCTCCAGGTACCAGAAACTCCAAGGTGACTAGCAACTGGAGTGGGCATCCAGCATACCACAGCAATCCGGCAAAGAAAATGTCTAGCCTGTTACATTGGTATCTGTTTCCATATCTCATCACCAGGCAAGTCTTCCAGACCTGGGCCTCCAGCCATCATCTGCCAGAGATACTGAGCCAGTAGCAACTTTACAACTCCCTGGACAGAGTTTCCAGGGGCAACTGAAAGTCTTTCTACCACTGCCTCTGTAGTGGACCTGTCTTTGCTAACCTTGGACTAACAAAGGAGTAAAAACCCTACCTAAGTGCCTTATCCACACCTCCAACAAGCTGCAGTTGACCCAAGAAGAGGAGGCCAGTTTGTCTCCAATGGGTCCTACACACCCCCTGCTGCTCATCACCAGACAAGGAACCCCTGGCTTGGGCCCACAGCACAAACCCTCCATCCTAGGCTGATTTCACTGCACAATTGCTGACCCACATTTCTCTGGGGTGGAGCCCCCAGGAGGCAAGCAAAGTGGTGGCACAGCAAGCCAGCTGATATGGAGCCCAGAGGGTTTAGTGTTGGAGCATCTGTAGTGGAGTGTGGCCAGGTACGGCCATCCCTCTTGGCTCAGCTTGCTCCCATAAGAGACTTCAGACCTAGGGGAATGGTCAGATCTGATCTCTGCCATGCAGTCTTGCACACCAGATGGGGCTGATCCAACCTGAGCACTCCTTGGTCTCCTGGCCTCTTTCAGGGTTTCACCCTGGACACTCCAGCTTACAAGGCAGTCTTGGATGCCCTGGGGACACACACCTTACCTTCTGCACTAGTAGACTGCGCCTGATCAGTGGAGAGTGCCAAAAATGTGGCCCCTATGGCCCTGCACAGCCTGCATATTCCATCCTCATACTGCAGCTTTCCTCAAGTCCATGGCAACTCTCCACATCCCTTTGCTGGCACCTGTCTGCATGAGTAGGTTTTGCTTCACATGCTCTGCCAACACACGGGATTGCAGTACACCCCCACCACCTCCACTGAACACCAATGAAGATGAAGCCTTAGTGGGCACAGAGCCAGCAAGCCCCACCCCCACCAGCACCTAGCCCCTGTGCTAATGCTGCACAGAGAACAAGGTATCCTCCCACACCCCGAGTGATCACTCCTGCTTGCAGGGAACAAAGAAGGCACCCAGACCTGTGCTGGCCAACAACCTTCCAAAAGCCAATACCACCTCCACTGCAACAGTGCACACAATCTTCAGCAGGGGCTTTCTGCTCCCCACCACCCCCAGCTGCCTAGCCTCTGCCACTGTGGTAAATGCCTGCAGGAAGGCAGGTACCCCTGTATTTGCTAACACTCTTGCTGCAGCTGCTGCACATTGGGCCCCACAGCACAGTGGACTGCAAACCTCATGGACCAGAGAACAAAGTCAGGGCCCCAGAGTTAGCATATGTAGGCCAGGGGTTGGGAGCTGAGCACTGGCCCCCTAAAAGCTTTCTGAAATGAAGCCATTTGGCTGAATCAAACTTGTACCTCAATCAAACCATCAAGGTCATGAATAAAAGAAAAGAAAAGAAAAGAAAAGAAAAGAAAAGAAACCCAGCCAAAGGTCAGCAACCTCAAAGATTGTAGGTACATAAACCCACAAATATGAGAAAGAATCAGTGCAAGAACACAAAAAACTCAAAAAGCCAGAGTGCCTTCTTTCCTACAAATGACCATATCACCTGTCCAGCAAGGGTTCACAACCAGGCTGAGGCTGAGATGGCTGAAATGACAGAAGTAGATTTCAGAACATGAACAGGAATGAAGTTCATTGAGCTACAAGAGTACATTGTGACCCACTGCAAGAAAGCTAAAAATTATGATAAAACATTGCAGGAGCTGACAGACAAAATAGCCAGTATACAGAAGAACACAATTGACCTGACAGAGCTAAAAACACACTACAAGAATTTTATAATTCTATCACATGTATTAATAGCAGAATAGACCAAATGGAGGAGTCTCAGAGCTTGAATACTGTCTTTTTGAAATAAGACAGGCAGACAAGAATAGAGAAAAAAGAATAAAAAGAAATGAACAGAGCCTCCAAGAAATATGGAATTATGTAAAGAGATTGAATCTATGACGGGCTGGTGTACCTGAAAGAGATGGGGAGAATGGAACCAACTTGGAAAACATATTTTAGGATATTATCCATGAGAATGTCCCCAATGTAGCTAGGAAGGCCAACATACAAATTCAGGAAATACTGAGAACCCCAGTAAGATATACCACAAGAAGATCATCCCCAAGACACAATCATCAGATTCTCCAAGGTTGAAATGAATGAGAAAAATGTTAAAGACAGCTAGAGACAAAGCTCAGGTCATCTACAAAAGGAAGCCCATTGGACTAAAAGTGGATTTCTCAGCTAAAACCCTACAAGCCAGAAGAGATTTGGGGCTAATATTCAACACTCTTAAAGAAAAGAAATTCAAACCAAGAATTTCATATCTGGCCAAACTAAACTTCATAAGCAAAGGAGAAATCAGATCTTTTTCAGACAAGCAAATGCTGAGGGAAATTGTTACCACCAGATCTGTCTTACAAGAACTCCTGAAGGAAGCACCCAATATGCAAAGGAAAGACTGTTACCAGCCACTACAAAAACACACTGAATTACACAGTCCAGTGACACTATAAATCAACCACATAAACAAGTCTGCAAAATAACCAGCCAGCATTATGATGACAAGATAAAAGACATATCAATACTAAAGTTGAATGTAAATGGGATACATGCCCCAATTAAAGGTCACAGAGTGTCAAGCTGGATAAAGAGCCAAGGCCCATTGCTATGTTGCCCTCAAGTGACCCATCTCACGTGTAATGACACACACTGGCTCAAAATAAAGGGATGGAGAAATACCAACCAAGCAAATGGAAAACATAAAAACAATCCTAGTTTCTGACAAAACAGAATTTAAAACAACAAAGATCAAAGAAGACAAAGAAGGGCATCATATAATGGTAAAGGGTTCAGTTGACAAAGATAATCTAGCCATTCTAAATATATATGCACTCAACACAGGAGCACCCAGTTTCATAAAGCAAGTACATAGAGACTTTCAAAGAGTCTTAGACTCCCACTCAATAACAGTGGGAGACTTTAACACCCTACAGACAATATTAGTTCAATCATTGAGACAGAATATTAACAATGATATTCAGGACTTGAACTCAGCACTGGATCAAATGGACCTGATAGTTATCTCCACAACTTTTGACCTCAAACCAACAGAATATACATTATTCTCATCAACACATTGCACTTACTCTAAAATCAATCATATAATCAGAAGTAAAACACTCCTTAGCAAACGTAAGATAACTCAAATCATAACAAACAGTCTCTCAGAACACAATGCAATCAAATTCAAAATGAAGATTAAGAAATTTACTCAGAACTGTACAATTACATGGAAATTGAATAACCTGCTCCTAGATGACTTTTGAGTAAATAATGAAATTAAGGCAGAAACCAATATGGTTTTTGACACTAATGGAACAAAGAGACAACATACCAGAATCTCTGGGACACAGCTAAGGCAGTGTTAAGAGGAAAATTTATAGCACTAACTGCCCATGTTAAAAAGTTAGAAGGATCTCTAGTTAACAACCTAATGTCACAACTAAAAGAATTAGAGAGCCAAGAGAAAACATATTTTAAAGCTAGCAGATGATAAGAAATAACCAAAATTAGAGCTGAACTAAAGAATATAGGCATTAAAAAAACATTCAGAAGATCAAAGAATCCAGGAGCTTTTTTTTTTTGAAAAAATTAATTAAATAGATAGACTGCTAGCTAGATCAATAAAGAAGAAAAGAGAAAAGACTCACGTAAGAATGGCGTGAACCCGAGAGGTGGAGCTGGCAGTGAGCCGAGATCGTGCCACTGCACTCTAGCCTGGGTGACAGAGCGAGACTCCTTCTCAAAAAAAAAAAAAAAAAAAAAGGAAATGACAAGGGGGATATTACCACTGGCACCACAGAAATACAAACAACCATCAGAAAATATTATTAATTCCTCTATGTACATAAACTAGAAAATCTATAAGAAATGGATAAATTCCTGGGCACATACACCCTCCCAAGACTGAACCAGGAAGAAATTGAACCGTTAAACAAACCCATAATGAGTTCTGAAATTGAGACAGTAATAAATAGTCTACGAACCAAAAAAAGCTCAGGACCAGAAAGATTCACAGCTGAATTCTACCAGATGTACAAAGAAGAGCCAGTGCCATTCCCACTGAAGCTATTCAAAAAATGGAAAAGAAGGGACTCCTCTGTAACTCATGCTATGGGGCCTTCCTAACTGATGTTATTGGTCTGAAAACTTCAGACCAGTATTCAGCATCATCCTGATGCCAAAACCTGTAAGAGATACTACAAAAAAAGAAAACTTCAGAGCAATATTTTTTATGAATATCAATGCAAAAATTCACCACAAAATACTAGGAAACTGAATCCAGCAGCACATCAAAAAGCTTATCCACCAGGATCAAGTAGGTTTTATCCCTGGGATTCAAGGTTTGTTCAAAATATGCAAATCAATAAATGCAATTCATCACATAAACAGAGCTAAAAACAAAAACCACATGATTAGCTCAATAGATGCAGAAAAAGCTTTAAAAAAAATTTAATATCTCTTCATGTTAAAAACTCTCAATAAATTATATATTGAAAGAACATACCTCAAAATTATAAGAGCCATTTATTGCAAACCCACAGGCAATATACTGAATGGGCAAAAGCTGGAAGCATTCCCCTTGAAAGCCGGCAGAAGACAAGGATGCTCTTTCTCACCACTCCTATTCAACATAATATTGGAAGTCCTGGCCAGCGCAATCAGGCAAGAGAAAGAAAGAAGGGACATTCAAAATAGGAAGAGAGGAACTCAAATTATCCCTTTTTGCAGGCGATATGATCCTATATCTAGAAAATTCTATCATCTCAGCCCAAAAGCTTCTTAAGCTGAAAAACAGCTTCAGCAAAGTCTTAGGATACAAAATCAATGTGCAAAAATCACTAACATTCCTATACCAACAACAGTCAAGCTGAGAGCCAAATCAAGAATGAACTTTCAATCACTATTGTCACAAGAAAGAATAAAATACCTAGCAATACAGCTTACTAGGAAGGTGAAAGGTCTCTACAAGGAGAACTACAGACCACTGCTCAAAGAAATCAGAGATGACACAAATGAATGAAAAATATTTCATTCATTCATTCATTCATGGATAGGAAGAATCAATGTCTCTAAAATGGCCATATTGCCCAAAGCAATTTATAGATTCACTGCTGTTCTTATTTTTAAAGCCATTGAGATTCTTCACAGAGCTAGAAAGACTATTTTAAAAACCACATGAACAGAGCTAGAAAAAACTATTTTAAAAATCACATGGAAAGAAAAAGCACAAGTGGTTAAGGAAATTTTAAGCAGAAAGAACAAAGCCTGAGGCATTACACCACCTGAATTTAAACTACTCTACAGGGTTACAGTAACCAAAACAGCATAGTACTGGCACAAAAATAGACACATAGGCCAATGGAACAGAATGGAGAATCCAGAAAAAAAGACCACACCCCTACAACTACCTGATCTTTGACAAACTTGACAAAAACAAGCAATGGGGAAAGGATTCCCTATTCAATAAATAATGCTAGTGTAACTGGCTAGGTGGATGCAGATGATTGAAACCGGACTCCTTCTTTACACTATATACAAAATTAACTCAAGATGTATTAAAAATACTTAAATATAAAACTGAAAACAAGAAAAACCTTGAAAGTCAACATAGGCAATGTCATTCGGGGCATAGGCATGGTCAAATAATTCATGACAAAAATGACAAAATCAATTGCAACCAAAGCAAAAATTGACAAATGGGAACTAATTAAACTAAAGAGCTTCTGCACAGCAAAATAAACCATCAGCAGAATAAAGAGACAACCTAAAGAATGGGAGAAAATGTTTGCAAACTATGCATCTGATAAAGGTCTGCTATTCAGCATCTATAAGGAACTTAAATAAATTTACAAGAAAAAAAACAAACTCATTAAAAAGTTGGCAAAGGACATGAACAGGCAATTATCAAGAGAAGACGTACGTGTGGCCAAAAACTGTATGAAGGAAAGCTCAACATCACTGATCATTAGATTAATGCAAATCAAAATCACAATGAGATACCGTGTCACACCAGTCAGAATGTCTATTATTAAAAAGTCAAAAATAATGGATACTGGCGAAGTTGTGAAAAAAAGGAATGCTTATACAATTTTGGTAGGAGTGTACATTCATTCAACCATTGTGGATGACAGTTTGGTTATTCCTCAAAGACCTAAAGACAGAAATACTACTTGACCCAGCAATCCCATTACTGGGTATATACACAAAGAGATATACATCATTCTATTATAAAGACACATGCATGCATATATATTATTGCAGCCACTATTCACAATACTAAAGATATGAAATCAATCTAAATGACCATCAGTGATAGACTGGATAAAGAAAATGTGGTACATATGTAGCATGGAATACTATGCAGCCATAAAAAACCCAAAATTACGTCCTTTGCAAGTACATGGATGGAGCTGGAGGACATTATCCTCAGTATACTAATGCTGGAGCAGAAAACCAAGCACCACATGTTCTCACTTATAAGTGACAGCTAAATGATGAGAACACATGGACACATAGAGGGGAACAATACACACTGGGGTCTATCAGAAGGTGAAGATTGGGAGGAGGGAGATGATCAGGAAAACTAACTAATGGATACTAGGCTTAATACCTGAATGATGAAATAATCTGTACACCAAACCCCCCATGACCCAAGTTTACCTATGTAATAAGCCTGCACATGTATTCCTCAACTTAAAAATTAAAAATAAATATATAGAAAAAAAGAAGTCACAAAAGACAATATAATGCATGTCTCCTTTTATATGAAATGTCTAGAATAGAATAATTTATGGATACAGAAAGTATACTTATGGTTGCCTAGGTCTCAAGAAAGAAGTGAATGGGGAGTGATTGCTAATGGATATGGGTTTTATTTTTGTAATGACTAAAATGTTCTAAATAAGATTGTGATGATGGTTGTACAAGTCTGTAAATACACTGATAACCATTGAATTATACACTTTAAATAGGCCAATAACATAGTATGTGAATTATATCTCAATAAAGCAGTTAAAATACATAAAAAGAATAATAGATTTTCATGTTCCTTTACACTAGCTATTGGCTTGCCGACTGGTGTTTTCAAATCCTGTTGATTCAAGTGCAAATGTATATGCATCACTCTGGGTTTTCTCTAGAAAATATTTGCTATGACCTTAAAACTTTGTGTATCTTCTGACCCTGAAGATGTTGTCTAATGGAAATTATTGTAAGGCAATAGTCGTTTATGAGAACAAAGTTTTTACTCTCATAATGCTTATCACAGTGATACCCTGCAAAATTATTAAAACATAAAACATATCATTTCTGTTGCAAGAAGAAATGATAGAACAGCTCTAAAATGTAAATATATGTCTCCATGAGACGATAGCAGTAGCTTAGAAATCAATGTGGAGACAGGATTAATCACCTGCCAAGTAAAGATCCCCTGGGCCATGAGTAATCAGCAACAATATCCAGGCAGTACAGTACTTTCCATGGGCCTTGGGTTAGACACAGAGACTTAATAGCTTCAGATTTGACCCAGCACATTCCCAGCTCTGGTGGCTATGCGGGAAAGACTCTTTCTGCTTGAGGAAATATGAGAAAAGAGTAAAGGGGACTTTGTCTTGCAGCTTGGATACCAGCTTGGCCACAGTGAGGTAGAGCACCAAGAGGGCAATTGGGTTTTTCAATACCAGGCACTGGTTTGTGGAAGGCATTTATGAAACTTCCCTTGTACAGAGGGTAACTCGCTTCCTGGAAGGGAGGGTTCCAGTCCAGGCAGTACTCACCATGGTCCTGGGGTGGTGGTGGCCAGAGAGAGAAACTCCAATTCTTGTGAAAAGGGGAAGAAAGGGTAGGAATGGCTTTCTCTTGTGGCTTGGGTGCCACCTCAGCCACAGTAAACCAGGGTACCAGGTAGATTCCTAAGATTGCTGATTCCAGGCTCTGGCTCCTGGATGACAATTCTGGACTTGCCTGAAAATGGGAACTTGCCAACTTGTAGGGATGGACAGAAGCCTGGCTGGCTTTGCTACCTGCTGATTATACAGCTCTAGAAGTTTGAGCAGACGTAGGTGTTAGGTAGATCATTGTTACCATGGGCCTTAGGGGAGAAACAGCCCCTTGCTGGCTTCAGGTTTGAGCAAGCACAGTTCAAGTGATGGTGGCCACAAGGGTTCTAATGTCCCTCTTCCCCAAGCTCCAGGCAGCTCTGCAAGACAGAGGCTCCATTTATTTGGAAGAAAGTAAGAAAAGGGAACAAGAGCCTTTGCCTTGTAATACAGAGAATTCCTTTGGATTGTACCCAAGACCACCAAGGCGGTACATCTACTACTCTTCAAGAGTCATGGCATTACTGTGCTTGGGGTACCTCCTAATGCAGATATGGCTGCAGTGGCCAGAAACTTAGATTACAAAACCCAAGTCCCTTCAAATACCTCGAAAGACTTTCCAAGAAGAATGGGTACAAACAATCCCAGACTATAAAGACTACAATAAATACTCAACTCTTCAATGTCCAGACATCAAGGAATATCCACAAACATAAACAACAAGACTAACCTGGAAACATGGCCTTACCAAACAGCCTAAATAAGGCACCAGGGAGCAATCCTAGAGAGAGAGACATGTGACATCTTTGAAAGAGAATGAAAAATAATTGTTTTGAGGAAAGTGAACGAAATTCAAGATATCACAGAGGAAAAATTCCGAATACTATCCGATAAATTTAACAAAAAGAATGAAATAAGTGAAAAGAATCAAGCAGAAAATCTGGAGCTGAAAAATACCATTGCAATACGGAAGAATGCATCACTCTCTCTCTTTTTTTTTCTTTTTTTTAATTATACTTTAAGTTTTAGGGTACACGTGCACAATATGCAGATTTGTTACATATGTATACATGTGCCATGTTGGTGTGCTGCAACACCATGGAATACTATGCAGCCATAAAAAAGGATGAGTTCATGTCCTTTTTAGGGACATAGATGAAGCTGGAAACCATCATTCTCAGCAAACTATCGCAAGGACAAAAAACCAAACACCGCATGTTCTCACTCATAGGTGGGAATCGAACAATGAGAACACATGGACACAGGAAGGGGAGCATCACTCTCTCTTACCAGCAAAACTGATCAATCAGAGGAAAGAAATGCTGAGCCTGGAGACAGGTTATTTGAAAATACACAGTCAGAGGAGACAAAAGAAAAGAGAATAAAAAAGAATGAAGCACACCTACAGGATCTAGAGAATAACCTTAAAAGGGCAAATCCGTGGTATTGATCTTAAACAGGAGGTAGAGAAATAGATGGGGATAGAAAGTTCATTCAAAATGATGATAACAGAAGATTTCCCAAAACCACAGAAAAATATCAATATTTAAATAGAAGTACAAGCAGATTTAACCCAAAGAAGACTACCTCAAGGCAATTAATACTCAAACACCCAAAGATCAAAGGGTCTTAATAGAAACAAGAGAAAAAAATAACATATAATGGAGCTTCAATATGTCTGGCAGCAGATTTTTTAGCAGAAATTTTATAGGCCATGAGAGAATGACATGACATAACATATTTAAAATGCTAAAGGAAAAAATCATGCATCATTTTTTTTAAGTTTTCACCCTAGTCTCCTTTTATATTTTATATTATTTTATTTTATTATACTTTAAGTTTTAGGGTACATGTGCACAATGTGCAGGTTAGTTACATATGTACACATGTGCCATGCTGGTGTGCTGCACCCATTAACTCATCATTTAGCATTAAGTATATCTCCTAAAGCTATCCCTCCCCCATCCCCCCACCCCACAACAGTCCCCAGAGTGTGATGTTCCCTTTCCTGTGTCCATGTGTTCTCATTGTTCAATTCCCACCTATGAGTGAGAACATGCGGTGTTTGGTTTTTTGTTCTTGCGATAGTTTACTGAGAATGATGATTTCCAATTTCATCCATGTCCCTACAAAGGACATGAACTCACCATTTTTTATGGCTGCATAGTATTCCACGGTGTATATGTGCCACATTTTCTTAATCCAGTCTATCATTGTTGGACATTTGGGTTGGTTCCAAGTCTTTGCTATCGTGAATAGTGCCGCAATAAACATACGTGTGCATGTGTCTTTATAGCAGCATGATTTATAGTCCTTTGGGTATGTACCCAGTAATGGGATGGCTGGGTCAAATGGTATTTCTAGTTCTAGATCCCTGAGGAATCGCCACACTGACTTCCAGAATGGTTGAACTAGTTTACAGTCCCACCAACAGTGTAAAAGTGTTCTTATTTCTCCACATCCTCTCCAGCACCTGTTTTTTCCTGACTTTTTAATGATTGCCATTCTAACTGGTGTGAGATGGTATCTCATTGTGGTTTTGATTTGCATTTCTCTGATGGCCAGTGATGGTGAGCATTTTTTCATGTGTTTTTTGGCTGCATAAATGACTTCATTGAGAAGTGTCTGTTCATGTCCTTTGCCCACTTTTTGATGGGGTTGTTTGTTTTTTTCTTGTAAATTTGTTTAAGTTCCTTGTAGATTCTGGATATTAGCCCTTTGTCAGATGAGTAGGTTGCGAAAATTTTCTCCCATTTTGTAGGTTGCCTGTTCACTCTGATGGTAGTTTCTTTTGCTGTGCAGAAGCTCTTTAGTTTAATTAGATACCATTTGTCAATTTTGGCTTTGGTTGCCATTGCTTTTGGTGTTTTAGACATGAAGTCCTTGCCCATGCCTATGTCCTGAATGGTAATGTCTAGGTTTTCTTCTAGGGTTTTTATGGTTTTAGGTCTAACATTTAAGTCTTTAATCCATCTTGAATTAATTTTTGTATAAGGCGTAAGGAAGGGATCCAGTTTCAGCTTTCTATATCTGGCTAGCCAGTTTTCCCAGCACCATTTATTAAATAGGGAATCCTTTCCCTGTTGCTTGTTTTAGTCAGTTTTGTCAGAGATCAGATAGTTGTAGATCTGTGGCATTATTTCTGAGGGCTCTGTTCTGTTCCATTGATCTATTTCTCTGTTTTGGTACCAGTACCATGACGTTTTGTTTACTGTAGCCTTGTAGTATAGTTTGAAGTCAGGTAGCATGATGCCTCCAGCTTTGTTCTTTTGGCTTAGGACTGACTTGGCAATGCAGGCTCTTTTTTGGTTCCATATGAACTTTAAAGTAGTTTTTTCCAATTCTGTGAAGAAAGTCATTGGTAGCTTGATGGGGATGGCATTGAATCTACAAATTACCTTGGGCAGTATGGCCATTTTCATGATATTGATTCTTCCTACCCATGGGCATGGAATGTTCTTCCATTTGTTTGTATCCTCTTTTATTTCCTTGAGCAGTGGTTTGTAGTTCTCCTTGAAGAGGTCCTTCACATCCCTTATAAGTTGGATTCCTAGGTATTTTATTCTCTTTGAAGCAATTGTGAATGGGAGTTCACTCATGATTTGGCTCTCTGTTTGTCTGTTATTGGTGTATAAGAATGCTTGTGATTTTTGCACATTGATTTTGTATCCTGAGAATTTGCTGAAGTTGCTTATCAGCTTAAGGAGATTTTGGGCTGAGACAATGGGGTTTTCTAGATATACAATCATGTCATCTGCAAACAGGGACAATTTGACTTCCTCTTTTCCTAATTGAATACCCTTTATTTCCTTCTCCTGCCTAATTGCCCTGGCCAGAACTTCCAACACTATGTTGAATAGGAGTGGTGAGAGAGGGCATCCGTGTCTTGTTCCAGTTTTCAAAGGGAATGCTTCCAGTTTTTGGCTATTCAGTATGATATTGGCTGTGAGTTTGTCATAGTTAGCTCTTATTATTTTGAGATACGGCCCATCAGTACCTAATTTATTGAGAGTTTTTAGCATGAAGGGTTGTTGAATTGTGTCAAAGGCCTTTTCTGCATCTATTGAGATAATCATGTGGTTTTTGTCTTTGGTTCTGTTTATATGCTGGATTACATTTATTGATTTGCGTATATTGAACCAGCCTTGCATCCCAGGGATGAAGCCCACTTGATCATGGTGGATAAGCTTTTTGTTGTGCTGCTGGATTCGGTTTGCCAGTATTTTATTGAGGATTTTTGCATCAATGTTCATCAAGGATATTGGTCTAAAATTCTCTTTTTTGCTTGTGTCTCTGCCCAGCTTTGGTATCAGGATGATGCTGGCCTCATAAAATGAGTTAGGGAGGATTCCCTCTTTTTCTGTTGATTGGAATAGTTTCAGAAAGAATGGTACCAGTTCCTCCTTGTACCCCTTGTAGAATTCGGCTGTGAATCCATCTTGTCCTGGGCTCTTTTTGGTTGGTAAGCTATTGATTATTGCCACAATTTCAGAGCCTGTTTTTGGTCTATTTACAATTAAAAGAACTAGAAAAGCAAGAGCAAACACATTCAAACGCTAGCAGAAGGCAAGAAATAACTAAAATCAGAGCAGAACTGAAGGAAATGGAGACCCAAAAACCCTTCAAAAAATTAATGAATCCAGGAGCTGTTTTTTTGAAAGGATCAACAAAATTGATCGACTGCTAGCAAGACTAATAAAGAAGAAAAGAGAGAAGAATCAAATAGACACAATAAAAAATGATAAAGGGGATATCACCACTGATCCCACAGAAATACGAACTACCATCAGAGAATACTACAAACACCTCTACGCAAATAAACTAGATTTCACCAACAGCAGAACTGTCCTACAGTTCTACAGCTAAAAGGAGTTTTTCAGTCTGAAACAAAAGGATGTTAATGAGCAAGAACAAATCATCTGAAGGTACAGAACTCACTGATAATAGCAAGTAAACACAAAAACAAGAATATTATAACACTATTATTGGTGTGTAAATTACTGACATCTTGAGTAGAAAGACTGAAACTAAAGCAGTAAAAAATAATAACCACAACCTTTCAAGACTTAAGCAGTTCAGTAAGATGTAAATAGCAACAACAAAAACTTAAGAAGTCCAAGAATGAAATTAAAAAGTGTAGAGTTGTTGGGGTGGGTGGGAGGGATAGCATTAGGAGATATACCTAATATTAAATGACGAGTTAATGGGTGCAGCACACCATCATGGCACATGTATACATATGTAACTAACCTGCATGTTGTGCACATGTGTCCTCAAACTTAAAGTATAATAAAAAAAGTGTAGTTGATATTGGTTGCCTTTTTGCTTGTTAGTTTCTTTATGCACTCAGTTTTAAGTTATAATTACTTTAAAATACCGAGTTATAAGATAGTATTTGCAAGCCTCATTCTAACAGCAATGCACACACAGAAAAAAGCAAGAAATTGAAATACACCACCAGGGAAAATTATCCTCTAAAGGAAGACAAGAAGGAAGGAAGAAAAAGAGAGGATCACAAAACAACCAGAAAAAAATCAAAATTTCAGGAGTGAGACCTCACTTATCAATAATAGCATTCAATGTAAATGGACTGAGCACTTCAGTCAAAAGACAAAGAGTAGATGCATGGATTAAAAAAAAAAGAGACCTAAGAATCTGTTGCCTACAAGAAACAAACTTCACCTATAAAACACACATAGAGTGAATATAAAGGATGAAAAAAGATATTCCATGCCATTGGAAACCAAAAAAGAGCAGGAGTAGCTATACATATATCAGACAAAATAGATTTCAAGACAAAAACTTTAAAAAGAGACAAAGAATGTCATTATGTAATGGTAAAGGGGTCAATCCAGCAAAAGGATATGTAAATATATATGCACTCAACACTGGAGAATCAAGATGTATAAAGCAAACATTATTAGAGCTAAATACAGAGATAGGCTACAATATAATAAGAACAGGAGACTTTAACTTCCTCTTTCATCATTGGACAAATCATTTGGACAGAAAATCCGCAAGGAAACATCAGGCTTAATCTGTGCTATAGATCAAATGGACCAGATAGATATTTATAGAACATTTTATCAAATGGCTGCAGATGCACATTCTTCTCAGCACATAGATTATTTTCAAGGATAAATCATATTTTAGGCTAAAAAACACGTCTTAAAAATTAAAATTAAAATTAAATTTTATATCAAGTATCATCTCAGACTTCAGAGATGACGCAAAACTAGAAATCAATAACAAGAGAAATTTGGAAACTATGCAAATACATGGAAATTTTAAAAATGTGTTTCTGAATGACCAGTGGATCAATAAAGAAATTAAAAAGGAAATAAAAAATTTTTGAAACAAATGATAATGGAAATACAACATAACAAAACCTATGGGATACCACGTATGCAGTATTAAGAGGGAAGTTTGTATCTGTAAGTGCCTACATCAGAAAATTAAAAAAACTTCGAATAAACAACCAAATGATCCATCTTCAAGAGCTAGAAAAGCAAGAGCAAAGCAAATTCAAAATTGGTAGAAGAAAGGAAATAATAAAGATCAGAACATAAATAAATAAAATGGAAACAAATAAAACAATACAAAAGATCAACAAAATGAAAAGTTTGTCTTTTGAAAACATAAAAAAATTCTCAAACCTTTACCTTAAAAAAAAAGAGAAAAAACCCAAATGAATAATATGAGAAATGAAAAAGGGGACATTACAACTGATAATACAGAAATTCAAAGGATCATTAGAGGCTACTATGAGCAACTGTATGCCAATAAATTGGAAAACCTAGAAGTGGATAATTTTTTAGATAATGCAACCTACCAAGATTGAACCTAGAAGAAATCCAAAACATGATCAGAGCAATAACAAGTAATGAGATCAAAGCCATAATCAACGTCTCTCAGCAAAGAAAAGTCTTGGACCTGATAGCTTCACTGCTGAAATTTGACATTTAAAGAAGAACTAATACCAATCCTATTCAAACTGTTCTGAAAAATAGGGGAATGAATACTTCCAAACTCTTGGTACAAGGACGGTATTACCCTGATACCAAAACCAGAAAAAGACACATCAAAAATAGAAAACCACAGGCCAGTATTCTTGATGAACATTGACACAAAGATTCTCAATTAAATACTAGCAAACCAAATATAATGACGTATTAAAAAGATTATTCATCATAACCATGTTGGATTTATCCTAGGGATGTAAGGATGGCTTACCACATGCAAATCAATCACTGTGATACATCATGTCAACAGAATGAAATTTCAATTGATGCTGAAAAAAATTGGACAAAATGGAACATCCCTTTATGATAAAAAAAAAAAACCCTGAAAAACTTGGTACAGAGGGAACATACCTGAACACAATAAAAGACATATGTCACAGACACACAGCTAGTATCATACTGAGTAGGGAAAACCTGCCAGCTATATTTTTCTGAGATCTAGGACATGACATTGATGCTTACTTTCATCATTGCTGTTCAACATGGTACTGGAAGTCCTAGCTAGAGCAGGCAAGAAAAAGAAGTAAAGGGCATTTATATTGGAAAGGAAGAAGTCAAAGTATGTTTGTTTGCAGATGATATAACCTTATATTTGGAAAAGTGTAAAGATTCCACCAAATCTATTAGAACTAGTAAACAAAATTGCAGGATACAAAATCAACTTACAAAAATCAGTAGCATTTCTATATGCCAGCAGTGAACAATCTGAAAAAGAAATTGAAAAAGCAATCTTATTTAAAATAGCCACAAATAAAATAAAATACCTAGAAATTAACTTAACCAAAGAAGTGATAAATCATGGAAGAAAGATTTTACCTTACCTAGAGCTGAAATGGATTTAGGAAGCTTAGCAAAATATAAAAGTAGAAGAATCAATGGAAAGAGCCCTGTAGGCGCTCCTGGTTTCCAGCTTGAGCTTGTGGAAATCATCCTTGTGTTTATCTCATAGGTTTCCTTGGGCGTACAAAGCCATTGGAATTAAGGAAGGGCCACAGGGTGAAAGAAGCTTCTAGCTGAACTTTGTACTAATTTTGACCAAATGTGAATTTTCTTGAGCAGAATCAATGGGCAAAGGGGAAGTGCAAACTTTTTCTTTCTTTCAGGGATACCAATAGGTCATAGTTTTGGTCTCTTTAGGTAATCCCATATTTCATGGAGGCTTGTTTGTACTTCTTTATTGTTTTTTCTTTATTTTGTTTGACTGAGTTATTTCAGAGAGCCAGCCTTTGAGCCCGGAGATTCTTTCCTCATCTTGGTCAGTTCTGCTGTTAATACTGTGATTGCATTGTGAAATTCTTGAAGTTAGTTTTTAAGTTTTATCATATCACTTTGATTCTTTCTAAAAGTGGCCATATTGCCTTTCATCTCTTTTACCGTTTCATTGTATGCCTTAGAAACCTTGGATTAGGTTTTGACTTTATCCTGAATTTCAAGGATCTCCATTCCTATCCTTATTCTGAATTCTACTTCTGCCATTTCAGCCTGGTTAAGAACCATTCCTGGGGGAAAAGTGCAGTCTTTTGAAGGGAAGAAGACACTAGCTTTCTTAGTTGCCAGGCTTCTTGATCTGCTTTTTTTCTCATTTTTGTGGGCTGATGTTTCTTCAATAATTGATGTTCCTGTTTCTTTGGAAAGCATTGGGTAGATTTTTTTGTCTTCTTTGATGTCTTTAGGGGTTTGGTTGTGGTAGACTCAGTCAACAGACTTTGTTTCTGGAAGATTTTAGGAGGCCAAGGCTCACCTCAGGACTCCTGGGCCTCATGTACTAACTCTGGGGGGCTGATATTAGGTCCCCACCTTTGTTCTTTGGCTTCTTGATATTAGGAACCTGCTGTGCTAGAGGGGTTGATGTATTCCAAGGCTGGTGGTTACAACACTCCAATGGGTGGTGCCAATCAAACACTTCACTGGGTGGTGGCAGTAGAATCTATGCTAATTCCCACCTGCCAGCAGTGGTGGAATCACAGCATGGTGCACACTCATTGGCTGGATAAGGAGTCTGGAAGGCACAGGGTTGCCAGCTTCCATGTGGGCATTTATAGTAGCAGTGGTGGTGGCACAGTATGTGGGAGGGGTGGGGCTGTTGATTTCCATTCATGCATTCATGTTGGTGGCAGTGTTGGTGTGGAAGCATGACACCGGCAGATATGAAACTAGTGCCCTCCATGCATGCATTCACACAAGCAGCAGTGGCAACACAGGGTGGAGGCCAGGGCTTCTGGTCTCTATGCACACATGCAAGCAATGGTGGTGCAGCAGGAGTGGGCAGGGTGTGCTCACATACAGAGTAGTGGCATAGTGGGGTGCATACATAAATGCATGCTGGCAGGGAAGGGAGTTGAGGTCAACCAGCATGCACATGCACTGACAAAGCAATGTCAGGGGTAGCTGTGGGCAAATTTGTGCTGCCAAAGGGGCACAGAGGAGGCTGTAGTTGGGGGAGTGTGTGGGTGGGCTTGTGTGCACCAGTAGAAGCTGCTCTGCTGGAGCTCTGCAAATGTGAGGCATGGTCTGTCAGTGCAGGAACTGTGATGTGTGTCTCCAGGAGGCATTCCAGCTGGGCACCCAAGGCTGCACTGCAAGCATGTGCACTAGGGGAGTAAAGGTGAGCCTTGGGGGATGGACATCCCTGGCTGTACTCCACTGACGACACTCACACACCAAATCCCTTGGGTTCCACACTGGCTGGTCTTCTGCCTCTACCACTTCTCTAAGCAGCTCTGCCTGCCACTACAAGTGTCCATGCAGGTTAGGGGGTCTCCTGCTGCCAGAATTCCAGAGATCCATGGTGTGGGCAGGTTGCTCCTCACCTGCTCAACTTACCTTTTCCCTGGGAGTGGCTGGTGGCCAGGAACAAGTCCCAGTGCATGGAAGTCCCTTGCAGGGTTCCCACCTTCCTTTCTCTATAGCCCAGCATCTGAGTCTTCCCTCCATCAATTCTCATTGTCTTTCCTCCAAATATATGCTTGGAGTGTGCCAGGCTTCCCAATGTCCTAGTCTCTTGGTGGCAGATATTTCACTTGGCTGCACTGAGTGAGCCACCTTGCCTATAATTTTTAGAAGGCTTTTAACTAGATATTATCTCATTTATCCATTTTTGCTTTGGTTGTCTGTGCTTGTGAGGTACTACTCGAATCTTTGCCTAGTCCAGTGTCTTGGAGAATTTCTGTGATATTTTCTTGTAGTAGTTTTATAGTTTGAAGTGTTAGATAATAATCAGACTCAACAAATGGCAGAATTCACAATTAATGAAACACACAATAGTAGATCAATGTAAAAATAACTTTAAAGATAAATCTGGTTTAAATATTGAAAGAGACGAAAAAGGGACTGTAATTTGTAAGACAAGAACAGGAATCTTCTTTAACAATAAGGTATATTTTAAAAAAGAAACAACTGGAAATTTTATAAATGAAACAGGTATGCACTGAAATAAAACCATTAATAGATTGCTCATATATTTCGACAGAGTCAAGGCTGAGTATTGAGTTAGAACACAGATTAGACAGGGGTCACATCTAATTCATCCCTGTACCCCAGTGTCTAATACAATAAGGCCAACATATAACAAGTGTTTCAAAATTGCTTATTAAATTGAACTGGGTAAGTGGTCTTCAGATAGGCCAGACATCTCTGGGCTTCTCCAGTGTATAGGGGTTTCAGGGGGGCAGGACAGCCTCAAGTGGAACTACCTGAGGGCTGGGCAGAGCTGGGTGTGGTTCCTCGTGGGTGGAGTAGGCAATAAAGGCTATCTAGAAAAGAGGTACTGGCTTTACCATTCACCTCAGGGACTAACTAGTTTGTTCCCTCTCAGAGCTGGAGAGTGAATTATCTTCATTCAGCACATGTCTGGCTACTATTCATCCTCCCCGTGTCAAAGATACTTAAAGTAGTGAAAACAGATCTTATTCAGTAACTACTAACAATGCTGAAAAAAGCTGAGCTCCATTCCAATTTGTGCAAAGGTGGTTTGGGCATTTTAAAGGGAGAATGATGTTGGGGGCTGAGTAGAGTCAGAGAAGTGAAAACTACAAAATATTGGTCAGTGTAAATGCACTGTGTTTAGGCCATCTGTGTTTGTTAGCCGGCAGTTATCAAAGTTAGGATTTGTCCTTCCACAGAGACTGGAAGACAGGGTTCCTATCTTTCTTGATTACATTTCAAAGAAATGGCTCTCAGGTCCTTGGGAGAGACATTTCTAAATTGTAAGAGATACATATTCACTGTAATAAGCCCTTTTAAATAAGTGCTCTAAAAAAGGGAGGTCAGGGTCTTATCATCAGATTTTGGCAAGAACAAACAGTATATTTTCCTGGCAGCATTGAACTTTCTCAGGCAGTCATTTTAGTGGGGTTTGGGGTCAATTATAGGGACCCAGCCTTAGGCTGTGAGAAACCATGCTAGAGTTTAGTTAGTTCCCTTACTACTACAGGGGTTTGGACAGAAGTGTTAGTTCCAGGAGTTCTGCAGTTCTCCCCTGTTAGAAACTCTAAGGATGTCCATGGCTATATTTATGTGACAAAACATTATATAAATGGTTGATGTTAACAACCTGCCAAAGATTATTTTTCTTACTCCCTCCCTCCTAGGCCTTTTGCAACCCCCACCCCCATTACAGAGAAAGGGGAACAATCCTGTGTGCAACCAGCTCTCCATACCTGGCCCCCACAGCTGGATCTCAGGGTGATCTCCTTTACCACCTGGAATGATAAATACCTTCTTCCAGGACAGCAGCCCTCTTTATCTTGCAGAAGGAGGCAATCCAGGCTGGGTCCTTCGCCAGGGTACCATTTTCCTGCAGCCTCTACAGGAAAATAAGCTCGTCTGAGCTGTGGCCTGAGCAGGTCAAGTCTTCAGTAGAGAGGTCAACTTTAGAAACAATGGCTATTCTTGTGTCTTCCCTTTCTCTATCCTCCTTCCCTTCTATATTACCAAAGAAGTGAACACTTAGAGGACAGAAACTTTATCCTGTCTAGCCCATGCCAAAGAAGATGTTCTCAAGAGAAGAACAGTTTGAAAGAGGCTGCTTGGACCTTAGGCCTCAGCTCCCAACTCCCTCCCTAACTCTTTCCCCTTAGAAAGGAAATCATCCTCACTGACTGAAGCCCTGAGTGGCAAGTCAGCAGGTGGTTTCCTGTAGGACACTGAGGTCTGCTTAAATAGACCACCCATATGCTTCCATAAAAATATCTTGTGTATTGGAGTCTACAAATAATATATTCTTGATGCACCTAAACCTCACTAATTCATAACCACCTGGGGTTAACATTTGCCTGAAGTATTTTCTAAAGAAAACAAAGACTAGTGATTCTAACAACCCAGATGTTGTTTGACTTCAGCTACCCAGGTGTTGACAAGTAGTAGTTTTAAAAGCAGTTGTATGGCATGGAAATATCACTAGACTAAGATACAACTGGTTTGGGTCACAGTTCTGAAATCATCAAATGGTAGATATGTGACTGGGATTTTCTATCAATTTATTGAAAACAGCATTAAGTGGCCTAGAAAGATGTGAGTAACTTTCCCAAGTTCACACAGCTAGTAAGTGACAGAAAAAGTACCGTCCAGATCTAGAGTTCTTAACCATTCCAAATATATTGCCCCATCCTTATCAGGTGCTTGTTTATTCCTATGGTTTCTAGAGAGCAAAAGTATTAATATTTCAGGGTACACTTTTTTGCAACTTTTTTTGGCAACTATCTTCAAATCCTGCCTGCAGAGAATTCCTAAAGATATTGTTGAGCACTCATTGAGATGGAAGACAAACCCTGTTCAACGAGAAATCTTACTGTCTGGAGATCCCCTCTAAGAAAGAAGAAGGAGACTGCAGGGGTCTTGTCTGAACATGAAAGACACTTATGAGTTGGTCTAGATTGTCAGTATTGGAGGATTTAGGGGCAGCAATCCTTGGGGCAGGGGGAATTTCCTTGAAATCCACATATGCCAGTCTAGCTCAGCTTTTGCTTGGTTTGTATGTTTATTTCTGGATGGCTTGTGTGTGTATGAAGCTGATGTAGAGAAGGGGCAGGAAAAGATTTTCTAACCACTCATCCCTGAAAGAGGGCACTCCTAGGACTCAGGAACTGAAAGTGATTATATTCTCCGTGTTGTCTCCCTAGGAAGGATCCAAATCATAGGTTAAAGGGAATTCTGGATGGAATATATACAGGATGATGAATCCATATCTAACCAATACCTATTCTGCAAGCCCCAACATGGCCAAAACTTCAATACTTGGTGGACATTGATGGCCCACAGAGTCTGCAAATGAACTCAGGCCTTTCCATCTTCCAAATGAGTTCACAAAGATAAGAAAGATATTTTGTCTGGTGTTCTAAAGGCTTAATAGTGACTTGCATTGGAGTAATTTGTACAGCATCCTCTGTAAGTCTTGTTTACCAGACACTCACTTCTACCCCTAAGTGTTTCTTAGTGGGCGTTAATTCTAAATTGGTGCCTAAAGGATGGGAGTACTCAAATCTCTCTTGGTCTTCAAAGGAATGGCTGTGGACACAGAGAGACTATACCTTTTCCCACACCATAGGCATGTGCCCTGCAAGTCTCACTCTTGTCACTTCTGGAAAACTGCACGTGGTCTCTGTGACACAGGGCTATTTCCCACTTCTGTTCTTCAACTCTGAGCAACCCTGGGCAGGTCAGAAGTTCTTTCAGGTCATTGTTCTTTCAAGATTCCAAAAAAATTACTTAACACTTCTGGAGCTCCAGAAACGATGATATTTGACGCTCTCTAAATGAGATAAGCAGATAAGGCTGGAGGCTTGAAGAGGTTCAGCTGGAGAAGACTCATAGGTCAGAGTAGGGAGACTGGACAGAAATGCATACTCTATACCAAGACAGCTCTCATGGAGCCCCAGTGGTGGAACAAGGAAGAGCCTGGAGAAATTTCAGCTTCACTTTCATTCTCCTGAGTGCTATCATCTTGCTTCTCCACTCTGACCATGCAGCCTTTCTTTGTATATTCCAAAAGTCAGAAAATTTGAGGGGAATTATTGGACAGGCCCAGAGTGGGGATCCTTGGACTCCAAGCCCAGTTCTCATTGACTGGCTGTGTGACCTTGGGCATATTAGTTAAGCCTCAGTTTCCTGTAGTGTTAAGTGGGACTATTAAAATGCTTCTTAGAGAAATGGTGGAAAGATTAGATCTAAGAACATGAAGAACCCAGCACAGTGCCTGACGCATATTTAGTATTAAAACAATTGGCAGCATTACATTGATCATCGTTGTCCAGATGCTACATGTTCCCCTTGGCAGATTTCTTTCTCTCTTTACTGGAGCCCCCCAGAAGAGCTGACATGTTTGTGGACCCAGAAATTGCACCAATCCAAAAAGTCAGAGTAAAAAAAACTTGGCAACTTAACGTGCTTGCTTCCATACCCTCTCCCGTCTCACAAGCATGTATGGGTTAACAGTCCAAGGGAGCTGAAGAATGAGAGAATTGCTGTTTAGCACACAGGCAAGATTTTGTTCCAAGGTCCCAGATTTTGAGTTGGATACTCTCCCGCCTGACAACCCCACCCCACCCCATTTTCAAGAACCCTTTCAGACCAGACTTTCCAATTACTCATTTTCTCGTCGCTAGAAGCCCTGCCCTTAGCATTCAGACTTTGGAATGCTACCGATGGGAAGATCACTGAGACTGGGCTGTATTGCCCTAGCAACCGCGGAGTGCGCCTGCGCAGTGGCATCCCCAGGCCGACAGCTCTAATTAGGCTTCTGCATCTCAACCGGCCAGACTTTGGATACAAAACGGCATATCTTCCTTCTCCCTGCCGCTCCCCCAGCGAAACGATTGTGTCGTTCTCTTCCTGAGGCTGATGAAAATGTGAGGAATGTCTTCCAACTCTCTCCCATCTAATAGGAGGTAGCAGATGGGAGTAGCCCCCGGTGATTAAATGGATGAAAAAGGCAGAAAGCTTCTGTGTGCCAGGAAATGAAGACATATAGATCCTACACTACCGGTAGGCAGCAGCCATCCCTCTGTAATAAGTGATTTTCCATATGACACTCATCCTTATACCAGGGCTCCGTCTCAGAAATTGTTACCTGCTGGCTCTCTAGGGAAGGCTTATGGGGAGCTATGAGACAGGTTAGAAGCTGTAAGGGGGATCAGAATGAAGACAGCCTAAATGCAAACACTCACCTTAACAGCTTGGGTGCTGAAATAAACTGCATTGGCAGAGGATCCCCTGCAGAGTTCCTCCAGGTAGATTTTTCAGTCTGACTGAAGGTGCAAGGCCATTGTTGGCTCTCAAGAGTCACTCTGAGGATATGGGCCCTTGTTACCTCTGCCACAGAGTTATTTCTCCCACTCCTCCTTTAAAGTCATTGTCTTTCTGAGCTATTTCAAATTCTTCACAGGTGCTTTACACGCTGCTTCTGTCTTCACTAGCAGTCCTTCCCTTCCTCTCCCCAACCTCAGATCTTACAATAGATGTCACTAAAGCACATCTTGTCCCCAGCCCTCCATACCACTTCATCCTTCCCACCACTATTCCTGACTACTTTCCCACTCATCCAGGCTTGACACCCCTGCACCTTCCCCAGACTATCTTAGATGCCATCACCTTCCCACTATCCTTCCCAGCACTTAAAATCGGGAGTTATTCTTGTGGACTCTCATAGAACTCTGAGCTTATGCCTATTATGCCACTTTCCATAGCATAATATAATTGCTTGTTTACTTCCATGAGCCCTCCCCCTTAAGCTCTGGAGCCCAGCTGGGTCTTCTTCACTCTTTTATTCCCAGCACACAGCACTGTTCTCAGAGCATGGCAGGTGCTTAATGCCTATAGAATAAATGAATGCACAAGCATAGGGTCTAATTCATTATGCTTTTATTGCAAATACAGGTAAATGACAGTTTTGTGTATATATATATTTGTGTATATATAGTTGTATATATGTATACGGCAGTAGACACAAAGGGAGAGCAATCACAGATCAGTGGTTTTGTGTTTGTTTTGTTGTGTGTGTGTCATTGTTATTTAACTCCTGTACCAGACCATTTTACTGATTATTTCAAAGATGTAAATATTATCAATACATTTTACAGAGCTGTCTGAACTTTTATGCTGAAACAAGACCGGGATGGCAAATGAAAAATTCCATTTATAAATATTGGTCATTAACCTAATCCAAGAGTATATTAAAAGGAAGGAAATACTACTAGAATTGGAACACAGACAGCAAGCACAATTTGTACTTCCCACACAAGCCCTACCTGGATTCTAATTTAGAGCCCCAATGCCTATTTTACCAAGGCATCTTTAACTTATGCCACTCAGCTGAAGTGATACATATTCCCTAGACTTCACGTGGGGTCAAGGAAAAACATGATAGTTGCCTCAGATTTGGCTCTGGCCTCCTCATCTTCCACAGCCTCCCTATATTGTTCTGGCCAGTTCTGTGGTCGCTTTCTGTAGAGCCTGGCCATGTACTCCAAGACTTTCATTTTGATGGTTTCATGGTGAGCTCGAGGACCCCATAGAAGCTCATATTCAACTGGATTAGAGTAGGACAGTGGCCTGCATTCCAGATAGCGCTGTCTCATAAGCTTACGGGTGATGGAATGCTTTCTCCCTACATCCACACTAAATCTTCGAAGCAAGTTCCAGACATTGGCCTCTTTGACACGGTTGCCCATCAGGAAGATCAAACCTAGGATTGGCATTACATATTCTTGAGTGGGTCTCCCCAGGCTCTCTAGCATCACTTGCTCTTCCTCTGATTCTGGTTGCTGGACAAGGAGGTAGATGTGCTCACTGGTATCAACCTCAATCAGAGACAACCCATAGAACATATCAAGAATTAGAGTAGCTCTATTGAGGATATTTGGGAACACATCCTCAAATTCTTTGCCAGTGTGAGCCAATAGCTCATCCTGATGTATAGGCAGCATCTCCTCAGTGACACTAATAGCCAACTGGACCAAATCATTTGCCTTATCATTCATAGTGTCCTCCGACCAGAACTCTAAGCCAGCAGTCAGGCTTCTTTCTTTGGTTTTGTCACCTTCCAGGGCCTTATTATATTCTTCTGGCCAGCTCCAGGGTTCTTCATCATGGGCATCTGACACAAACTTCAGGGCTTCCATCTTTGTGATTTCCCTGTGGGCTCTAGAGCCCCACAAGAACTCAAACTCAAGGGGATTAGTGCCATACACCGGCCAGTACTCCAAGAATCGCATGCACACAAAGTCAGTAGTGAGGAGGTTCCTTGTGTTCCCAAAGAGGTTGTTGATCCTCTGAGGCTTATCCCACATATCAACTTTTAGCAGCAAGTCCCAAATGGAGGCCTCTCTTGCTCGGTTCCCATTCAAGAGGATGTGGCCTAGGACTAGGGCCAGGAGACTTGCTTTTGGCATGTCCAGGGACTCCGCTATCCTATCGGTGATCTGGAAACCCCGTTTGCTGACTAAATTGTAGGTGTCAGCCTGAGGATCAATAACTCTCAGGTTCAACCCAAAGACCTGGTCCAGGTGAGCTGAGGCTCGTCTGAGGATCTCAGGGAACTGATCTGAGTACTCTCTGAGAAACTCCAGCATCTCGGACTGCTGGATAGACCCCTCCGTCTGGCTTTTCATTCTCATGAAATTCACCAAAGCAATCGACCTGTCTTCTAGAGGGTCATGGACCCTGAGCGCCCCCAAACGTCTGGACTGCTCGTCGATCAGGACCTCCAGGTCATTCGGGTCCTGAACGGCCTGGGAAGTGTTGACACACTGAGAGTTGATTGGCGCCTGAGGGCACTGGGGGGCATCAACGACTAGCATGGAGGTGGGGGACCCGGAGGCGTTAGTAGCTTGTATTTCACCTCTGCCGTCGCCGTAATCTGCAGTGATCTCTGCGCTACAGTGGCGTGCATTCTGGCTTACCAGAGACATGGTTCCAGGAGACAGGAGCGGGAACGGTGAGATCAGCGATCAGTCGGAGAGAGGACCGCAGCAGTGTTGGTGCCTCGGCACAAAGCTGAAGCCCGAGACCCTGGAGCTGGAAGGATCAAAAGTGAAATCTGGTGTGAAGAGCGATCTTTCTACACAAGTGCTGGCCAGCAACGACTGCAAGCCTCAGAGCGTTATTTTGCCGCAGCCTACGCAGGCGCAGTCAGTCTTTGCATTGTGGTGGCCACGCCCCACTCCTCGTCTTCCATGCTTTGTCTCTCATTCCTGCCCCCTCACCTCTGAAGGGCAGGCTAGGCTGGTTGAAGTGGTTGCTGCTGAATTCGAACTTGTTAGAGAAGAGAATTCGAGAAATGGAGTAACAGATATAGCAAAAGGGTCAAGGGATGAGGAGCCGTTCAGTGATGCTCCCTCCACTTGAAGTTTTTCTGTGGGGCTTAAAGCACCATGCTATCAGGCGGTAGAGGATTCAGAGAGGAGGAGGAGGAGCAGAAGGTGGAGGAAGGGAGGAGGAGGAGGAGGGCGCTAACGATTAGAATTATTTCACAGACTCGTTAAAGCTTCCATTCACTCAACAGATATTTACTGACCACATGCCACATGCCAGGCACAGTGCTGTACATCAGAATACAAACATAGTGATTTTTCCCTTTTTGTGTGGAGCTTACATTCTGGGGTATGTTCAAACAATGGTAATAATAATGAGAGATAACACTTATGGAGCACTGACTATGTGCAGGCACTCTTTCTGGTGCTTTCATTTTCCTCATACTTATTCATATAATGCTAGCTCTTAGATAGCTACTCTTAATGATCCTCATTTTACAGATGAGGAAACTGGGTCATGGAGGTAAATGTACCTGTCCAAAGTCAAGCAGCAATAAATGAAAGAGACCACTCAGGTCTGTCAGTCTCAAGCATATTACTTTCTCTCACACCATCTGATCTTTAACCTTATTTATTAAACATGACTCATAAAATAGATGAAAATAGGTGCTCTGATGGAGGGTGAATTAACATGTGATACAAACACAGAGGTAAGTATTGAATTACAGCTTAGTCTGGGGTATGTTAAATTGCGGGCAGTTTCCAATAAAGCCTCAAGAAGGAGTTGAGCTCTAAGTGATGAATAAATGGGAAGGGTTTATAGTAGTATTCTAACCTGAAGTAACAGCAACAGGAAAGGCCTAGAGGAGTGTAGGTACAAGTTTGTGTAACAGCCACTCACCACGGTGACTAGAGCCAGAGTGCACTAGAATGGGTGGTAGATGAGGATGAAGGTTGCTAGACAGTAAGGATTGGATTTTCTGTTCTTCACTTAGTATGTCAAAGCTTGTTGTGGCCCCACAGGGCAGGAATGGCAGCGTCAGAATAGAAGCTATTTATTCAGAGGGTTTATGTATGTGTATGCGTGCCAGCACACGTGTGTTTGGGGAGGCATAATCCAAACACTTTTGCCAGGAAGAGGTGAGTCAGCTGCTTTATTTTCTGAGAGCTCTACTAAAATAGTTGGGCTAAAACATAGGTGTAATCCTAGACTTCAATCATCAAGTTGAAGACTATGATGGTTGCATTTTTCAGTGCGGCATTGGAAAGGGAAAAGATTTATATAGGGTTGCCATCTGCAGTTACAATTGAAATTCTTCCTTAAATTCTTGATGGTAATGAATACTGTTACATTCCACAGAACATTACATTCAGTAATCTTATGCCCTGGAATTCCTTCAGAGGCTACTGTCTTCACATGTGGGGGTTACTCACCTCTGAAATTGTCTACATCCCAGGTGCTTTCTTCAGTACTGAAGTAGGTAACTCAGGGCCACGAATTTAGTCAAACTAGGCTAAAGAGATCAATGTTTACACAAATGAATGTGCATGTTCTAGACGGTAGAAATGTGTGGTTTGTATGCTGATCCTTTTTTCGGGGAGAGTGTTGTAGAAACCAGCACTGTCTTCCAAGCTGCTACAAAGGTATGATTAAGGCCAGACCTGATGGGGCCCTTCACCCTGGTCTTTAACCTTCCCCAGAAGGGCTCCTGTTCCTTGTCTTAGATAGGTGCTTCCCAGGGGGCAAATTGAGATAAGATCTTTAAGCTCTCTAGTTATAAACAAAAACAAACAATTTGGTACATTTTCCCCCTGAAATTCAGCTCACAGTTTGTCGCGAGTTGAACCTCCTACTACTCCCTCCATCTAATAAAGAAAAGCAACATTGAATGGCAGCATCTTATCTCTGAAATGACATCCTGATCCCATTCCACAGCATTGAAACCCTTAACAAGTTGGTCGCTACTTGGCTCTCTATCTTCATCTTTATTCCCCAGTACATCCTTCCATGATATCTTCTTCCTGGCCATATTGAGCTACACTTCTTGTCTCAGCTATTTCTATTCTACAAGTTTCTAAAAAGTTCTAGTTATTGTTAAATGAATAACAAAAAGCTGTCTCTGTGACTGTGACATATGGCATGTTTTCCGCTCTTTAAGTATAATGTAAAAAAGATGAGATCATGCTCTCCATTCTGAACTTTTTTTGATGCTTCCTGACCTCCTTTTTATACATTTCCAGAACAATTTTAATAAAGTGTTTTTTCACGTTAATATTGAAATATGGCATACACAGAGTAAACAAATCATGAATGTAGAGCTTGATAAATTATGATAAATTTAACATACCATCTGACCATGATGCCACTCAAGAAACAGACCATTACAGCATCTCAGAAGCTCCCATGACACTCCCTCCCAATCTCTTCCCACTCATTTGTCCTGAGAGAAAACCCCTGTTCAGACTTCTAGCATCACAGTTAGTTTTGCCTCCACCCAAACTTTGACTAATATTAGTAGAATTATACATCATATATTTATTTGTATTTATCTTTTTCCAACAAAATCCTACACTGTGTTATTTACCCATGTTGTATATAAAAGTAGTTTTTTCATTATCATTACTATATAGTTTACCATTGTAGAAATATGTACCACAACTTACCCTGTCAACTGTTGATGGGCATTTGCTTTGTTTCCCATTTGTGGCTATTGCAAGTAATGTTACTATGAACCTTTTTGCACTTTTCTTTTAGTTTATGTGTATATTTATGTTGGAAATAAGTCTATGAGTAAAATTACTAGGTCACAAGTATGTATATTTTTAGTTTTCATAGATATTACCAGAGAGTTTTTCAAAATTCTTGCATCAGTTTGTACTCCATGTAGTGCATAAAAATTTCTATTGCTCTGTATTCTTGTCCACACTTGGTATTATTGTTCTGTTTGATTGTAGGCATTCTGGTGGGTGCATTGTGGTATATCATTATAATTTTTTTTACTCATATTTAGCTTTTTAAAAAACACTTTTCATAAAAAGCTGGTCATTTATCTTATCAGGCTAATGGTTATTAAAGGCAGAATATTAAGAAGTATGGGAGTATGAGTAGCTAGAAGGTAGCCTCAAGAAGTGATAATTGATAGATAATTCAAATGGAAGGAGATGGAAACAATGTTCATAGCTGACATTGTGACTGAAATACTATGTTATCTGAGGGCATTCAGTGCAAGGACAGAAATGCCTAGATGTTCTAATTTTTCTCAAATTCTTTACTGTATAGTATAATCATGAATGACCTCGACTTACCAAGAAAAGTTAACTTTTGTTTAAGAGGGCAGATAAGTAAGTATTACAGAATTTTAAATCCAGAAAATCATAACTTTTTTTAAAAAAAAGATTGGTGCTCAAGTGAACATTATAATTACATAGAAAATTCACATACATAAAATATCATCCCTGGATGACATTGTATGGCTATAATATTGTGGTAGCTATACCCCAAATTTTTATATTTATTTCTTTATATCTAAAATTGTAATAAGCATTTAGATTCAATTCATTTTTAAGCAATAATATTTATTCAGTTTCAAATAACAAGACCTGATTATTATTAAGTTGGAGTATACAAGAACATGTCAAAATTTTTTTGAATATCCATGATTCCACCCACCCGAGATATTTGTTTTTAACATTTTAGTATTTGTTCTTCTAATTTTCTCTTTTTTCATACTTTTATTAAATACAACATTTCTATATAAAAGTGTGTAAATTATAAGTATGCAGGTCAATGAATTTTCATAAGTTGGACATATTTGTATGACAAGCAGCCAGTCAACAAACAGAATATTACCAGCAACCAGAGGTCCCCCTTACACCTCCTTCCACTCATTTGAAGACCCTCTGTCCCAAGAGTAAACATCATCTTAAGTTTTAACACCATAGATTCATTTTTGCCCATTTCTAAACTCTATATAATTGGAATTATACAGTATAGTTATTTTCGTGTCTAACATCTTTTAGTGAATATTATGTTTGTGAGATTCATGCATACTGTTGTTTATGATTATAAAACATTCGATTGTTTGCCTTATAGCTTTCTATTTTTTGAACATATATATTTTTACTCATTATAATGGCAATGGGCATTTGGGTAATTTCCAGTTTTTGGAATAAATAGTGCTGCTTTTAATATTCTAGTATATGTCATTTCATGAACTTTTGCATACACTCATATTGGGTACTTAGGAACACAATTTTTGGATCACAGATTATGCATACTTTCAGCTACTTTGAAGAATTCCCAGAAGGAGTCACACCAATTTGTACTCTCATAAGCAGAGAATGAGTGTTCTGGTTTCTCCATGTCTTAACCAATACTTGCTTTTTTTTTCCTTTTTCATGATAACTATTTTAATGAGTGGTGAAGCAGTATGGTATTATGATTTTAATTTACCTATCACTGGTAACAAATAACACTGACCTCATTTTTATGTGTTTATCAGCCACTTGGATATTCTCTTTTGTGAGATACTTGTTCAAGTGTTTTGCCCATTTTTTTCAACTGATCTGTCTTTCTTTTCTTGTTGACTTGTAAAGTTTTGTACTTTATAGATACAAGTCTTTTGTCAAATATATGTACTGCAAATGTTTTATCTCATATATTGGTTACATTTTCACAGTCTTAATGTTATCTTTCAATGAGCAGAAGTTCTTAGTCATTGTGTAGTCCACATTATCAATTAATTTCCTATGTGATTAGTGCTTTATGAGCTATGTTTAAAAAATCTTTGTGTATACCAAGGTGACAATGAGGTATTTCTGTGCCTTCTTCAAATACGATTTATTGTTTTACCTTTTATTTTGAGATGTAAAAATTATCTGGAATTTATTTTTGAGTATGATGTAAGGTAAGAGGTCGAATTTTCATTTTATTTCCACCACATGGTAAATGGTAAAATACCACACCAATTTTCAATTTATGAAGCACCATTATTGCAAAAAAGAAAACCCAGCTTTCATCATGGCATTGTAGTATCATGCTTATCGTAAATCAGGTGATCAAATATGTATGGGCTTTTTTATATCTTCTCAATGTTGTTCCATTTCTCAGGTTGTTTATCTTGCAATAATACCACACTGTCTTAATTGTTTTAATTTGATAGGTATTACTATATGGTAATGTTAGTTTTCTAGTTCTTATTAAATATTGCATTGACTATTCATGCCCCATTGCATTTTATTTAAATTTTAGAATTTATTATCAACATTCATACTTGAGAAGCCTTGGAATTTTGTCATTTCCCAATTTAAGAGAGTCAGTATTTTTAAAATATCAAGTCTTACAATCCCTTAATATGGTGTACCCCTTCATGTATTTTGATCTCTAATTTTTCTCAATATGCTTTTGAGTATAAATGCCCTCTAGATATTGACAACCAAGGATATACCTGTAGTTGAACAAATTGGGTTTATTGCTCATTAAAGGGACAACACACATTATGGAGAATTGTCTCAGTAAGTGGATGTGAAAGGGACTTATTATGAGATCTGAGCTTCATTTGTGTGATTTGGTGGAGGATGTAAAGGATGTGGGTGTTCACTCAGGATTGGATTCTGACAGGAACTAGGGGAATTCTATGTTTGGGTGTCTTAACAAATCTTATCTAGAAGGACAGAAGCTTAGAATAAGGCTAAGAATATAATTGGTAAAGGAGTGACACTCACTCATGTTAGCAAGGATATAGGTATGCTTGGTAATTTTTGTTGCAGAGACAATCTACATATTTTAATGTGCTCAGATCTGATTATACAGTAGTTATGTTTTTGTCTTGATCAGTTTTGGTCATAGATTGGTCTTATCTGAAGTTGGTGATGTGTGAAAATGTTCATGTTCAACAGGAGAGCACCAAGGCTTATCTGATAGTATACCAGGCTATGTGTAGGCTTGCATCATGAACTTTTGCTTCAGAACGACTGCTGGAATACATTAGGAAAACCAAGAGAACCCACAGTCCCTCTGAAGGAAGTGGTTTGCTCCTGCAGGACCCAGGAGACACCCCAAATACTGTGAGTGCCCAAACTGGAATTGGGAAAGGGAGATCATCCACCCCTGAACACACTCCCCCACTGGGAAACCTGAAGGTCTAGATTAGAGGAGAATATTTTGACCTTACCTGGAGCTTAGTCAATTTAGAGAGCGGACTGAAATACAGGGGTAGAGAAAGCAGCAGGGAAAGCCCTGTTGACTTACTGGGTTCCTTAGCAAGCCATTTCTGCTTTGCCTCACAGGGGTTCTTGAAGAGGACTGCCAGAAGCACTGGGGAAAGGCCACAAGGAAAAGGAAACCTCCAGCCGAGCCCTTTGGGTTGAGTGGAAGCTGGGTGAGGCCTGTGACTGCTAGCTTTCCCCCACTTCCCTGACAGCCTGTGTAACACAGTAGAGGCAGCCATAATCCTCCTAAGATCATAACTCCATTGACCTGGGAACCTCATCCCTATCCCCCACAGCAGCCACAGCAAGACATGCCCAAGGAAAGAGTCTGAGCTCAAACATGCCTAGCCCTGCCCCCACACAATGGTCTTTCCCTACGTACCCTGGTAACTGAAGACAAAGGGCATATACTCTTGGGAGTTCTAGGGCCCCACTCACCGCTTGTTTCTCCCCATAGTACCACAGCTGATGCTCTCAGGAAAGCACCCGACAGGCCAACTAGCACAAAAATAGTGAATTAAACCACCAAAGCTAAGAACCCTCACAGAGTCCATTTCACCCCCCTGCCACCTCCACCAGGACAGGTGCTGGTATCCATGGCTGAGAGACCCACAGATGGTACACATCACAGGACTCTGCAGATAACCCCCAGTACCAGCCCAGAGCCTAGTAGACTTGCTGGGTGGCTAGATCCAAAAGAGAGATAATAATCACCACAGCTTGGCTCTCAGGAAGCCACATCCATAGAAAAAGGAGGAGAGTACTACAAGGGAACACCCGGTGCGACAAAACAATCTGAACAGCAGCCTTCAGCCCTAGACCTTCCCTGTGACAGGTTCTACCCAAATGAGAATGAACCAGAAAACCAACTCTGGTAATATGAAAAAACAAAGTTCTTTAACATACCCCCAAAATCACACTAGCTCACCAGCTATGAATCCAAACCAAGAAGAAGTCCCTGATTTACCTGAAAAAGAATTCAGAAGGCTACCTATTAAGCTAATCAGGAAGGCACCAGAGAAAGGCAAAGCCGAATGTAAGGAAATTTAAAAAAAAATAAAGAGGTGAAGGGAGAAATATTCAATGAAATGGATAGCATAAATAAATAAAAACAATCAAAACTTCAGGAAACATTGGAGCAATTATGGAAATGCAAAATGCCCTGGAAAGTCTCAGCAATATAATTGAACAAGCAGAGGAAAGAATTTTAGAACTCAAGGACAAGGTTTTCAAATTAACCCAATCCAACAATGACAAATAAAAAAAATATGAACAAAGCCTTCAAGAAGTCTGGGATTATGATAAATGACAAAACCTAAGAATAGTCGGCCATCCTGAGGAAGAAGAGAAATATGAAGTTTGTAAAATGTATTGAAGAGTATAATTGAAAAAAACTTCCCTGGCCTTGCTAAAATCTAGACATCCAAATGCAAAAAACTCAAAGAACACCTGGGAAATTCATCACAAAAAGATCATTGCCTAGGCACATTGTCATCAGGTTATCTAAAGATAAGATGATAGAAAGAATCTTAAAATCTGAGGTAACCTATAAAGGAAAACCTATCAGATTAACAGCAGATTTCTCAGTAGAAACCCAACAATCTAGAAGGGAGTAGGGCCCTATCTTCAGCCTCCTCAAACAAAACACTGATCAGCTAAGAATTTTGTATCCAGCAAAACTATGCTTCATAAATGAAGGAAAGATAGAATCTTTTTCAAACAAATGCTGAGATAATTTGCTACTACCAAGCCAGCACTACAAGAACTGCTAAAACAAGCTCTAAATCTTGAAGCAAATCTTGGAATTACATCAAAATAGAACCTCTTTTTTTTCATGTCAGAGGGGTTTATTTTTTATTATTATTATACTTTAAGTTCTAGGGTACATGTGCACAATGTGCAGGTTTGTTACATATGTATACATATGCCATGTTGGTGTGCTGCACCCATTAACTCATCATTTACATTAGGTATATCTCCTAATGCTATCCCTCCCCCCTCCCCCCATGACAGGCCCCGGAGTGTGATGTTCCCCTTCCTGTGTCCAAGTGTTCTCATTGTTCAAATCCCACCTATGAGTGAGAACATGCAGTGTTTGGTTTTCTTTCCTTGCGATAGTTTGCTCAGAATGGTGGTTTCCAGCTTCATCCATGTCCCTACAAAGGACATGAACTCATCCTTTTTTATGGCTGAATAGTATTCCATGGTGTATATATGCCACATTTTCTTAATCCAGTCTATCATCGATGGGCATTTGGGTTGGTTCTGTGTCTTTGCAATTGTAAATAATGCTGCAATAAACATGCGTGTACATGTGTCTTTATAGTAGAATGATTTATAATCCTTTGGTTATATACCCAGTAGTGGGATTGCTGGGTCAAATGATATTTCTGGTTGTAGGTCCTTGAGGAATTGTCACACTATCTTCCACAATTGTTGAAGTAATTTACATTCCAACCAACAGTGTAAAAGTGTTTCTATTTCTCTACAGCCTCTTCAGCATCTGTTTTTTCTTGTCTTTTTAATAATCTCCATTCTGACTGGCATGATATCATATCTCATTGTGGCTTTGACTTGCATTTTTCTAACTATCAGTGATGTTAAGCTTTTTTCATGTTTGTTGGCTGCATAAATGTCTTCTTTTGAGAAATGTCTATTGATAGCCTTTGCCTACTTCTTGACAGGGTTGTTTGTTTTTTCATATACATTTGTTTATGTACTTTGTAGATTCTGGAGATTAGACCTTTGTCAGATAGGTAGATTGAGAAAATTTTCTCCCATTCTGTAGGTTGCTTGTTCACTCTGATGATAGTTTATTTTGCTGTGAAGAAGCTCTTTAGTTTAATTGTATTTCATCTGTCAATTTTGGCTTTTGTTGCAATTTCTTTGGGCGTTTTGTCAAGAAATATTTCCCAATGCCTATGTCCTGAATGGTTTTACCTAGGTTTTCTTCTAGGGTATTTATGGTTTTGCATTTTACATTTAAGTCTTTATTCCATCTTGAGTTAATTTTTGTATAATGTCTAGGGCAGAGGTCCAGTTTCAGTTTTCTGCATATGGCCAGCCAGTTTTCCCAGCGCCATTTGTTAAATAAGGAATTCTTTTTCCATTGCTAATTTTTGTCAGGTTTGTTGAAAATCAGATGTTTGTAGATGTGTGGTGATATTTCTGTGGTCTCTGTTTTGTTCCATTGATCTATATGTCAGTTTTGGTACCCATAACATGCCATTTTGGTTACTGTAGCCTTATGGTATAGTTTGAAGTTTGGTAGCGTGATGCCTCCAGCTTTGTTTCATTTTTTTTTTCCTTAGGATTGTCTTGGCTATACTGGTTTTTTTTGTTCTCTATGAAATTTAAAGGAGTTTTTTTAAATTCTGTGAAGAATATCAATGGTAGTTTGATGGGAATAGCATGGAATCTATAAGTTACTTTGAGCAGTAAGGTCATTTTAATGATATTGATTCATTCTATCCATGAGGATGGAATGTTTTTCCATTTGTGTGTCCTTTCTTATTTCCTTGAGCAGTGGTTTGTAGTTCTCCTTGAAGAAGTCCTTCACATCCCTTGTTAGATGTATTCCTAGAGATTTCATTCTCTTTGTAGCAATTGTGAATGGTAGTTGATTTATGTTTTGGCTTTCTGCTTGTCTATTTTTGATGTATAAGAATGCTTGTGATTTTTGCACATTGGTTTTGTATGCTGAGAATTTGCTGAAGTTGTTTACCAGCTTATGGAGTTTTGGAGCTGAGCCAATGGGGTTTTCTAAATATACAAATATACAATCATGTCACGTGCAAACAGAGACAATTTGACTTCCTCTTTTCCTATTTGAATACTTTTTATTTTTACTTTTTCCCTTGCCTAATTGCCCTGGCCAGAACTTCCAATACTATGCTAAAAAAAAAAAGTGGTGAGAAGGAATATCCTAGTCTTGTGCCGGTTTTCAAACGGAATGTTTCCAGCTTTTGCCCATTCAGTATGATATTGGCTGTGAGTTTGTCATAAACAGTTCTTATTATTTTGAAATATGTTCCATCAATACCTAGTTTATCGATAGTTTTTTCATAAAGAGATGTTGAATTTTATCAAAGGCCTTTTCTGCATCTATTTAGATAATCATGTGTTTTTTCATTACTTCTGTTTATGTAATGGATTACATTTATTGATTTACATATTTTCAACCAGGCTTGTATTCCAGGAATGAAGCCAGCTTGATTGTGGTGATAAACTTTTTAATGTTCTGCTGGATTTGGTTTGCCAGTATTTTATTGA